>NT_187660.1:2783079-3084883 GCF_000001405.40 Homo sapiens
GAATTCACCTCACCAGTGTCCCTAAGACAAGAAGCTCTTTCTCACATCAAAGTGAATTATTTTAATTCACTTTGGATGTTAGGAATATCCTAACTCCTTTGTAATTAAAAACAAAAACAAAACTTCTGATGCTTCTTTATACCTTAACAATTATGAGGTCTATAACAATATGAACACAGAAGTTTGGGTCAGTTCAATGACTGAACTAAAACATTGTTTCCCAACATGTCCATGTTTTACAAGATGATGGGGTTGTTATCTGTGATGCCATTGCAAAGATCTTGATGGTTCCAAAACACTCTAAGCATCACATAAGCCATGTTATACCTGTCGCCCCAAATTTACCAAACCATTTGGATTAAAACTCTCAGTAAGGACCTCTGAGGCACAAAGATCTATGAATAACTCCTTAACCCCTTTGCTCTTACTCTTCAGGTACAATTTCAAATTTTCACTTTTCCCTTTCTGCACTGACCTTGGGAAAGTCACTTTATCTCTGTGATCTAATTTTCCACATCAATAATGTATCTATACTTGGCATAGAGAGTTATGAGAATAAAATAATAACATATATGGGAGATTTCTGTGAATACCAATTGTACAGGTGGATTTTTAAATAATAGATTTAGGGCCAGGCGCAGTAGCTCACAGAAGTAATACCATCACTTTAGGAGGCCGAAGCGGGTGGATCACCTGAGGTCAGGAGTTCAGACCAGCCTGACCAACAAGGTGAAATACTGTCTCTACTAAAAATACGAAAATGAGCCAGGTGTGGTGGCGGGCACCTGTAGTCCCAGCTACTCAGGTGGGTGAGACAGGAGAATTGCTTGAACCCACAAGGCGGAGGGTGCAGTAAGCCGAGATCGCGCCACTGCACTCCAGCCTCGGTGATGAAGCGAGACACCATGTAAAAAACAAACAAACAAACAAATAAAATATATTTAGGAAAATTATTAATAAGAAAAAAATTGAAAGCATTAAGAACTCTATTATGGACTGAACAAAAAAAGGAGAATTGGTACCATACCTTGGTAAGTTTATTTTGATAAGCACAATTTCTATTAGTTCCTCAGTGTTTCTTCTTGCTCCCTGAATGTATGTTCCTTGCCTCTATCTTATCCCATTTTTTCTATTGTTAATGCATAGAGAGTTGTCACAAGTTCTATTCTCAATGCCTATTGCATCAGGCAATAGAAGATGACTCTGGTTCCCAACTCAGAAAAACCTCATTTTTAAGAAATGTTTGAGCTTTGACTTTGATCTCATTCAGAATATTCTGGTTCAAAAGTTTTTTGTTTTTTTTGTTTTTTTTGAGACGGAGTCTCGCTTTGTCGCCCAGGTTGGAGTGCAATGGCGCGATCTCGGCTCACTGCAAGCTCCGCCTCCCGGGTTCACGCCATTCTCCTGCATCAGCCTCCCTAGTAGCTGGGACTACAGGCCCCTGCCACCACGCCTGGCTAATTTTTTTTTTTTTGTATTTTTAGTAGAGACGGGGTTTCACCGTGTTAGCTAGGATGGTCTCAATCTCCTGATCTCGTGATCCGCCCGTCTCGGCCTCCCACAGTGCTGGGATTACAGGCGTGAGCCACCACGCCCGGCACAAAAGTCTTATGTTTGTGTAAATAAGAAAAGCACCTTTGAAAACTACACCTACAAATGGGAATATGGAATAAAAAGGACAAGCCAAAGGTTATGGAACAAAATAAAACATGAAGAAAGAGAAATAGAAACACAATATTACTATATACAATATAGTAATGTATTTTAAAATATGAAAAACGCTAGCAAAACAGCAATATGTGAACAAAAGAATTGGAGTAAAATAATAGAATTTGAAACAGCACAATCTGCTGAAAATACACAAAAGACAAACTAGGATATTTCTGAGCTCACTGTTTATAATATTAGAACATGTATATAAAAAGGAAAAGTGACTTTAAAATGTCTGGGGGCCAAGCAATATATAGCTTGTTACATTTTATTTACAAACAGTTTCTTTGACTAGGGAATCAATTTAAATTTTCTGTTTTGGAAATAATATAAATATATCTTTATTTTAGACTTTTTGCTGAAAAGTTTCTTAAATATTTACAACTTTAGGATAATCAGTGTACATTTCAATATATAATGTCCTAAAAATCAAACAGCTACCAAACACTGAATTGAAGTTCTGACTTATATAAATCATTTGCATAAAAACTGATCATTAAAAACAGTATCTAATGAACATTTTGGCCCCAATATTAATTAAAACTGAAATGATAGCATTACAAGCTAAAGATTAATTTCAATGACATGTCGTTCAACCATTTTGACATAATCGACTTATAATAAGCTAAAATTGACTATTTTTATGACATATTTGACCTAAATGAAGAGAAAAAAGCTTTGACTAATTCTTAATTACTCTTTCTGACCAATTGATGGCCAATAACTGAATTTAATTTCAAACCATTTTCTGTTATTTTAATCTTTTAAACATGTTTTACTTTCAGTGATTCATTTTCTAACATTCATAGCCAAAGCCCAGGCTCTGCCCATCTTTGTCTACCTTAATGACTTTGTCAATTGTTGGTATACACTGGGCCTTAAAAACTTGTGTTTCTTCCGAATTAATTAATGAAGTAGAATTGCTCTTATAGGGTTTCATATACCATTACCTCCAAAAGAGTACATTAGAAGTATTAGAAAATACTGATATTTATAAACAGATATTTATCTTATGATACAAAGAGCTAGAGCTGTTTTATTTTCTGTAAAACTAAGAATAACTTCTTGATAACATAGCTTCACAAAAAGAAAACCCAACACATTTGCATAAATAATTCTCTGAAATAACTATGTGTTTGTAACTTTTTATATACATGAGGATATACATATACTTATACATCTATACATATATATGTAACATAAAGGATATTAACATTAGGACTGTTTAATGTCTATTTGTCTTGGAAAGAAAAATATACTTAAAAATATTTCTCAATTGGGATTTGTAATCGTACCGACTTAATTGATAAACTTGGCGACTGCTTTTATGCTCTGTCTCCTTCCATAAATTTTTAAAAATACTAATTCAACAAAGAAAAAGCTCTAATGTTCATTGGAAATAATTTATAGACTTTTTTAGAGCAGAGAAAAATTAAGAAAAACTTTGAAATGGTCTCAAAAAATTACTATTTTCAGTGGAAAACTAAATGTTAGTTTAACTGATTGTATGGGGTTTCTGAACCTTTCACTTTTTGTTTGTTTTACCTATTTCACAACTGTGTAAATTGCAAATAATTCCTGTCCATGAAAATACAAATTATCCAGTGTAGATATATTTGACTGTCACCCTATAGATATTGGCTAATTTTGCCTTTATTAAGCAAATTCATTTCAGCATGAATGTCTGCCTGTATATTCTCTGCTCTTTGTATTCTCCTTTGAACCAGTCAGAACATCCTGTGGTACTCTTATTTATTAATCAGTTAAATAAAATCATGAACATATATTCATTTTACATTTGTATGAGAACCATTAATTTTCTTTTCTTTAAAAAAATTAATTATCCTTTGACATTGGGTTGACATTTTCTTAAGACTTGCCATAAACAGAGGATATCAAGTTTCTCAAGGTCAGTTCTAGAGGAAAAAAAAATTCTTTATAAAAATTTAGCCTCATGTGTAACAGTTTCCATTCCCATAGCAATGACATTTGATATACATTGTATATATTAATCTGGGAATGATGTAAGATTCCAAGTATAATTTTATCAGTGAACTCAACTACTTGATTACTTTCACTTATTTAAATATCTAGTTCAATGTTGTCCAGTGGCATTGTGGATTTAGGTAATTTTACCAGGCAGCCGTTCAATTTCTGCACTTTCTGTTTGCCCATGCAGAACACAACACATTTTATAAGTCAAAGTATAGGCATCTGGTGGCATAATTTTAATTTGTTATCAAATAAAAGCCTCATCAAATTAGTCTAGAAAATAACTCATTGTTTACTTTATTTTAGGACTGTATCACTATGTAATGAGATACAAATACATGTAAGCGTTAAGTGCCTAAGAGGCATCCAGAGAGCCTAAGATGTATGCAGTATGCCTAAGAGGAATGCAGAGAGCCTAAGATGTATGCAGTATGCCTAAGAGGAATGCAGAGAGCTTCATTTTCATTGTCAGCTGCTCAGTTGTTTCTCAGGAAATAAATGTGGCCAACTGACACCATTTAAGAGATATAAAGCAACAAGTTTAGAAAATTCTCATAAATGGGAGTGGCTAATGCATAGACAATAGCATTGACCTTTGATCCATGTATATATATATATTTAGATACATACCTCAAAAACATTTGGGTCAATTTAATTGTGAGTACTATAAACTACAAATGAAAGTAAAAAAGCAAATCTGTTGGTATTTTAGAAGAATGAAAGATTATTAACTCATGGCCTGTATGTATTTGGAATGAGAAGGACATACATAGCTTTCTTTGGATGGGGTGGAATTGAAATTGTGATTTACAGTGACTAAAACCTGACTGCTTTCACATTTTTTTTTCACTGTTGGGGGTGAAATTCTTGATTGATTCATGCATTGGGAACTTTTTTTTTTTTTTTGAGACGGAGTCTCGCTCTGTAGCCCAGGCTGGAGTGCAGTGTCAGGATCTCGGCTCACTGCAAACTCCACCTTCTGGGTTCACACCATCCTCCTGCCTCAGCCTCCCAAGTAGCTGGGACTACAGGCGGGCACCACCACGCCTGGCAAATTTTTTGTATTTTTAGTAGAGACGGGGTTTCACTGTGTTAGCCAGGATGGGCAGGATGGTCTCGACCTCCTGACCCTGTGATTCACCTGCCTTGGCCTTCCAAAGTGCTGGGATTGCAGGTGTGCACCCGCCTGAGCCACTGCGCCTGGCCGGGAGCTTTTGAATTAACTAAGGAAATTGACAAAATAGAGAATGACTCCTTATGTGACCTGCAGAAAATATTTTGTGTCATTCGTGGTACATTTATCATATTTTCTATAGGTTTGTACTATGTTACTTCACTTCTAAGAATTCGAAGTAGTTCAAAGCCAGCAGGGACTGGTATATTATAGCATATTTAACCTAAGCAACTCTAAAAGCTAACGAAACCAAGTATCTACAAACTTTAGCCATAGCTACCATCAACATGAAGAATGTAATAGGCAAAATGTTTTACATGCTGAATAAGCACTACTGAATTCTCTATATATTTTTTGCAGTTTTAATTTAAAAGTATACTAGTTAGATATTTCATCTATACCCTGGTATAGTAATAAAAATTCAGATATTGCTCAACGAGGAAGCATATTTTCAAAGCAACAGACCTGAAAACTAGTATTTTATTTGATATTTTAAGTGCTTATTTCATTTTCTGGTTAAAGATGTTTGTGGAGGTAAAATTTAAAATAGATACTCTGTGTTCTTCTATTATATAACATTGAAATTAAATTTTTTATTAGTAAATGTAGAAAAGGTAAGTCTGAAGCATTGACTGAGAAAGATTTAGTAAATGGAGAATTTTGACTGTTAAACATCCTATTTTAACAAAAATATGCATAAAATATTCTTAGGATGATTTAATTAACCTTTTAATAAATACGAAAGACATTATGAAAAAAAGAATACATCACATTGCAGAATCAAAAGTAATAAAAATCACTCAAATTCTACTGCTCAGAAATGAAAATAATTGCTAAACATTAGGTGGCAGTATTTCAGACATTCCTATATAAATATACTTGAATGAGGCCCAGAGCAGTGGCTCACGCCTGTAATCCCAGCACTTTTGGAGGCCAGATAATGGCATGAACCCCGGAAGCGGAGCCTGCAGTGAGCGGAGATCACGCCACTGCACTCCATCCTGGGCGAAAGAGCAAGACTCCGTCTCAAAATAAAAATAAAAATAAATAAATAAATAAATAAATACACGCATTCTTCATTTATAAAATACATTTAATATTTTTAAATAAATAAGTCAAAACAAAACGTTGATAAAATGACTATAGTTATTTGTGTGAATATATGCATGTGTGTTTGTACAGATGCATTAAGAAATCTTAATCCTCAAAATGATGAACATTTTAGAAGAAATATTAAGTATAATAGAGTTTGGGATCTGTATCTTTCTTTCTTTCTTTTTCTTTTTTTTTGAGACGGAGTCTCGCTCTGTCGCCCAGGCTGGAGTGCAGTGGCACGATGTCAGCTCAACTGCACGCTTCGCCTCTCAGGTTCATGCCATTCTCCTGCCTCAGCCTCCCGGGTAGCTGGGACTACAGGCGCCCGCCACCACGCCCTGCTGATTTTTCGTATTTTTAGTAGACACGGGGTTTCACCGTGTTAGCCAGGATGGTCTTGATCTCCTGACCTCGTGTTCCGCCCGCCTCGGCCTCCCAGAGTGCTGGGATTACAGGCTGAGCCACTGCGCCCTGCCCTGGGATCTGTATTTTTCTAAGTAGGTGATTCTGTATCTAATGAAAAATTATCACTTAAAATTTCAAAATGTTTTAGTTTGTTGTTATTATTATTATTTGTATTACTTTTAAAGCTGGGGTCTTCTTATGGTGCCCAGGCTAATCTTGTTAATATTTTTATATTATCATTGTATCTTAGGCAGCTCAAGCTGCCATAACAGAATACCAGAGACTGGTGTCTTCAACACACATTTGTTTCTCACAGTTTTGGAGGCTGGGAAATCCTCCACAAGGTTCGGGCAGATTCAGTCCCTGGTGAAAGCCCCCTTCCTAGACTACAGGCTCCTGCCTTCTGACAATGTCTTCACATGGCACAAAATAGAGAAAGACAGAGAGCTATGGTCTCACTTTCTCTTCCTATAAGAACACTAATCCCATCATGGAGATGCACATGATCTTAACCAGACAAATTTTTTTTGGATATTTTGAACTGATCAAATAACTCACATTGATTCAAAATATCACAGTTATTAAAACTCAGGCACAAAATCAAGTTAGTTCATCACTAATTGAGGCAGATAATTTTAAATCAAAATATAGCTACACAAAACATCATTTCCTAATTATCTTAGACTTTAAAAGTAGTTAGAGGAAGAGAAAGCTCATCTCTCTATTACAGTATTAATGGGTTTCCCATCCTAGGTGTCTTAATCTATTTAAACAGCTATAACAAAATACCATAAATTGGTGGATTATAGGCAATAGAAATTTGTTGTTCACAGTTCTAGAGGGCAGGAAGTCCTAGATCAAAGTGCCGTAAGAGTTGGTGAGGACCTGCTTCTTGATTCATGAATTGCCATCTCTTCCCTGCATCCTCACTTGGTGAAAGGGGCAAGAGTCTCTCCGGGGACTCTTTTATAAGTGCACTAATCCCATTCATGAGGGCTCTACCGTCATGATCTAATCCCCTCCCTCTAAGGTCCCACCTGCAAATATCATCATATGGGTGTTACATTTCAACAGCTGAATTTTGGGGGGCACTATCATTCAGTCTACAGCACTGTGAAATCCCTAATATCGAGTTTTCTTTTTAATTTTTGTTTTGTTTTGTTTTGAGACAGAGTCTCGCTTTCTCGCCCAGGCTGGAGTGCAGTGGTACGATGTCCGCTCACTGCAAGCTCTGCCTCCCGGGTTCACGCCATTCTCCTGCCTCAGCCTCCCGGGTAGCTGGGACTACTGGCGCCCGCCACTACGCCCGGCTAAAATTTTTTGTATTTTTAGTAGAGATCACCGCACCTGGCCCTTAGATGAATATTTGAATAAAAGTTGTATGTATGATGATAAAACAACAAGAAACTGAATTTTTGCAGAAAGTAAAAATAAAACTTGTCACTCTTTATATAGGCAAATCAGAGACTAGAGGTTTTAGAAAAGACATCAGTATGTTCCATATAAAGTATGTACTGGGACCCCGTCCGTCTTTTTCACCATATAATAACAGTGCTTTTAATAGTACCTGGGATGGCTGGGTGCAGTGGCTTACGCCGTAATCCTAGCACTTTGGAAGGCCGAGGAGGGAGGATCATGAGGTCAGGAGATCGAAAACATCCTGGCTAATACGGTGAAACTCCGTCTCTACTAAAAATAACAAAAAAATTAGCCGGGCGTTGTGGCGGGCGCCTGTAGTCCCAGCTACTCTGGAGGCTGAGGCCGGAGAAAGGAGTGAACCCGGGAGGCGGAGCTTGCAGTGAGCGGACATCGTGCCACTGCACTCCAGCCAGGGCGACAGAGTGAGACTCCATCTCAAAAAAAAAAAAAAAAAAAAAGTACCTGGGACATGATATGAACTCAATGACTATTTATTGAATGAATTAATTGAACAAGTTTATGCAAGAAATTGACATAAAATTAAACATTGTCTTCTTATATCATATAGTGTCTACAAAAACTAAGTTGATACAGAACCTGTATTCTAACATGATTAAATTTGAGCCAAGTACATTTCTCTCTTAAGAATTTAGAAGTTTATAAAGAAATCAGGGCCTGGGAACTGAATCATTAATGGAAGATCTCAAAGGCAATATTCTTTTCATTGTAATTAATATTAAGTCGTTAAAGTAATAATAAATAACTAACATTTAGGTTCCTGAAAAAAATGATTAAATTGAACATCAAATAGTTTGCATTTATATCACACTGTACAATTTATATTTTTTATGCTGTTTTACTGTAAGATTTCATTGAACAAATGCATCTTATGATTTCAAGGTAAGGTATTGAAATATGCCTTTTAAAAATGTAATGCTGTATTAGTGATTTTAAAATATGTAAAAAAAATGTGTGGGAAATACTAGAAACGTTATTTGAAATTAGCCAGTTCTGGATTTGCTTATTTTTTTAATTTTATTTGCCAAACTGAGAACAATAGCCTTTACACATTTTCTATTTTTCTGGACTTGATTCTTAGGAACTTTAATTTTGCACTTTTGCATTCCTCTATAAATGTTAATGTTTTGGCCAATGACATTTCTCTAGATAAATTCAAAAGCTTAACCTAAGTAATGTAATGGTGGCATTTATGAAATTGACTCCTGGTTCTCTCTTTAAATTCTTTTTTATTGTTTATTTCTATGGCACCATTACACTATGCTATCACATTGTTCTTGTTTTATTCCCCATGTTTAAAAAGCTGTATATTCTTTGCTGAATCTTAAAGGTCACTTTGAAACCTGAAGACCATGACTGAAATACAGTGAAGATTAAAGATAAAAAGGAGAAAAAAGGTTAAATTATAAAACCTCTAATATCATTACTCATATATATGATACACACAGAGATGCATCACCTAGGTCCTCCCTGAGAGCTGTGTCAGTAGACAGGACTCAGCTGTGAGCCCCTTCAGACGTCACCTCAGCTGCAGAGCTTCCCCCTGCCTAAGGTCCTGAGGTTCCCAGTTGTGGCGCATATGCAACGACTGATTGAGGTGAGGCAAGGAGGCAGGTGAAAGAGGTGGGGAGGGGACTTGGGGCCTATAAAGACTCAGTCATGTCATTGCAATGTGAAAGGATGCCAGTGGGCCATTTTATCTTCAAAGTCCCCTGTGAGATGAGCCAAAGCTGTGGTCCAGGACTTCTTTTCAGCCCAGCTTTTTCCCTTTCCCTCAATCCAGCTTCCTTCTTCTCCTTTTCACAGGTAGTAATCCAAGGGCACTCCCTAGTATATATCTCCATGTCCAAATCTGCTTACTAGAGAACATTGTATCATGAATGATACCATTCTTCAAAAATATGGGGTACTTTGAGTGAAAGGAGTGAACGGTATGGAAGAACAGCTTTGGTAGAGTAATTAGAATAGAAGCTACTCTACATTGGGTTGATGCATGAATGGGATATTAGGAAGTAAAGTAGCAAATTGAAAACTCCTTTCAAAAGAAGAGAATTAGAAAAGGGTCAGCAAGATAGTAGTTGGGGCCTGGCTGTGATGGATCACGCCTGTAATCCCAGCACTTGGGGAGGCTAAGATGGGAGGATCACTTGAGGTCAGGATTTCAAGACCAGCCTGGTCAATGTAGCGAGACCCCACCTCTTTAAAAAAAAATGTAGTTGGAAGCTAGAGAATAGCATAACAAAAAAGAGGGTGATTTTAGAAGATAAAAGGGCCCACTGGAGCTCTCTCACATTGGAATGAAATTCTGAAATTACCCTCTTTTTGGTTATGTCATTCTACCTCAATCATTTTGCCTCAATCATGTTTACAGGCAAAATAAGAGATAGAGAAGTGGGAAGGGCTGAAGGCAGAGATATGAGACACAATAACAAATGGGGAAAGATACAAGATATAATGGAAGGCATGAGCTAGATCAATTCTACAAGTGAAAAATTACATTAATTAAGAGGAAGGATCACTCATCACCCAATTATAGGTAAGTTTATAGGAGGGTGGGACTGGCTACATAATGGTAGGTGATACTTTATGTCCTTATTTTCATTAAAGAGAATATGTCATTTCCTGAAAATGAAAGATGTGGGTTTGAATAGAGAGTTGGCAAAATTTGGTATTTATTTGAAATTGGCATTTATTTGGGAAGATAATGTAGGGTAACTAATCCACTTAGATGATACCTATTAACTATAAACTATGTACCAGGTACTTTGCTATAATATAAAGGCAATGGAAAAACCAAGATTCAATCTTGATTTGACATCCTTAACATTTACAGTGTCGTGGTGGAAACTATGTAAAGAATCCAGTGTGATAGAAGGTGGTAGATGTGGAAACAGGAGGTTTAGAAAAAGCTCCAGGACACACTGCTGATACATCTAACTCAGGATCAGGGCATTAAAGAAAGCATCACACTCTCCCTCAATCTCTCTATTCTGTCTCTTGATTGAATCATTTTAACAAAGTATCAAGATGGCCCTCAGCACTAAGGAGGAAGTGTTATTTGAAAGCATGTGTTTGAATAGTTGCATTTATCTAAACAGAATTTTTCACTCCTGTGTAGATTTGGCTTGGAATTGGTGTATTCTGGCATTCCATGTTGTAAAGCACTTGAGGTGCTTAAGAGATATTTGGTTGGCCGGGTGCAGTGGCTCACACCTGTAATACCAGCACTTTAGAAGGCCGAGGTGGTTGGATCACCTGAGGTCAGGAGTTCGAGACCAGCCTGGCCAACATGGTGAAACCCCGTCTCTACTAAAAATACACAACTTAGCTGGGCGTGTTGGCAGGTGCCTGTAATCCCAGCTACTCGGGAGGCTGAGGCGGGATAATTGCTTGAACCTGGGAGGCAGAGGTTGCAGTGAGCCAAGATTGCACCACTGCATTCCAGCCTAGGGAACAGAACAAGACTCTATCTCAAAAGAAAAAAATAAAAAAAGAAGGAGAGATATTTGGTAAATAACTGAGGCAAAGGTGGAAGAAAATAGTGTTCTGCAGGAGATCAAATAATGTGTGAAGAGAAAATAAAAATTTTAAAGAACTAAAAGAATCAGGTATTGAAGTCAAAGGTGAGAGGGCCACTGGAATTCAAAAATACAATGTGAATAACTACAGAAGATATCATCATTCCTGATGAGGCAATGAATGTGGGTGCCTAAATTAGAGTAGAAATACATGTTATTGAAGATAAGGAGATCAAAAGGTGTAAGGCCAGGGTGTTGAATGTATTTTGCACAAATGCGCTAACGTTACCCAGAGTGTTGGCAAGGGGAAAATCATCTGATGGCCTGTAGCCAGAGTTTTCCTTAAAAATGCAGATGTGTCCTCCTGGAAGATAGACATCTTTGAAAAAATGAAGGAAATTAGGGTCTCACGGCATGAATCTCATGGAGGTGATGAAGGACTGATTTGAGAGCAGCCATGCAGAGTTAGGACAATGCCAGCAACATCTGACCCATGTACATGAAGCTCCAGATAACTTAGGTGATTGCTTTAATGCAAAAGGCCACACAGTGTGAATTCCTGAGAGACTATTTATCTTTTATATTCCAGAGGTTGGAATGGAATAATTCACTCTTTTAAAAGGCTTGCTGGATATCCTCTATTTCAGGGCTCTCCAAACCCATACTAGTCCATAGCTGTTAGGAACTGGGCTCCACAGCAGGCGGTGAGTGGCGGCTGAGTGAGCGAAGCTTCATCTGTATTTACAGCTGCTCCTCATGGCTCGTGTTACCCCCTGAGCTCCTCCTCCTGTCAGATCAGCAGCAGCATTAGATTCTCATAGGAGCATGAACCCTATTGTGAACTAAGCATGCAAGGGATCTAGGTTGTGTGCTCCTTATGAGAATCTAATGACCGATGATCTGTCACTGTCTCCCATTGCCCCCAGGTGGGAACATCTAGTTGCAGGAAAACAAGCTCAGGGCTCCCAGGGATTCTACATTATGGTCAGTCGTATAACTATTTCATTATATGTTACAAAGTAATAATAATAGAAATAAAGTGCACAATAAATGTAATGGGCTTGAATCATTCTGAAACCATCCCCACCACCACCATGTCTGTGAAAAAAATTGTCTTCCACAAAACCAGTCCTTGATGCCAAAAAGGTTGGGGACCACTGCTCTATTTCTCTTCACTACTTAGAGAATCTGTTCTTCCACTCATGATCTACAAGGATTAAATGTTTCAAACAGTTCAAGTCTTCAAAATATGTATTTTGTAAACTTGAATTTTTAGAAATCATTCACAGTATCCATATTATATTTTATTTGCTGCAATGCCCTATACATTTCCCATATAATGCTCTTGAATATACTTTTACAACTTCAGTAACTTTACCCTTTACTGAATCTCAATCTGTCTCTCCATTTCTCTCTCTCAGCAAATCTAAACAAAAGAGAAACATGTCGACTTGTGCTATGGTCTAAATGTTTGTGTCTCTAAAATTCATGTGTTGAAACTTAATCTCCAATGCAATAGTATTAAGAGATGAAGGCTTTAGAATGTGACTGGCAGAGCCCTCATGAATGGGATTGGTGCCTTTATAAAAGAGGCCTCCAAAATCTCCCTAGCCCCTTCCACCAAGTAAGGAAGCACAGAAGTCACCATCTATGAAGTAGAGAGCAAGCTCTCGCCAGACACCAAATCTGCTGACACTTCAGTCTTAAACTCCCACCCTCCAGAACTGTGAGCAATAAATTTCTGTTTTATAGTTGTCTAAATTATCCTGTCTAAGGTGTTTTTTTATAGTAATGTGAATGGACTAAGACAACTTGAAAATGCAAGGTACCACACCAATAACAAGGAAAATACTCATGTTTTGTAACATTTATTTTATACCAAAGATACGCCAATTACTGTATACAAATATATGCCAAATGTTGGGTAAAATACTTTACATAAATTATATTAATCCTGACAACAACCTGAAGGTAGATACTGTTGTCTGCATTTAAAGATGAGGACGTGGGGCTTGAATTAAGTAACTTAACTCACATCTCATCATGCTAAATGGCAAAGCTGGGATTCAAACCCTGCTCAGTCGGACTCCCATCAGGCTGCTCTTAGCCTGGTTATATTTTGAAGAAAAGAAGTTCAGAAACTTATCCATAGACATGGCCAGGTAGGGCCAGAGTCCAGACTCAACTGACTGTCAGCCAAGGCCAGCCTCAACTCTTCCATTTTACCTCCAGCCTGAACAGCTTAAACATTTTTTCTCTTGCCATCTTATTAGAGTACATAATGCCTATAATGATGGGATCCACATGATATAGCATGACAACACTCTGTTTTAAAAAAGGTGAAATGTAATTTTTTTTTTTTTAAATTTTAAGTTCTGGGATACATGTGCAGGACGTGCAGGTTTGTTACATAGGTAAACGTGTGTCATGGTGGTTTGCTACCCCTATCAACCTATCACCTAGGTTTTAAGGCCCCCATGCACTAGCTATTTATCCTGATGCTCTCCTTCCCCCCAACCCCCCAGTAGGTCCCAGTGTGTTTTGTTCCCCTCCCTGTGTGCTTGTGTTCTCATTATTCAGCTTCCACTTAGAAGTGAGAACATGCGGTGTTTGGTTTTCTGTTCCTGTGTTAGTTTGCTAAGGACAGTGGCTTCCAGCTCCATCTATGTCCCTGCAAAGGACATGATCTTGTTCCTTTCTATGACCGCATAGTATTCCATGGTGTATAGGTACCACATTTTCTTTTTCTAGTCTATCATTGATGGGCATTTGGGTTGATTCCATGTCTGTGCTATTGTGAATAGTGAAGCAAAAAACAGACGCGATAGGAATGCTTTTACACTGTTGGTGGGAATGTAAATTAGTTCAACCATTGTGGAAGACAGTGTGGCAATTCCTAAAAGACCTAGAACCAGAATTGCCATTTCACCCAGCAATCTCATTCCTGGGTATATACTCATAGGAATATAAATCATTCTATTATAATGAAACATAATGTAAAAATACCTCGAGTGTATTTGTATTTTGGTAATATCTGAATAAGACATAAAATATAACGCACACATCTTTATATCGTTTTATCCATATCTCTCTTTCTTTAAATCCTTCTGGTTAAAATTTGTCATTGCCTCCTGACTATGTATTTATTTTTTCTTTTCTGGAAGAAAGCTCACCTAGGCCTTACTCAAATGCATGTTCTCAATCTTTACCTACCACCCCTCCTGCCTTTTTGTTCCAGTTTCCTCTTATCATTGTACTGATGTGGAGATAACGAAAGAGAATATCACTGTCAGCCACCAGCAGTGCCTTTTCAGAGAAGAGCAATGGGGAAGAAATTGAGCAGACAAAGCCAGAATCCCCATTAGCAAACAGAAAGAGGGAGCTCAGGATAACCACATACGTTAATAATTCTTGCCCCCCAAAGGGAAGCTCTGTAAAATAAGTTGTATTACATCCGTACATAGCAGTACTTTAAATATAACTCTAGCTTAAGTATTTTAAGCATCTCCATGATATGAACCTAAGGGAATAAACTCAATAAATCAATATTTATAAGCTCTGTTCACTTATTTCTTGTGGTTTCAGCCACTGATTTCAGAATATGCATGAAAAATATATTTCTTCTGAATATTTGATTTCATGATCCCAAGTAGACACATCTCTGTATTGGGTTTCAACAAGTCCACAGAAGTTAAATACCCACTTTTAGCCAGCTTTGATTTTCAGAAGTTTAATTCTGACATTTAGTGATATACAATATGTAAAACAACCTGGCACTATATCTGTCATATCATAAGTACTTGGCAAATATTTCAGTTTACTCTTTCTCATAATTGAATAATGGCTCAATAGTAAAACTCTGTAGGGAAAAATTTAACCTCTTATTTATCAGTTACAAATAGTTTAAGACAGATAATACCCCTTTCCTTGTTAGCTTTAATGATGAGTCATTAAAATTGTGAGCAATGTATTTATTTTGAGGAAACTATTTTTTACTAAGGATTTTTTTTTTTTTTAGAATTTTATGAGTCTTCAAAATAACTAGAAAATCTTAAAGTGTTACCAAACAGAAGTGGACATTTAATAAACACCTCAACTTTAATACTTACAGAAAATCATTTGAAGGCTGTCACTCCTCTGGGTATTATAAATTTTAGCCTCGGTCAAATCAGATCACCAGGAGGCTACAAAGTTGAACTATATTGCCTTAGTTTCCAACAGAGTTTCTTTCCTTGAATTAAGTTTTGGGGCCATGACCTACTCCTTTTAACAAAAGAACAATACAACAAATAGTCATATGAAATCCATTTTGTTGCCTAATACAAAAATATTGTTGAAGAGTATCATAATTCAATGGCCCATATATATAAAATGTCTCAGCAAAGGCACTTATGTCATAATTCAGTACTAGGAAATGATTTCCTTCAGGCAAGCTCCCCCTTAATTTTTTTTTTTTTTTTTGAGACAGAGTCTTGCTCTGTTGCCCAGGCTGGAGTGCAGTGGCACCACCCTGGCTCACTGCAAGCTCCACCACCTGGGTTCACGCCTTTGTCCTGCCTCAGTCTCCTGAGTAGCTGGGACTACAGGCTCCTGCCACCACGCCCGGCTAATTTTTTGTATTTTTAGTAGAGACAGGGTTTCACCGTGTAAGCCAGGATGGTCTCGATCTCCTGACCTCGTGATCCGCCCGCCTTGGCCTCCCAGAGTGCTGGGATTACAGGCATGAGTCACCGCACCCGGCCCCTCCCCATTAATTAAGGTGAGAAATACATAAATGATGATGGTAGTCATTGACGCACCAGTTACGAAAGAGTGAGGCTGGGTAACTGGATGACACCTGCACAGGGCTCTGAGGTCTCAAGGAAAATGACAGGTGTTTGTGTATTTCAAAAATGTGGACATGATGGCATGAGGCCCAGTGAAGAAGGGGTAGATTATGAATGGTGTTATCCTGAACATAAGGAGACTGAGATAGTGTAGTTTTAAAAATGGCAGCATGAAAAAAGGTGAATGCTAACCCCACCCCACCTTACGGTAAGTGTCTGAAAAATAATCTTTCCAGGTACTACTAGTAGGTATTCTTAAAGGACAGAGGCAGCTTTCTGTTTGAGTAGGAAGGTATTGGAAGCAGTATATGAAGGAATAAAAATATAAAAGAGAGAAATATTGGAGCAAGAGTGGGAAGTATGGTTAAAGATAAAGAAATGGCAGAGCACTTTAGGGAAATATGGTGTGAGACAGAAAAGAGGCATTTTTGAGTGATGAAAATACTAATCATGGCTAACACTTACATAGCATTTATCGTATGTCAAGCATTTACGTGTATTAACTGTTATGATGCTCACATTAACCCCAGGAGGTCAGGCCTATCACTTTACAGGAAGTTTAAGCAACTTCTGAAATATTAACAATTCTTCTGAATTGCTTCTCTGGTGACAGGAATAAGAGTCGCAGTAGCATCAACTTGCTAAAAAGTTTAAAATGGTGCTCAGAATAAAGGTATTTTACTGCTTTTTGAGACTCATTGTAAAATGGCTTGAAATGTCTTTGCCCTGAATCTCTGCCAGTGGGAAATTGGATGAGTTGCTAAAGAATGTGGAATTAATTATCCAAAAACACTTCAGATATTTCTCTTTGCATAGGGTATTGTAAATGGTCTTTAGCTAATTATAATTTAATATCTCACTTGTCTCTCTCATACATAGGTATATATGTTATATACACATGTGTATGTGTACAATTCAATACATCTATGTGTCTATGTAGCTACCTATGTATGCATGTATGTATGTATGTATCTGCCTATCTATTAATCTATCTCTATGTATCTACCTACCTATCTATATCTGTGTCTATCAACTTCAGGAATGCTTGGCATTCTTCTAACATCTGCGGGGTATTTAGGGATTAGGCTATGATGATAGATTTCCAGCTTCATTTCTTTTTAAAATCTTTTATTCTTCTTGCTCATTTTCCTTTTCCTGTCCCTAAAGGACAGTTTCTCCTCAGTTTAGGACTTCTTCCTTTTGCTCTCTTATCATTTGCAGACTTTCCGTTCTCAGCCAGAACCTCCCTTTTGTGCACTGTACAACCTGTTGACACTGTCACAGTTGCCACTTGATCATTGCAGATAAAGGAGGAAGTAGCAATTCTGGAATGGGTGGCTTATCTCTTGGCTTTATAACTGGATATCTTCATCTGCTATTCAGTCACTCTTTTTTATTATGGAGACATGTTTTCTGGGAAAATGCTACCATGAAGCAGGACCAATCTCCAGTTCAAGGTACCTCTTGATTTGTTCATTCCAAAGCATCCCCTGTTAGGAATTAGGGCTCAGATCATGGGGTCATCTATTCTGTAAGTAAAAGGCTGACAAAAAGTCTGTTACTTCACTGCTCTTTACATTAGGGTAATATTAACAATGGAAATCCAGTTCATTCAATAAAACAAGTGTCGATGAAGAGTCAAACTCGGTAAAATATTTTAAGAGACTTATTCTGAGCCAAATATGAGTGACCATGGCACATGACACAGCCCTAAGGAGATCCTGAGAACACGTGCCCAAGGTGGTCAGGGTGCAGGTCAGTTTTATACATTTTAGGGAGACATGAGACATCAATCAAATACATTTAAGAAACACATTGGTTTGGTTCAGAAAGGCGGGACAATTCAAAGCAGGGGTGGGGGGTGCTTTCAGGCTATAGGTAAATTTAAACATTTTCCAATTGATAATTGGTTGAGTTTGTCTAAAAACCTGGGATCAAAGGAAAGGATATGTCCAGGTTAAGCTAAAAGATTGTGGATACCAAGGTTCTTCTGAAGTCTTATAGTGGCTGCCCTTAGAGATAATAGATGACAAATATTTCCTATTCAGACCTTAAAAGGTGCTAGACTTCTACTAATTTCTTCAGGATTGGGAGGGCTTGGAAGAAAAAGATCTAGTTATGTCAATAGAGATTCTTTACAGATGCATATGTCCCCCAACAAAGGGCAGCTTTGCAGGACCATTTCAAAATATGACAAAGAAACTTGCTTTTGGGGTAAAATTTTTTTTACTTTCTTCTTTGTCACATAATGTTATGCCAGAGTCAGATTGCAAAGTAAGCCATGATATATAGGGTTAAATAAAATCCATCTGATGAGAATTTATGGTTAGTAGGGGATGACTCCCCAGACCCCTTAGATAAGAATTTGGGCAAAATAAAAAAATCAGAGCTTAGTCTTCACAAGTTATTGAAAAACAATGAGCTACCAATTTTATTTATTTATATTCTTTCAGTGGTCTTCAACAGGTGGCTCATGAATTCAGATATTTGACAATTTTAATGTGAAATAAATTTAAGATATTTCAACAACAATCATATAGGAAAATATAGATAAATAAGAAACTATAAAAATTATACTTTCAAACCTTTCCCTCTCTAAGACACATGGTTTACCTGATCTCACACAGATATTGAACATACAATTTAATTTTTAAAATTAATTTTTCTCACTTTAGAAAACTGGCATCTTGAGGCCGGGCACAGTGGCTCATGCCTGTAATCCCAGCACTCTGGGAGGCCGAGGCAGGCGGATCACGAGATCAGGAGATCAAGACCATTCCTGGCTAACACGTTGAAACCCCGTCTCTACTAAAAATACAAAAAATGAGCCAGGCGTGGCGGTGGGTGCCTGTAGTCCCAGCTACTAGGGAGGCTGAGGCAGGAGAATGGCGTGAACCCAGGAGGCGGAGCTTGCAGTGAGCGGAGATCGTGCTACTGCACTTCAGCCTGGGCAACAGAGCGAGATTCTGTCTCAAAAAAAAAAAAAAAGAGGAAAAGAAAATTGGCATCTTGAAACGAAAGTGTCTGCTTTCCCCTTAAAGAATCATAAAGAAATATAATCAATTAGACTCAGCCTAGAATTTAAAGCTTAATCAATTTTATTGATTGGCTTCAAGAATTTTATTGAAATGTCATATATTTATAAATTAAGACTAAGATGATACATATACTATCTACTGATTTTAAAATACAACAAATCATTTAACTAAATAAAATTAAAGATTGTAGTCTTTTAAACTTACCAACCAGAAATAATAATAAGCCAGTGAAATAAAAGATGTTCCAATAGAGAAATCCTTTGTCATTATATGACATACATTTTAATATGTTACACAGATAATCTGTGTATTTAAAATTTAATGATAAAAATTATTTGCAACATTTAACTGAAAAATTTTTATTCAGAATTTATCTTGAGACTTGCCATGTATTAATATAATTAATGTACCTTATAAGTAAATATTGATTATATTAAATTTTTAGAATTGGGTTGAATGTGTATCTCCTCTCCTCTGATAACTTAGTTCATTCTATGAAATGGTGCTAGAGACTAAGAAATACAGAGGTTCTGTTATCAAGTGTCATGAACATCAAGTGCCTTTTTCTCCACTAATGTTAGAATGCCTCTCCAATTATCCTCTTTAGTAAACTGTGAGCTGAAAATAGTGAAGTCTGATATTGCAAACAATGTCTCCAGTATAAAGCTTGCTTGAGATGAGAATCTTTTCTAAGAACATTTTTCTTGTCACATAAAGTATGTCACACGGTGGCATATTCCAACTTAAAGTTAACGTGTACTAATATAAAGGCCTCAGCGGAATGTATTAAGTGGATTTCTTTTGGCATTGGGTAAAGGAATCTTTCAAGGATTCTGTGGATATACAAACAAGAAACAAATTTCAAAAGAAGCATATGCACAAAATTTTTATAACCGGTTAGAATCATGATCTGGACTAAACACAAACAAGTGAACCAAAGTACAATACAATACAAAGCAAAAATTAAAAATAAACAGGAAATTTAATTCTATACGATGCAGAAACTATGTGCCAATACTCAGTGTAAACATACACTATTAGGAGGAAGTTGCTGCCACACAAGCAGATGACAAAGTTTAAGCAAAGCTGAAGAAGTTAGGTAGTGGCGTGCGGAGGGATCACTTTGATTATTGGCGTAGTTCCTACCCTCCTATTATTCTGGTTACCATACATTAGTGAGGTGTCTCCAATGGGTTTCGAGGGTTACAAATACCTTCCTGCATATTAGTCTACCTTCCTTAGAACTTCTTAAGATGGGCCATTGTCTCATGATACTCAATAATTCAGGAAAATCAATAATTGGGATTAAAATAAACCAATTAATTACATACTTCTTTATCTCAGTGTGACATAAACATACATTTTCAGACAAGTTTTCATTACTGGGCAACTATGGTATCTACCCAATGTTGTGGCCAAAGTTGGAATATTCACAGTTCCCCCATACTTATGCCCTCCGTGTTTTGGTTTTCCAGATACATGCTGTTGCTTGTACTTCAAATACACTTTCCCTATATCTCTGTCAATTCACGTCTTTCTCAAAAAGAACAGAGAAGTCAAATGGCTCCTCTACTAAACCTCTAAACATATATGATTTCTCCTGTCTTGACATTTTTACCAATTCCTATTCTCATTATAAGCTATGGTATCCAACTTGCACTTCTCTTCCTCTAACACCCCTGGCTTTCTTACCCCATTGTCTACATAGCTCAACTTCTTGCAAGTTGTCCATTCTTGCTCTCTCCTCTGTCTACAGCGATTTGCCTTCTGCTCCCACTGTTCACAAAACTTCTGTCCTCCATGTATTCATTTACAATGTTTTAGCCTTGGGCTGACCATACACCAGCTGTTCACAAAATTTATGTTGAACTGAATGACACTCGAATCAATAAAGGAAAAAAGGGGAACAGAAGGGGAAGCAAACAACATCCTTCTTCACATGATGGCAGAAGGAGAAATACAGAGCAAAGAGAGAAAAGACCCATATAAAACCATCAGATCTCACGAGAACTCACTATCACGAGAGCAGCAGCATGGGGGTAACAGCCCCCATGATTCAGTTACCTCCCACTGGGTCCCTCCCACGACACATGGGGATTATGGTAACTACAATTCAAGATGCGATTAGGGTGGGGACACAGCCAAACTAGATCAGTGCTACAACTGACTTCACTGTAAATGAGTTTACAATGGGTAACTCCATATTATCTGAACCAAACAGCATAGAGAGACCTCAAGAAGAGTAAAGAAATCTTTGTCTCATGTACATGGTATACCATCAATAATGAAACTGAGGAAGATTCACGGAGGGAAGTCATCACGCTGCAGCAGGCAATTATATCTAAACCAGTGAGATATGAACAGTGCAAAGAAGAACTAGAACAAAGATACTGTCTGGCATAGAAAGTCCAGTATTAAAGACACAGAAGGCCCTACATTTGTCCAGTAAAGCCATGCTTGATTAATGCCTTGGAAACCCTGGAGACTGGATCAGAAATCTGTATATAAAATGGTTCTTCCTGGATAAAGTTGAGAGAAAAAGAAAGCTTATTGTGTTCAAGTAGAAACTGGGATAAGCTGTGGGCCATCTGGCTTTTCTGTTGCAAAAACCAGGGCTTAAATCTACATCTTTCTATAGTCATGAATGAGCAAACTGATTTTGAACAATCATCTAACAACGAAATATTTAGGATTCAAAAAGAATGTACTTATGAAAAGAATGTAACACAAGAAACTGAAAATTAGAAAATTTCCCCTTTTTACACTAAAAAAGACAGAAGAGCCATGACTTTTTAAAAAACTGGAGCAGTAAGCTTGTGGTGGGAAAAGTGATGGTGAGAAGTGCAGGCATAGAAAGGAAGCAGGTTTAAGTAAGATGAGAAAACACAAGGAAATCCAAAATCCCAAATAAAATAATTTTGCCTTAAATTTTATTATGTTTAATAGTAGACTGCTGTTTTCTTTTGTCAATTGCTGTCAGATAAGTTTTGCTCTTTTGATTTATTTTAAAAGAAACATTAACTCTTGGTTGGGCATGGTGGTTCATGCCTGTAATCCCAGCACTTTGGGAGGCCGAGGTGGGCAGATCGCTTGAGGCCAGGAATTCAAGACCAGCCTGGCCAACATAGAGAAACCCTGTCTACTGCAAAATAAAAAAAATTAGTCGGCTGTGGTGGCACATGCCTGTAATCCCAACTACTCGGGAGGCTGAGGCACAAGAATCACTTGAGCGTGGGAGGTGGGGGTTGCAATGACATCACCACAGTCTGGGCAACAGGGGGAGACTCTGTCTCAAAAAAAAAAAAAAAAATTAGTGGCCGGGCATGGTGGCTCACGCCTGTAATCTCAGCACTTTGGGAGGCTGAAATGGGTGGATCACAAGGTCAGGAGTTCAAGACCAGCCTGGCCAATATGGTGAAACCCCCTCACTACTAAAAATACAAAAATTAGCTGGGCATGGTGGCAAATGCCTGTAGTCCCAGCTACTTGGGAAACTGAGGCAGAAGACTCGCTCGAACCCAGGAGACAGAGGTTGCAGTGAGCCGAGATTGCACCACTGCACTCTAGCCTGGGCACAGAGAGAGAGCCCGTCTCAAAAATAATAATAATAATAAAAATAAAATTAGCAAAAAATTAGCCAAAAATTCATTAAAAATAAATATAAATATATTTATATATACATTTTATTCATTAATAAAATCATTTTATTCAATAAAATGAATTCATTATATATAATGAATGAATAAAATGTATTTTTCCATTAGGGATTTAAAAGGAGCATTGGATAAATTAAAAAATTTTTTGTCTTTTCTTTTGAAAAAATAAATTTAATGATGTATTTTTGGACTTTGATTAAAAATAATTCAATTTTATCTGTAAGCATAAATATTAGAAATACTCAGAGAAATTTAGCAGAAGGATAAGCATCATTTTGTAATGACAATAATTAAGTAGGGCTGCATAAGTGGAAGAATGGACATATAAATGCCTTTTTTTTTTTTTTTTGAAACGGAGTCTTCGCTCTGTCGCCCAGGCTGGGGTGCAGAGGTGCTATCTATGCTCACTGTAAGCTCCGCCTCCCGGGTTCACCTCATTCTTCTGCCTCAGCCTCCGGACTGGCTGGTACTACAGGTGCCCACCGGCTGATTTTTTGTATTTTTTTAGTAGAGATGGGATTTCACAGTGTTACCCAGGATGGTCTCAATCTCCTGACCTCGTGATCCGCCCGCGTCGGCCTCCAAAATTGCTGGGATTACAGGCGTGAGCCACCGCGCCTAGCCAGATTTTTTTTTTTTCCAGAGGCTCCCTCTGTAGCCCAAGCTGGAGTGTAGTGGCGCGATCTCGGCTCACTGCAGCCTCCGCCTCCCGGGTTCAAGCAATTCTCCTGCCTCAGCCTCCTAAGTAGCTGGGACTACAGGCACGCACCACTACGCCCGTCTAATTTTTGTATTTTTAATAGAGACAGGGTTTCACCATGTTGGCCTAGGATGGTCTTGATCTGACTTCGTCATCTGCCCGCCTCTGCCTCTCAAAGTGCTGGGATTACAGGCACGAGCCACCGCAGCCGGCCGACAGATTTTATTTCATCTGTAAAGTTCTATAATGTCATTCACAATAAAATAAAAAGATATTATGCAAACCAAACAAAATTTTGCCAGATATGTGATACACTATACATAGAAAATAATTGCATATCAGTAAGAAAATAACTATAAATAGATAAAATCCATGAATAGTAACAAAAGTATAGGATATTAGAGAAAAAGTATTTGACAGAATGAAAGAAAAAAATGGTTGTTTTAGGATAAGTGGTCTGAGATGCATTCATGTGTTACTTCATTAGCTTGTATGTATTTAATATATTCTATATGTGTTCAACAATTGATGCAGATTCAAAAACAAAAAAATGTTCGTTTAGTAAGGAGATACACAACAACAAAAATTTCCTATAAAAGTGGATTACAATAATGAAAGTATCTAGAAATCTAATTTTAAAAAGTGGTACTCATTATCTGGGATCATCTGGGAAGAACTCATTTAATAGACCATTTGAGTAGACACTTGAGGATGAAGATAAATTTTCAGGCAGATTAATAACAATGGGGAGAGTTTTCAAGGCAGAGGAGATGACTTTTATAAAACGAGGAAAGCATGAAGTTTATGTAGCTTGAAAAGTGTGTTGTATTCAGGTAGTAATGCACTGACTCCATCACTCTTGCATTTTGTTTGTTTGTTTTGAGGCGGAGTCTTGCCCTGTCGCCCAGGCTGGAGGGCAGTGGCGCGATCTCGGCTCACTGCAAGCTCCGCCTTCCGGGTTCACGCCATTCTCCTGCCTCAGCCTCCAGAGTAGCTGGGACTACGGGCGCCCGCCACCATGCCTGGCTAATTTTTTCGTATTTTTCTTAGTAGAGACGGGGTTTCACCGTGTTAGCCAGGATGGTCTTGATCTCCTGACTTCGTGATCTGCCCGCCTCGGCCTTCCAAAGTGCTGGGATTACAGGCGTGAGCCCCCGCGCCCAGCCACACTCTTGCATTTTTTATTGGAGGATCTGAGGAAAGGTCTGCTTCCACGTTTGTTCAGATTGTTAGCCACACTTAGTTCCTTGAGTAGGTATTATTGCAGTCCCCATTTCCTTGCTGGCCGTCAGCTGGGACCAGCCTTTCCTCCTAGACTGTCCCTGTTCCTTATGCTTTTTTCATGGGCCTTTCCAGCAGCACGAACATTTCAAATATCTCTGCCTTTCCCTCCTGCCCCGTCTCTCAGAAATCAACTACACATGGTCTCAGCTTTTAAGGGCTCATAGTGATTAGATTGGACTCATATACGGTCCTCATTTTAATATTCATAATTCTAACTGCAAAGTCTCTTTTGTCAGGTAATACAGCATATTCAGGTCTCAAGGATTAAAGTGTGAGCATCTTTGGGGGTTTTTATTCTGCTTACAACATTTACCTAGAGTATAAATTCAAGACATAAGGCAGAATCTTATGAGAAAAAGAAAGTACTATTTTGAACATACCTGTGGCAATCCTAAATGGGAATTAGATTCAGATTTGGCAGTTCTGGATAAAAGTGAAGGCTGAAGAAATAATTTGGTAGTCATCATGTTATACATTTTGTAAATGAAGCCATTATTACATATGAGAGGGTTAGCATTCACCCAGGGAGACTTCAAGTCAGTTTACAAAGTTAATATTCTATGGCATGTTCAATAGTAGCACCACCTTTTATTCAATTGGATAGTAGCCTGGGGTGAAGATTAAAAAGAAAGAAATATAACTATCTCTATATGGAGATGCCATGAGGTATAAAGAATTTGTATATAGATATATATGGAGAAATATTTATGCATACAGGAAATCCTAAGGAATCCACACACGCACGCACACGTGCACACATTAAGATGATAAAGCTGTGATTTTTTAGGCATAACTTTGTAGTAAGATGTTACATCAGGAACAGGAAACTACTATAGCAAAGCACCCAGAACAGTCTAAATAGTCTTGAAACAGAAAATTTTCTACCAAACTATATTAATTCGGTGTTGCATTAGCATAAAGATAGACATATAAATTTAATGAAATAATATTGAGCATTAATCAATAAACCTTATATTTATGAGCAATTGATTTTTAAAAGGATGCCAAGAAAATTCAAAGGGGAAATAGTAGTCTTGTCAACAAATAGTGTTGGGACAACTGTACATATGCATGCAAACAAACGAAGTTGGATTCTGACCTTACCTTACACACAAAGTTGATCAAAACCTAAATGTAAGACCTAGAAGTAAAAAACTCATAGAAGAAAACATAAGCAAAATCTTCATGACCTTAGATTAAACAATAGTTTCTTAGATATAGCACCAAATTACAAGCAACAAAAGAAAAAAAAGGGGGCTATATTATGCTTAATTAAAACTAAATTTTTTCTTTAAAAGAAAAAGCCAAGGAAGGGAAAAGACAACCTACAGAATGGGAGAACAATTTTGCAAATCATACATCTTCTAAAAGACTTGTATTCAGAATATGTATCTTACAACTCAATAATAAAAAAACATATAACCTATTTTTAAAATGGAGAAATGATTTGAGTAGAAAATTCTCCAAAAAAGATACACAATAGGCAAGAAGCACATGAAAAGATACTCAACATTATTGGTCATTTGAGAAATGCAAATCAAAACCACCAGGAGATACCATTTCATACTATGATCAAAAAGAAAATAACAAGTATGTTTGAGAATGTGGAAACAATCCCACATAAATCGCTGGTGGGAACGCAAAACGATGCAGCCATGGTAGGAACAATTTTGCAGTTGCACTTTGGGAGGCCAAGGCGGGAGGATCACCTGAGGTCAGGAGTTTGAGTCCAGCCTGGCCAACACAGTGAAAACCCATCTCTACTAAAAATACAAAAATTACCCGGGCGTGGTGGCAGGCACCTGTAATTCCAGCTACTTATGAGGCTGAGGCAGGAGAATTGCTCGAACCTAGGAGGCGGAGGTTGCAGTGAGCTGAGACCATGCCACTGCACTCCAGCCTGGGCGACAGAGTGAGACTCTGTCTCAGAAAAAAAAAGAAAAAGAAAGAAAGAAAAGAAAAAAAAGTTAAACAGTGTTATCAAATGACTGGACAATTCTACTCCTTAGGAATATCTCCCAAAGAATGAAAAACATGTCTACAAAGAACCTGGACACAAATGTTTATAGCAACATTATTTGTAATGGCCATAAAGACAGTGCAAATGTCCATCAATTGATGAATGGATAATCAAAAAGTGGTATATCCATACAATGGAATATAATTTAGCCATAAAAGGAATGAACTACTGATACATGATACATGTATGAATCATGAAAACATTAAGTGAAAAATGCCAGACACAAAATGTCACATATTCTATAATTCTACTTATATGAAATGCCCAGAAAAAGCAAATCTATAGAGACAGAAGGTAGATCAGTGATTGCCAGGGGCTAGAGAGAAGAGCAAACAAGGACTGGCTAATAAGAGACACAGGATTTTTTTGTTGTTGTTCAGTGATGAAATTATTCTGGAATTTGCAGTGATTATACCATAACCTTCTGAATATACTAATCACTGAGTTGCATCCTTGTTAAGGACAAATATTATGGTGTATGAATTATATCTTAATTTTAAAAAGTACAGTAAATTAAAAACAAATTGTGTTTCAATAATAAAATATTATTTTAATATCACAAAATCAATTATTGTAATTCACTATATTAACAATATGGAAGAAAATCTCATCTCAACAGATGCAGAATATATTTTTTAATATGCAAACAACAATGAAATGTATTTAATCTGGTGAAAGATAATCATAAAATCTTACAAAAATATTATAATTAATAAGGAAATATGGAAAGCTTTCCTTATGGGATCAGAAACAAAATTCCCTAGTCAGTTCAATAAGAAAAAAAAAGTAAGAATTAGCAAGAAAGAAATACACAGGTCATTATTTGCTAAGGACATTATTGTATATGTAGAATATCTAAAATAAAATATTAGAACGAATAACTAAATATAGCTATCAGGATCACTGGTTACAATATGAGCACATAAAAGTCTATTTTATTTCCTTACACTACCAATAACCAATTACAGAATAAAATTTTATAAATATACCATTTAGAATCAATATTTTGTTAACTTCATAAATTAACTGGAAAGTTTTTCTTTTGAAATATATTTTCAAAAATTGAAGAATTCTTCAAGTCAGTTAAATGGTTTTAAATATTTCTGGCCTACAACAACAAGGTTAAATCTGCATGTGATAATGGATCTCCCTACTGATACTAGAACTATCCCATTACTGAAAACCATTTTTAGATATAAATGGCAGGCACTTAAGAATGACTTCATTTCCTGTGGTGTTCCTTTAAAACAATTTTCCAAAACAGGCAAATCTTGCTCTCTCTCTCTTTCTCTTTAAAAAGTAACACAGGCTTATTTTTAAAGTTGCAATCAAAACAGACAGGTAAAAAGTAGAAAATTAAAATGACCCATCAGGCTTGTCTTAAAATTAACTACTGATAATATTTTGGTATATGTCCTCATATGTTTTAACGTATTTTTTCAGGTTTGTTCTATCAAAACCTAATTTAACAAAATCTGAGCAAATCATCCACTTCCTTTTCTAATATCCTTTTATACTGTGTGTTTATACATGTGGTTATGAATATATGTTCACAAGTGAGGGTATATATACACATACACACATACATGTGTGAGATAGAGACATAGGCAGAGGCAGACAGAAAGGCAGAGAATAGCTAGGAAAGTTGAGCTCAATTTAATATTGTAATTATAATATGCATGCTATTTTAAAATTGCTTTCATTTCTGAATTTAGACAGCATATAGAACTTGATAAATACAGTAATTAGAAATCCGAGAGTTATTTGCATACTTACACATCTGAAGTATCTTCCTATGTACAGATAAACATTAACCACAATTATCTACACATGTTGCTTGAATTTTTTCCTCCAGCTGTCATGTTAAAGCCATGATTGACACTTGTTTGCATACGATTTGAGAATTTAATATTTGGTTGAAATTCTCTGATCCTAAAACATACTGCTTGGAAATACACATTTTGTTTTCATACACATGGGATGTTGCACGCATACCGAAATTAAAGAATTACAATTAGTTGGTACCCAGCTTGCATCCTTAAGCAATCTTTGTAAATACTATTTTTCTTATTAATGCTGCTTTCTGTTCTCATTAAGTTTCAACAGAGTACTCTCAGTAATTTAAAACATATTGTTCCTTCAGTTAAATAGGCAATTTCCCTCTCAACAAATGCCTGGACCTTAAAGTAAGGTGTGGAAATGGACAAAATAGTCCCAAATATTTTAACCAGCAATATAAACTTTTGCAATGCTTTTATAGGATGTTTAAAATAACAAGAAAGACTTGGTTCTCGTGATTTTCACCAACGGTGGTTACAAACAGTCTTCTTCTTTACTATGTTTGAAAGGCATATTTCACTTCACATATCCTTTACTTGCTGCCAGAGCCTTAATATTGCTAGGGGGAAAAGCTTACCTAGCTCCGTGTTTGTAAATGTCAGCTAGCCAAAAGATATTTGGAAACCTATAAATGTTCGCCTTTCTAACATTTGCTTAAAGCTATCTGGAATTAACGTTCTCCTCTTTCCTCTTCTCTCACCTCAAGAAAAAAAAATCTGTATACAGAAGTTGACACAAAATATATTAAATAAAGCTGGTATTCAGCCCTCTTGCATTCAAGCAAGAATTACCCATGTATGTAAAACAGAAGAAAATGTCTTGATAGTATTCTGTACCCGTGCTGTCAAACTACCCTTTGATATGTCTGCAATTTTCTCAGTAAAACACATTTTGTTTATTTTGGATTAAGAGCAAGCTCTTGCATGTCTACCAGGATTTATTAGCCTGGTAAAGAGCAGCACTACACAGAAACAACGAATATAATGTGCTCTTTGCTATGGTTTTAAGTTCCCCTTCAAACTCATGTGAAATGTAATTGCCATTGAAACAGTATTAAGAGGTGGGGGCTTTAAGAAGTCATGCAGGCTGTTGTCGTTTTTTTTTTTTTTTCCAGGTTTTTTCTATCAAAACCTAATTTAACAACATCTGAGCAAATCATCCACTTCCTTTCCTAATATCCTCATTTTCACTACTCTCTCCTTCAGCCGCAATGATCCATTCCATCATCTAACATTAATTTAGTAAAGATTTACTAAATCCCTTCTCTGTACAAATCATTTTATAGGATCTGAGTAAAGATACAGTGATTAGCATATGGCAGCCCTTGTCCTTTGACATGGCAAGAACAACTTTTCCTATTTTCAAGAGCTTGAGTATTCTGTCACTAATAGATCTAAAACTATCCAAGTTTACCTGGCCAACTTTTTCCCTTAAACTTCTGCCTCCCTTTTACAAAACTTCAAAAAAAAGAATTCCAAATTTAATCATGCTGTTAAAACAGATTTTCACATCATCCCGTAGTTACATAAAGGGCAGTCTCCTTAGCTCATACTTAAAATCATATCTTTTCAACCCTTGAGTATTGTTACCATTACCTCAAACAATCATATAGCTACTGTCTTTCAGGTTATTCACAATACAATAATTTGAATATGCAAAAACACCACAGAATTTAAATGAAAAGTAACTAACGCACCCTACTCCCCTCAAAAATCAATTAATAAAATTTGTAATTTCAACAAATATTTTTGAATATTTACAAATCAGAAACAAAAATGGCTAACTGGAAACACAAAACAGATAAAAGATTTGGTAAATTAACCCAACATGCAATTTTGAAAAATGTAAATTTAATTTTTACTTAATAAGTGATTTCTCAAAAAGTAACATTAATAAAGGGCATTGTCAGAAATTTTGAGTCTTTTAGGAGTGAAAACATCTGTTTGAACTAAAACTAGGAGACACAGAATGATGAGAACATATGAAGTTTTAGCTAAATATCCATGAATTACAAGGTTATTCTCTGTTGGTTTGGAGTACTCATTTACACACTAATACTCAGCTTTAGGAATTTAGGGCTCATTAACTTTGCTAAACATGGAATTTAGCGTTTTTTTAAAAACTACTTATTTCTTCACTATTTTTATATCCAAGTATACTCTTCTCATTACTCACAAAGGACAAATCTTCACCAAGCCCCTGCCCCTACAGTCAGGATAGTAATTTCATTCAAGCATCCCTTGAAAGCAATTATTTATGCTCGCTGCAGAAATTAGGGTAAATTTGTTGTGGTCCCATTTATTTTCTGGAGATTGGCGATTACATGTAAAATAATTTGAACGCTTGATAGATAGACTCATAAATATTTGGTTAATACAAGTAAAGCAGGGGGAGGCCAGGCGTGGTGGCTCACGCCTGTAATCCCAGCACTTTGGGAGGCCAAAGTGGGTGGATCACAAGGTCAGGAGACCGAGACCATCTTGGCTTACACGGTGAAACCCCGTTTCTACTAAAAATACAAAAAATATTAGCAGGGCGTGGTGGCGGGTGCCTGTAGTCCCAGCAACTTGGGAGGCTGAGGCAGGAGAATGGCTTGAACCAGGGAGGCGGAGCTTGCAGTGAGCTGAGATTGTGCCACTGCACTCCAGCCTGGGGAACAGAGCGGGACTCCGTCTCAAAAAAAAAAAAAAAAAAAATGGAGCGGGGGGGCCGGGCGCGGTGGCTCAAGCCTGTAATCCCAGCACTTTGGGAGGCCGAAGCAGGCAGATCACGAAGTCAGGAAATCGAGACCATCCTGGCTAACATGGTGAAACCCCGTCTCTACTAAAAATACAAAAAATTAGCTGGGTGTGGTGGCGGGCGCCTGTAGTCCCAGTTACTGCGGGAGGCTGAGGCAGGAGAATGGCGTGAACCCAGGAGGCAGAGATTGCAGTGAGCTGAGATAGCCCCGCTGCACTCCAGCCTGGGCAACAAAGGGAGACTCTGTCTAAAAAAAAAAAAAAAAAGTAGTTACTTTCTTCTTCATCCCTTTCAGTGTGGCCACTATTTATAATGCAGTTTGGTTCATTAGTGTTTGTATTCCAAAAACACCCTCAGCCTTCCTATCCTAGTTTTAATGAATTATTAGGGTGAAACATAATAAGAGACGGAGAGTCGGAGCTATACAGAAAGGTCTACTCAGAGGTGCTTTGTTCCCTCCTGTTCTGTTCCCACCACTCCTACTTTCCACTACTTTTTCCACTGACCCTGTGAGCATCATATTTATTGTTAATGGCAGTTACATTTTTACCAAGTGCTTACTATCTGTAGGCACTTGGTGTGTATTGCTTCTTCTGGTGTTCACAGCAACCTCTTGAGGTAGGCACTATTATTATCCACCACCCCCCGCCCCGTTTTTTGAGACAGAGTCTCACTCTGTTGCCCAGGCTGGAGTGCAGTGGTGCGATCTCAGCTCACTGCAACCTCTGCCTCCCAGGTTCAAGCAATTCTCCTGCCTCCGCTTCCCAAGTAGCTGCAAGTACAGGTGCGAGCCACCACACCCATCTAATTTTTGTATTTTTAGCAGGCATGGGGTTTTGCCATGTTGGCCAGGCTGGTCTCAAACTCCTGACCTCAGGTGATCCCCATTTTTTAGATGAGAAAGCAGAGTCCCAGAGAGCATAAGGAGCTTGTCCAGAGTGGCATCTCTGATGCATAACCAGTACTCAAACCAGTATTTTTCTGACACCAAGGCCTGTGTGTAAACTGTAAAAGGGCTGTTTGGTACCTGCTTTCCTAAAGTTGTCTGATCCCTTCTCAGTCCAGGTCTTCCTGAAGCTTGGCACTTCTGAAGTCACCTTTCTGAAAACATTCTGGTAACTGTTAGATCCCTTGTTGTAGCTATTCATATGTTCTGTGTGGTTAAACAAGGTTCACAGTGGGCCACCTGGCCTTTGGAACTTGGCTGAAGAGGCTGCCTTCAGTTCATCCTCCCCACCCCCGTTTTCAAAACATGGGTTTCCATGTGTTCGTTGTAAATTAGGAAACATAACCATGTTTTGAGGCTTCATAGAAAACAAACGTCTGGGGTCACACAGGTTAAAGGAGGAACCAAATTCAGCACTATCACTGTTCTATTCGGCAGGCAATTCTGGGGCCTTCCTGTGTCTCAGGTTCTGTACTAGTTGTTTCAGGACTTTGGGATAAACACAAACTATCCCTGCCCTCAGGGGGATTAAGGTCAGGTGTACAAATGACTCTAATGCGAGGCAAGGCTGGATTCAGTGCTGGAAGAGGAGGGCATACCTAACGCTACGGGAATTCAAAGAGGAAATGATCAGAATGAGGAGGGAGAGATGGGTCATTCCGGGAGAAGCTTCAGGGAAAGGCAACATTTGAAATGAGACTTTGGAGAGTGAGGGAGGTTTGGGCAGATGGATAGAGAGGATGCAAGGCCAGGGGAAAGGTTTGAGCCAGAAAGTCAGCTTGGGCAAGTGCATGGGTAAAAAAAGAAAATCCACTTTGGGAGGCCGAGGCAGGTGGATCGCCGGAAGTCAGGAGTTGGAGACTAGCCTGGCCCACATGGTGAAACCCTGTCTCTCCTAAAAATACAGAAATTAGCTGGGCATGATGCTGGGCACCTGTAATTCCAGCTACTCGGGAGGCTGAGGCAGGAGAATCACTTGAACCCAGGAGGCAGAGATTGCAGTGAGCTGAGATCACACCACTGCACTCCAGCCTGGGCAACAAGAATAAAACTTCATCAAAAAAAAAAAAAAGAAAGAAAGAAAATCACAAAGCAGTGTGGGGAATGGTGAGTAATCTAATTTGGTTGTTGCAGAGAGGATGTAGAAGGAAGTGACAAGAGAGAAAGCCAGACAGCTGGCTTGGGGTCATCTTAAGGGCCTTTGTGCCAGTTAGGATGTTCCAGACTTCAGTCAGGCTGCCCAGCTCAGACTGGCTCAGACAATGAGGGGGTTTATTGGCCGTGTAATTGGGAAGTCCAGAGGCTCTAGGACTACAGAAAATTATTATTTAGTATTAGTTTGACAGCAACACCTTCTGTTTTCTGGGAGCAGGAGATGCTTGTCAAGCTGTAGGTCACTGAGTTGAATATTATCCTGCTTTATTAAATTGCCAAGGGCACGGTAATTGTTGAGAGGGGAGAAGTACACATGAAAGAAAACATGACCAGCTTAGAAACGTCAAATGATTATGACGTTGTTATAAAGTATTATAATTCTTTGAGCATCTACTATAAGTAGAGAAACTTGAGTTCCAGGTTGTGGGCTTGGTTCCGCCAACAATCAGGAACGTGGTTTTGCATGAAGCCCTTCTTTCTTCTATAATCTTCAGTGTCCTCACCTGCAAAATGAGGCCTTTATATATATATATATATATATTTTTTTTTTTTTTTTTTTTTTTGAGACGGAGTCTCGCTCTGTCGCCCAGGCTGAAGTTCAGTGGTACAATCTCTGTTCACTGCAAACTCCCTCTCCTGGGTTCACACCATTCTCCTGCCTCAGCCTCCCGAGTAGCTGGGACCACAGGCACCTGCCACCACGCCCAGCTAATTTTTTGTGTTTTTAGTAGAGATGGGGTTTCACCGTGTTAGCCAGGATGGTCTCGATCTCCTGATCTCGTGATCTGCCCGCCTCAGCCTCCCAAAGTCCTAGGATTACAGGTGTGAGCCACCACGCCCGGCTAAGGCCTTTATTATACTATGGTTCCTACTGTTTTTTAAAATACTTTTATTAAGTCCAACATTTTTATTAAGAACATTGCTTTTATACATGCCTATTTATGAAAGGGGTTTTCGAGTGTTTACCACTTTTTATTAGAAATAGAGACAGTAAGAATGTTTGACTTAATTGACACAGGCATAATTGAATGGGTATAAATGGCATGCCATAGAAAGAGAAAATTAAGTTGAGCTACTCTGTTGGTTTCACTGATGAGGGGATACATCATTCAAACAGCCAGGAATTAAATCCGTCCAGCTCACAAATGGGGAAACCAGCTGTGTCTGTACCCATGGCCAGCCAGACTGAACACAAATCAGGAAAGTCAGTAACTTTTCCTCAGTTCTGAGGGACTTCAGTGGCTGCGGTTCATTTTCCTTTTGCTTCTGAAACAGTGCAAGTTGATGCTCGCCTGGACAGAGCGGCAGTGAGTGGTGGCGTCTGAAGGCCAGGTCTCTGTTGAGATGACAACACGTCCTCTCCCAGTGCCCAATGCATAGAAAAGATACACTACTAAGTGTGAGATCCTCAGTGAAAAATAAAATCTGGGGTTGAATCATCATGGGGGATACTGCATACTCTGTTTCCCCCCTGCAGATTTCCAATGCTCATTAGTTTATAGAGACTCTGAGAATTCCTACAGCAAAGGCACCTGCCGAGGTACTTACAAACTAGTTTAGCTAAACCAGACTTTCAACAATTGGTTACTAAAGACCACTCAAAGTCTGTCAACACTCTGTCATCTCTATGTAATGATAGAAACATAGAAATTCAGGGTAAATGTTTAGAAATTTCTATAGAAACTTGACATTCTCCCAGCATGTGACATCAGGGGACTTGTCTCAATGAGCAGTTACAGACCAACTCAGGTTTTGTCAGACTCGATGGAAAGATGCAGAGGCTGTGAGCTGCAAACGAGTCACATACACAAGGACCACATTGCAAGCTGCGTTCTTTAAGGTTAGTTTGTCAACTATAGTATAATCTCACACATCTGAAAAATGGGAACATCTATTCTATAAAGTCTTATTTTTGCAATATTAATTTTAAATCAAGCCAATGTTAGCATTATTAGTGAAAACAAAAGAAAGTTGTATTATTTATTATTAAACCTAATTTGAGAGTGAAATAAATTGTATTAATTTTTTTAACCAATAAAAGATGCACCTTGTAAACCAAGAGATGATTATGAAAGTGATTCTGAGGACATGAAGACCAAAGGAGTTTGTCCTCGTTTTACTCAGAAGTACTATTTCTAATGGACAGATGATCCCTGACATACAATGGTTTGACTTATAATTTTTTGACTTTATGATGGTGTGAAAGTGATATGCATTCAGCAGAAACCATACTTCAGTATTCAATAAATTACATGAGATATTCAACACTTTAAAGTGGGTTTGTGAGAGAGAATTTTTGCCCAATGGAAGGTGAATGTAAATTTTCTGAGAATGTTTAAGGTAAGCTAGGCTAAGCTATGATGTTAGCTTAGGTGTATTAAATGCATTTTAATTTAATTTAATTTAATTTTATGTTTTGAGACAGTGTGTTTTGTTCTTGTCACCCAGGCTGGAGTGCAATGGCATGATCTCGGCTCACTGCGACCTCTGCCTCTTGGGTTCAAGCGATTTTCTTGCCTCAGCCTTCGCAGTAGCTGGGATTACAGGTGCGCACCAACATGCCTGGCTAATTTTTGTATTTTTAGTAGAGACAGGGTTTCACCATGTTGGCCAGGCTGGTCTCTAACTCCTGACCTCAGGTGATCCACCCGCCTCAGCCTCCCAAAGAGTTGGGATTACAGGCTGAGCCACTGCACCCGGCCTTAAATGCATTTTCGGCTTATATTTTCAACTGATGATGAGCTATAACTCCTTTGTGAGTTGAGGATCATCTGTCTTGAATTTGGTTTTACAGGCATAACTGAAGGTGAAAGGACAGAATCACCGTGTGTTACTGGCACAGATGCATCGGCTAGTGAAGAAAGAAGACATTCAAACTGTAAGTTGCATTCACGTGGGAAGCACAAAGAATTAAATTCAAAACAATGAAACATTAGAGAAAAGCATGGAGTTAAAACACAACAGAATCAGATGTTTACTATTTCTCATTTTAACACTAGTGCTTTGCGGGCTTCTAATAAAGTTGTACTCCAGGAGGCTAAGACTGAAAAGTGACACTAGTGAAAAGTAGCATTGAAATAGTTCCTTAGAAAAGTTGGGTGAATGTGGGGCAAAGATGCCACTAAACTTTAATTTTCCATCGACACACAAATTCAAAGTTTTCCAGAACTGGCAAGTAAAATGGAAGATCCACTCACAGGACACATGCAGTGTGTGAGGGGAATGCTTTTCAGCACTTCTTGATGGATGCACAAATAATGCCAACGTGGTAAATGTCTTTGGTAAACGTGCAATGGAATGCAGTGGTTGTGTGAAGGAAGAATTTTGTTTTCTGCTTCATTTTTGATAAACACAAGCAGCTCTGGACTGTGTGAAACCATGGAGCACCGCACAGTTAACAGAGGTGGTTTGGAGTTTTTTAGCTTTGCATAAGAGGATGTTCTGATGCAGAATCTACAGTGACAGGAAACCATTCTGGACAAGTTACAGAATTAAGGGGCTTGTGCCGGGATGGAAATAAATCAATGACTTCTGTCTTTGAGAAGGTTTTTCTCTGCTCCTCTGTGATGGTTAATTTTTTTTTTTTTTTTTTTTTTTTTGAGATGGAGTCTCGCTCTGTCCCCCAGGCTGGAGTGCAGTGGCGCCATCTCGGCTCACTGCAAGCTCTGCCTCCCGGGTTCATGCCATTCTCCTGCCTCAGCCTCCCAAGTAGCTGGGAGTACAGGTGCCTGCGGCTAATTTTGTGTATTTTTAGTAGAGCCAGGTTTCACCATGTTGGCCAGGATGGTCTCGATCTCCTGACCTTGTGATCCACCCGCCTTGGCCTCCCAAAGTGCTGGGATTACAGGCATGAGCCACCATGCCCCACCTTTTTTTTCTTTTCTTTTTTTTTTTCTTTCTTTCTTTCTTTCTTTCTTTTTTTTTTTTTTTTTTGTTAGTCCTTCCCTCCAGTGTCGTGGAGATAATTGGAAAATATTTTAGAGCAAAAAAGTTTATTTCTCCTTCTTGTTGTTAGCAAAGAAATTTATTTTTCCTTCTTGTTATTTATTGGCCTTGGAGACATACACCAAATAGCTCATTCTACTTCTGAAATTTTGTTTTGATTTCCCTGGCCCTCCCCACGAAGTATTTCAGATTAGCAGGGAGTCAAGCATTGTCTGTCTGTCTGTGAATAAAATATTTCAGGCTGCTTTTGCATAATATACATGCTCTTGCCTTTAAGAGTCACACTCACATCTTCTGGTTTTGTAAGACACCAGGTAGAGAAGAAAACAATGTTTCTGAATTCTGCTTTATCAGCCCAGTAGAGAACTCCTCCCTTCCCTGAACTGAGGGCCACATCTAAGGGGTTGAAACAGGGCCAGCTACATTCTATGTTCCCAACATAATTGTCCATGCACGGATCCAATCAAGTTAAATGAGAAATAGGATATTTATTCTAAAAACAAGTTATTGCTACAATAATAATAATACTATAGTAATATTATTCTAATAATGATATTAGAATAAAAACTGGTTATTAAAGTACTAAACAGTTGAAAATCTAAATGTCTCACAAGGTCAACTATAGCAAGTATATAAGATTTCGTATTAGTCGCACGTCAAAAATTATATCCATAAAAGTAATGACATATGAAAACAGTTTATTGATACAGATATAACAAATATAACTAAACTGTGCTGAAATGTATTTTAAAATAAAATATGCCAAAATATTATTGATGATGACTTTGGATGATGGTATTACCACTAAGGTTTCAAATTTAATTTGCCTCTTACTTCTGAGTACTTTTATAAATTTTTAAATAATAAAATTAGTGTGTTAAAAAATATCAAGTGATATCTAGAAATCAGAAAAAGGCATATTGCCAGAGGAGGACCGAGTTAGTAGATTTGAGGCTCCATTAAGTTTTGTTTATGATCAAAAAACAAACAAAAACCAGGCAACAGTGGCAAAAAATATCTCACTTCCTTCCTGGAAAAGTAAATGAGACTACAAAGAATTTCCAAACTTAAAAACTATACATTTCAAGTCTGTTCATAACTAGTGAAGTCACAGTTTCTGAAAACAATGATAAAATTTTAATTGATATTTAATTCATATTTTTTGTTTAAAAAACTATCAGTATTGGAAGATAAATTTCATGGGAAAAGCATTGAATCATTAAGTTTTGCAGTCACAAAGGTAAATATAATTTGCTTAATGCTGCCCTCAGTTTACAATGAGTCTTTAGTATTTTCTAAGCTATGAGTTCACCAAAATATAGGATTGTTTTGCTGTATATAATTTGCTCAGTGATCAAACACTAAGGAGTTACCTATGTTAAGATGTGAATAATAAATTTATGCAAAATTTATGAAAGTGTACATTGTAAAGACAATAAAACTTTCCATTAAATTGGTGGGAAAGGAGCTCAAAACCTAGCTGGGTGATTCATTATTTTAATGACTTCCTGCTTTACTGCAAAACCTCTCTCTTCATTCGGTGTTGGTAGTTTGAACCCCTGTTAAGGATATAGGCTCACAATGAAGCTTCTATAAATTTCTGGACCTCTGTCATGCTGGCATGTGTGTCATTCTCCTTTAGGAATGATGAGGAGACTGGAAAGCGGTTGCTCCAAGGGAAGGGATAATTTTGCAAACCTGAGCTGTCTAAGCTCAGCATGAATTGGAGTGGGCTGCTGACTCAGGCTAGCAGAGGCAGCCAGGAAACATGCAAATCTGCAATCCGTTCTGCCAGGTCTGTCGCAGCAGGTGTCACTAAAGGCACCCCTGTGTGCTTGTCACTGTGGCAGCCTTGACAAGGAAGGTGGAAAGGAAAAAGAGACCCAGTGCTGAACTCCAAGCAGAGATGGGGCTTTTCTCTATGCATATTTTCCCTCCCCTCCCAGCCTGCATTTCCAATAACATATTGATTTATATTTGTATTATGAAACAAAAGTGGTTGTAATCAGATGTTCTTTCCTTTTACACACAATGTTAGCTCCTATTTACATTCCTAACTGAACAATGTCTAGAGAGGTATTTAAACTGATGTAAAACGCAGATAATCTCATGACCAAATGCTTAGCACAAGAAAAAACTTCAATTTGCAAGAGAAGTCCCTCCAAATACAGAAAGGACCAGTATTGTAAGAGGTACCTTAACTAAAATGTAGCAATGTAAGGCGCAGAGCAGGAAGAACTTTTAAGTCTGAAACTTACAACAAGTCAATTTCATAGTCAGTTTCCCTGGGCCTTCCACAACAGCCTCCGGCACCTGTTTTCTCTACAATGGAGGTAACAATAGTAGCTATTTCAGAGTAGGAAATGGCTTAGAGCAGTGCTAGAATATGGTCGTGGCTATATAAAGTTTAGCTATTTATATATTGTAAGAAACCTACGATGTGTTCTTTTATCGGTAGTCAGTAATGGATTTCTTGTGGGAAAGTAGCAGCCTCCTATGGGGGGAACACCCGCAGGTCCCACTAAGTGAACACTGGTGTCTGCTAACCTTTGCCTCTATTTGTCGCAATAATATACTGTCAAGCTGTTCCTTGAGTTAGCAATTTTATTTACATTCTTTTTCTTTTTTTTTTCCTTTCCCTTTTCCTGCCACAGAGTCCCGCTCTGTCGCCCAGTCTGGAGTGCAGCAGCGCCATCATAGCTCACTGCCACCTAGAAGCCGGGGTGAAGCAATCCTCCTCCATCAGCCTTCAGAGTAGCTGGGACTACCTGCGCGGCCCACCACACCCGGCTAATCTTTGTGGTTTTTGTTTTGTTTTCCGTTCTGGGTTTCCGTCGGGCGCAGTGGCTCAGGCCTGCAATCCCAGCACTTTGGAAGGCAGAGGTGGGCGGATCACCCGAGGTCGGAGACCGGCCTGACCAACATGAAGAAATCCCGTCTCTACTAAAAAAAAGAAAAAAACTACAAAATTAGCCGGATATGGTGGCTCATGCCTGTAATCCCAGCTACTAGGGAGGCCCAGGCAGGAGAATCACCTAAATCCGGGAGGCCGAGGTTGCGGTGGGCAAAGATCACACCATTGCACTCCAGCCTGGACAACAAGGGTGAAACTCCGTCTCAAAACAGAGACCGGGTTTCACCATGTTGCCCAGGCGGTCTGGAACTCCTAGGCTCAAGCGATCTGCCACACTCGGCCTTCCAAAGTCCTGGGATCACAAGGGGGAGGCACCACGCCAGGCAGATCTATTCCTTTCTGGTTACTAAATTGGACCGGGGGCGCGGTGGCTCACGCCTGCAATCCCAGCACCCAGGGAGGCGGAGGCGGGCGTATCACTCGAGGTCAGGAGCTCGAGATCAGCCTGACCAACACGGAGAAACCCCGTCTGTACCAAAAAAATAAAACCAAAATTAGCTGGCATGGTGGCTCATGCCTGCAATCCCAGACACTCAGGAGGCTGAGGCAGGAGAACCACCTAAACCCGGGAGGTGGAGGCCGCGGTGAGTCGAGACCACGCCACTGCACTCCAGCCTGCAAAACGAGCGAAACTCCACTCAAAAAAAAAAAAAAAAAAAAGACAGTGTTTCACCACGTTGCCCAGGCCGGTCTGGAAGTCCTAGGCTCAATCGATCGCCGCGCTCGGCCGTCCACAGTACTGGGATCACAAGCATGAGCTACCACGCCAGGCCGATCTATTCCTTTCTGGTTACTAAATTGGACCGGAGGCGCGGTGGCTCACGCCTGCAATCCCAGCACCCAGGGAGGCGGAGGCGGGTGGATCACCCGAGGTCAGGAGCTTGAGATCAGCCCGGCCAACACGGAGAAACCCCGTCTGTACAAAAAAAAAAAACACCAAAATTAGCTGGCATGGTGGCTCATGCCTGCAATCCCAGCCACTCAGGAGGCTTAGGCAGGAGAACCACCTAACCGGGAGGTGGAGGCCGCGGTGAGTCGAGACCGGAAAACACTCTAGCCTGGAAAACAAGAGCGAAACTCCGCTCAAAAAAAAAAAAAAAAAAAAAAAAAAAAAAGACCGTGTTTCACCATGTCGTCCAGGCTGGTCTGGAACTCCTAGAACCTGTAGATGTTACCTCATTTGGAAAAAGCATATTTTCAGGTATGATTAAGTTAAGGATCTTGAGGAGAGATTATCCTGGATTGTCTCCGTGGGCATTAAATCCTGGCACATATATCCTTATAAGAGGGAGATAAAGGAGATTTAACTTCAGACAGAAGAGAAGGAGGCCCTGTGACCAAGAAGGCAGAGCCTGGAGTGGTGGAGCTGCAAGCCAATGAATGCCAGCAGCCATCAGAAGCTGCGCAAGTCAAAGGATGGATTTTCCCCTCAGCCTCTGAGAGCACTGGCTCTGCTGAGACCTAGATTTCAGCCCAGTGATACTGATTTTGGACTTCTGATATCCAAAACTGTGAGAAAATAAATTTCTGTTGTTTTAAGTCACCACATTTTTGGTAATTTGCTCTAACAGCCACAGGAAAGTAACATACATGCCTACCTGGGTCCAGTTGTGTCCTGTGACTCCTGCTTTCCTGGGACAGGCAGGCTGCTCCGTGCCTCCTGGCCATCCTACTGGGTGCTGGACGCTGTAGGCTGCTCCATGCCTGTTGGCCATTCCCTTTGGTGCTGGACAGCACTCACATTGTGAAATCCACTGGCCCTGTGAAAAACACCTGGAAATGTTACCAGGAGAGGGGTTAGTTCTCTTTTTGGCAACCCATGTTATTGCTTATGGCTTAATATCTGTGCCTCCAAGATCCCTTCTCTCTGCCTTCATCGATGCCAGGAAAGCAGTCACCTTTTGCCTTTCTTTGCTTCTCAGCAAGTGGCATGTCTCCATGTCACTTTAAGCATCAAGCACACGGAGCCCAATAAGATGCTGAAAAGTGTCTGCCTACAAGGTTACAAGGCGGTGGAGACATTCTGAGCCGGTAACTGCAGGGCTCAGTAAAACCGCTACAGGAAATCTCAAGTTCAAAATGCTGAAGTGAAAAATGGGTGATCACAACGAAGGGAAACACAAACCCCTTCTTTTAAAAACATTATGGTGATAAGGCACAACATAAAATTTACCATATTAGCCACTTGTAAGTATACAGTGCAGTAGTGTTAAAAATATACATGTTGAGTAACGAGTTTCTAGAACTTGCTTCTCTTGGAGAACTGAAACTATAGCCACTATACAACAACTCCCCATTTCTCTATCCCCTGGCTTATGGAAACAACCGCTCTATTTTCTGTTTCTATGAGTTTGACTAATTTCGAACCTAATGTAAGAGAAATTGTACAGCATTTGTCTTTGTGTGATGGGCTGATTTCAATTAGTGTAATGTTTTCAAGGTTCATCTATATTGCAGCATGTGACAGGGCTTCTTTCTTTTTTAAGGCTGATAATTTTATAGTATTCCGTTGCATGGATAGACCACATTTATTTATTCATTTATTTATTTATTTATTTACTTATTTATTTATTGAGACAATCTCACTCTGTTGCCCAGGCTGGAGTGCGGTGGCATGATCATGGCTCACTGCAGTCTGAATCTCACATTCTCAAGCGATCCTGCCGCCTCAGCCTCCTGAGTAGCTGGGACTACAGGCACATGACACCATGCCTGGATATTCGTCTTTCTGTGTAACTGGTTGAGAAACAGGGGAGTAACAGTGAAGAAACGGTCTTAGAATAAATCTGGTGACAGCAGAAGAGAATATGAGACAGATTGTGCTCACAGAGCCTTGAAGAGTGTGACAGTATTTGAGGGCCACGCTGTTGTCTTAGAGTGAAGTGAGGAGAACCTGCACTGGTTTGGTAGTCATGGGAATGGAAGGAGGAAAGAAATGTGAAAGCTCATCGGTGGCAGAGTCAAAATGGCTTGGTCTTTGTAGTCAACGATTAAGTGAGAAGGAGGAATTACTGGCTGACTTAGAAGAAGTAAAAAACGTGAAATACCGATAAAACACAAATCTCGTGATTTTAGTCAGCGTAAAGACTAAGCATTGTGTGATTCTAGATATATTATTAAGCAGTTTTGTTCCAGTATTTTATATCCCATATCTTCTAGCTATGACCCTATTTCTTTGTTTCTTGACATAGACAAACATTTTTTAAACTAAGAGCTTTATTGTGATACAGTTTTTGTATGATAAGCCTCACCCTTCAAGTGTACAGTTCAGTGGTTTTTAGTATATTCAGAGTTATGCAGCCATTACCGCTCCCTAATTTCAGAACATTTTCATCTCCCCAAAAAGAACCCCGTACCCACTAGCAGTCACTCCCTGTAGCTCTCTCCCCCACCATTGATCCTGGCAACCTCTGATCTAACTTCTATCTCTGTAGATTTGCCTATCCTGGGCATTTCATATAAATAGAATCATACAACAGTGGCATTTTGTGACTGATTTTTCTTTACAGTGATTATAAATCAAATGCCTGAAGACGCTAAGCTTAGGATAGTGTTTGCTGTACAACTTTGATAACTGAACTTTTGTAAAGCTGAAAATGTGACTGTGTCTGTATATGTGGCATATTATCCTTAGATGATCCTTACTTCGATTATTAAGAATTTTTTCCCCTAGTAATCTTCAACTGTCTCAATATTCAGCAGGAACCCCTTGGAGACAAAGATCAGTACGAATTTGGAACACCTATTGACAAAATGAATGTAATTTAATTTAGTACAGTAGTAAAGTCAACCACTTTTAGGTGTTGATGCTGCTGAAAGTGTATATTAAGGAAAAACTTACTTACCTTACTTTTTGTGGAGGTGCTAGAACTATTTCTGTCTTGTGTTTAGATTTCAAGAAACCTTTGCATGGGCATTATGTGGTTGCACAAATGTACTTCGTTTTGACCTGAAAATGCAAAAACTTCCTTTCTTCCCACTTTCTGAGACTCTGCAACCTTAAAGGAAGAGTGGGGTTCTTTAAAGGAAAGGTGGTGGTGGTTGGGTCATGGGTAACAATGTCTACTGTGTACTTCCTTTCCCAAAACAAGTCCCTGTCTACCGTCAGCATTTCCAAAACTTGAAGGTCAAGTGTGGTGTTAACTCATGAACTAATGACTAGACTTTGAGCGGTTGTGGAAGCAAAATCTCAGTGAGTGCCTGGATGTTCTAATTCTGTTAAGTCAGTGAGTGCATATTCTGTACAATACTCTCTTAGCCCAGTGGCAGGTTTAAGGAGTGGGAGAGAGATTTCTATGTTTCGGAAATCAAATACACAAAGAATAAAAATTTTTAATCCCATGAATCTTTGCCCGAGTTTAATTTCTTGGAGAGTTTTTCTTTTAGATTTTCTTTCCCTTCCATTAAACTTTTACTTAGAAAGGTCCCAGGGTTTGGGCAAAGCAAGTGGGAAAGACACTTGCTTGGGTTCTCCAGGATAAGGGATTGAAGAGGACTTCTTTCCCTCATTTTATTATTGAATAATGTCACAATAACAATTATTAAGGTGAATAGTCTACAGTGGAAGTGTTTAGATGCCTTGTCTGCAAAATAACTTGGTTTAGTCAACCCAAGGATGCCTTTGGTTAGCTGGAATGGGAGATGTGCAGGTTAGAGTGGTCTTGGCAAGTCTTCCAGGGGGAAATACAGCATTTGAAGGGTAGGAAGCAGAAGGAATCTCAGGCAAGGGAAAGGCGTGGGCAGAGCCCCGGAGGACAGAACAGGTTGTGGTGGACTTGGTGTCCACATAGACCTAATTAGTGGTCTTAGCTTTTGTGTTTTCAAAATTACCACAGTTTGTGTTCTAAAACTGTCATTCTCTTGATTTTATTTTAGACATACTATCTGTGTATTTTGAAATTTAAAATAACAGTAAAGGAGAAACGAATTTATTTTGTTTGAGAAAGAGTTAAAAGGTTAAAACATCTTGATCTTAATAATTTTCTAATGGGAGATTTGGTACACCCCCAGAAGTTGTCTTTGGTTCAGAGAATAGTGTTCAGATCTAGAAAGGACTTGAGAAGTCCCAGAGAGGTGCTGCATGGTCTGAACCATTTGATTCTCACGACAGAATGGATAAAAACAATTTGAACCAGGAAACCATGCAGATGTTCATATTTTGGATAGGGTAAGGTCAGTGCGGTCGTCAGAGGAAAAACTCTCGGCCATCACAGGATGGGAGAGAAAGTTTGAGTTGTGAAGAATACTCAAATGCCGTTTAGGGAAACGGGTTCTTCTGCACCTATTCTTTGGAATATTTAGGGCTAAGTTCTTAGTTTTTGACATCATAAAAATGTCAAAGTATTCTGTTCTAAGAGCCATTTCAAACAACTGACTAGAATTTCAGAGCAATTACATGAGAGTAATACCATTAAAATGTTTAAATTACCCATAGTCCTATATCCCTAACAAGTATGTTCACGCTTGCATGTTCTCTTCTCATCTTTACTGTGTGCATACTTTCTTAGTAATGGCACGTAGACATTGTTTAAGCAGGAATAATTCTCGAGATAATTTTGTATGTTTCCTTTTTTCTTTTTAAGGTAGGTATTGGGTGGAGGAGCATTATATTTGCAACTTCTCGCAAAACACGTGATTATTTTCTTATAATATTCAATTTTCACCCTCAATAGAGTGTTTTGATTATGTAAGTTAGACAGAAAGTAGAAGGTTCTCTTAGAGAAATTTTAGTGTTTTTTTTTCATAGCTCCTACTTTCAAGAATGAAAAAGGTAAACCAGTAAAATGACACTGTACTTGGTGCTGCATCTATGCTGGGATAGGCATTAAGAGTGACCTTTATTTAAGGTTCTAATTTGCTCATGTTGGGCACTTAGAACGTCAGTTTGTTGCTTTTTGTGAGATTTTGGAAATGGTCCAATTTTACTTTTTCCCCTTGACTCCAGACTTTTTAACACTGATCTGCTGCTGTTGAGGCATATGCCGTTTTGTTAGGCCTCCTCAAGTGGGAGTCAGGAATGCTGCTGTGTTCCAGAGAGGTTTTGTTCTTCCTGTAGGGCTGAAGCAGTGCCTACTCAATAGAACCAGTCATCGTGCAAAGAAATGCCACCTGACTCAAAGGCAAAGCCAGAGTGCAGCTTGGAGCAAAGAAGGTATTTTATTAAGAATTTTACATAAACCATAAGATATATTTTATATTACTTTGCGAGCCTTCTTCCTGTCTTGACTTAATTCTTTTTGAGAGAATTCATTTCATTTTCATTTGGTTGGTTTTCTTCTTGTTACAAAGATGATCTATAGAAAATATAGAAGTATAAGAAAATTAAAGATACTAACTGATAATTGCTTAATGATTTAGTATCTGCTTGTTTAGTCTTTGTTATATTTACAGTAGGCAAACATGTCTACCGTTGTGAATTTATTACTGGTATGTATACCCTAGTAAGTTAAAAGTTGTACGTACTTTGAAGTTTTGCAAAATTGAGTTCATATTATAGAATTAATTCCTGATGAACTTTTATGTGCTAGGCACTGGTCTTTTTATTTAATTATTTATTTTTACTTTTTTTTCCTCTGTGCCTATGCTTACCAAGTCTTTTTATTTTTTACTTTTTATTAACTCTTTTAATCCTCTGGATAAATTAAAAAGAGGGTATTATTAATATCTGCATTTTGTAGATGAGGTAACTGAAGGTAGGTAACTTGTCCAAGGTCACAGGTGGCAGAGCAAGGATTAAAACTAGACAGTCTGGCTGCCCAAGGCCCAACGAAGAGGAGCTGAGAGCAAGCCACCGGGCAGAAGGATGTTGGTCAGGCTGGTTTCCTGTTCAGTTAACATGAAACGCAGGCTTAACCTTAATTCTAGGACGTTACCGAGAAAGCCTTCCAAAGCCATAGGTTTTTTACCATGACCATGACTTCTTTTTTTTTTTTTTGAGACAGAGTCTCACTGTGTAGCCCAGGCTGGAGTGCAGTGGCGCGATCTCGGTTCACTGCAGCCTACCTCTCTTGACAGTCCGCTGCTTAAAGTCATTCTCCTGCCTCAGCCTCCCGAGTAGCTGAAATTACAGGCGCCGGCCACCACGCCTGGCTAGCTTTTGTGTTTTTAGTAGAGACGGGGTTTCACCGTGTTGGCCAGGCTGGTCTTGAACTCCTGACCTCAAATGACCCACCTCTGCCTCCCAAAGTGCTGGGATTCCAGGCGTGAGCCACCGTGCCAGGACCCAAGGCCCTTAAGTTTTAACGTCTCATTCTTCAGTCAGGTTTTCCTTGTTCCTGCGTGTTCAGCCATTTGTTTTTAAGTTTGTGTTGAAGGAGAAACTAACAACGAAAATGGACTTGTTGACGGAAGAAAAGTAGGAATGCAGCCTCTGGTGCTGTTTGAGTGATCCCTCTGCCCCAGGCCTGGCTGCGCGCTGCTGTGTTCTGGAAAGGCGCATTGTGCCCTCGCTGTGGCAGGTAAGAGTCCTGTACAGGTGCTCTGCCCACTTTACCTTTCAGGCTTCTGTATCAGCTGTTTTTCCCTTGTAGAATGTGCCCCTGACCTGTGCCCCTGACTTCCACCCCTTAACCCTGCCCAATACATCTTTACATGTCTGACCATCAAGACTCTTCTGGGTCATATTCAGTTCATGCTGATATTTTCCCTTCCTCCCCTCTTTAGTCCTTACTATTTTTGCTTTGGTCATGTTATGCTATATTCTGTAAGCCTTTAAAAATTTTGTTGTATCATGGCAGGGGAGAATATTTTATAATTATGCTTTGTGCGTTTTATCTTCCACTCAATGAATGCTTGGTAAATATTTGTTTTATTGAGTATATGACCCTTTTCTAGCTATACCGTGAACAAAAATGTTAACTGCCTTGTACGTTAACTGCTAAGAATTTGTCAAAAGTGCAGAGATGACATCCAGAACTTGTCAGAATATTACAAAAAGGTCTCTAAGGGCATGATGGAGGTCTGTAAATTGACTTCATGTGAAAGAGTGTAAGAAGTGAAAATGTGAAGCATGACTGGAGAGCCGGAGTGATAAAGCAAGGGTCCCTTTCTCCAGATCCTTTGTAACAGTGTCATGTGACCTCTTCTAGATCATTCTGAAAGACAATGCCAGCTCGGAACCTAGGAAAGCATCCAGTGGGTTTCTGCATGTTAGGTGGTTCAAATCCTCATTAGCACCTTTGTTTTCTCTGCCTCAGTTTGCTTACAGTGATGTTCTCAGTAGCTGTAATTGCTGTCTGTCTTTGAATATTTAAGCATTTTTTTTTTTAGATCACAGGGTATATGTGCATTTTTATTTTACCAAGTGTTAGAATTTTTACTCTGCCTTTGTGGGCTCTGGGTTAGCTACTTGGCTGTTTCATCGTAAAATGATTAGCAGGAAAAACTGTGTGTGTGTGTGTGTGTGTGTGTGTGTGTGTGTGCGCGTGTGTATTTTAAGTTTCTTAATTGGGTTGGTACATGTAAACCATTTAGAACAGTGCCTGCTGCATATCACATCCCCATCAGTATTCACGTCTCTCATATTCTACCCTCACACTTGATTGATAGTTTGCTTGATTACGTATTTCTAGGTTGAGGATAATTTTACCTTAGAATTTCAAAGTCTGTGCTGTTGTCTTCTAACCAGTCGTGGTGGCGAAGCCTCATGCCATCCTGAGTTTCACTTGTTTATGCATGACTTTCTCCCTGGAAGCTTTTAGGAGTTTGTCTTTTCCTTGGTGAGCTGAAATAGCACAACAGTGTACTTAGTGTGGGTCTTTTTTCATTCATTATGCTGGGTACACCAAATGAACAGGCCTATGGATAGGCTCTTTCAAAGTTGGAGTCTTGAATCTTGTCATATTTTTGTTGTTAACTTTCTCTTTTCCATTTTATTTGTTCATTTGGAAGTGTCTGTTAATTGGATTTTAGACCTCTTGTCTTGAGTCTTATATCTCACGTTATTTCTAAATGTTTTTTAAATTTTCAGTTCTGGAATATTTTCTTATCTTTCGACTTTCAGGAAATTTTATTTGGACTGTCATAACTTTAAGTTTTGTTTTGGTTATTTATTGTTGCTTAACCAATTATCCCAAAACCTAATGGCCTAAAACTACACATCTGTCTATCTGTCACGACTGTATGGATTACCTGGGGCTAGCTGGACAGTTTTTCTGCTGGTCTCATTTGGCAGCTCTCACTGTGTGGTTAAACAGTGTCAGGGACTGGTCATCTGGATGCTCAGCTGCAGTGGAATGTCTGAGACGGCTTCTTTACCCACAGGTCTGCTGCCTTGGTGATTCTTGATGTGGCCTTTCTCTCTGCATAGCATCTCATCCTCTCGGATCTCTTCATGTGGCTTTTCTTTCTCCAAGAAGGTAGCCAATTCTTATTTTTGGCTTCCAGAAGCACAGAAATGGAGCTGCCAGGAGTTCTTAAGGCTTAGACCTGGAACAGGTCCAGTGTCATTTCTACCACATGCTATAGGTTAAAGTGAGTGTTGGGGCCAACCCAGATTGACTATGGGATGGGCCTGTCTGAGGACATGATGACAGGAGGTATGGCTCATTGGAGACCAACTCCCAAGATGGAGCATGAGTTCTAAGAACTTTTTCTTCTCTGATTATTTCTTATTCATATTGTTTTGTTTTATACATGTAATATATTCACAAGTGTCTTTATGAAGTGATTTTGATACTCTTTGTCTTCTCCCTGGCATCTCCTTGTTCTTTAATAATTTTTTTCTTAGTTTATTTTGGTCTTATTTTTCTTTTTAAAGCCTTTCCTTAAATATCTATTCTATGTTGCTTATCATTTGTAGTCTTTTTTTTTTTTTTTTTTGAGACCCAGTTTCGCTCTTGTTGCCTAGGCTGGAGTACAATGATGTGATCTTGGCTCACCACAACCTCTGCCTCCAAGGTTCAAGCAGTTCTCCTGCCTCAGCCTCCCAAGTAGCTGGGATTACAGGCATGTGCTACCACGCCCAGCTAATTTGTGTATTTTTAGTAGAGATGGGATTTCTCCATGTTGGTCAGTCTGGTCTGGAACTCCCAACCTCAGGTGATCCACCCACCTCGGCCTCCCAAAGTGCGGGATTACAGACATGAGCCACCGTGCCTGACCTGTAGTCTTTTTTCCATTCCTTTATTTGTTCATTCATATTTGAGAGAGGTACTAAAAGACTGGGAGCCGAGGTGTGGTGGCTCACACCTATAATCTCAGTGCTTTGGGAGACCGAAGTGGGAGGATCACTTGAGCCCAGGAGCTCAAGACTAGTTTGGGCAACATAGTGAGACCCCATCTTTACAAAAAAAAAAAAATAGCTAGGTGTGGTGACACCCATCTGCAGTCCCAGCTACTTGGGAGGCTGAGGCAGGAGGATTGCTTGAGCCCAGGAGGTTGAGGCTGCAGTGAGCTCTGATCATGCCACTGCATTCCTGCATTCCAACCTGGGCGAAAGAGCAAGACCCTGTCTCAAAATAAATAAATAAATAAATAAAAATAAAAATAAATAAAAATTGATTGGGAGTTCTTTGTGGCCAAGACTTGTCAACTGATAGCTTTAAGGGGAATGTATGCTGATTCCTAATTGTTATCCTCCATCCCTCTATCTTATCTCCTGTTGCAATCATAAATGATGGCTGGATGACTACTCCATTCCTCTGGATGTAAAATCTACATTCTCTTGCCTGAGGTGGATACGTTTGCTTGGGTTCTGTTTAAGGAGATGGGGCCAGCAGTGTGTTTCAGGGCCTGTGAAATGTGTTCTCTATCCGGGCTTTTGCTTAATCTCTGTTTTCAGTCTTGCCTATCAGTCCCACTGTCGGGGGTACCTCGTGTCTGAGTCTAGAACCTTTCCAGGTTGCTGTGGGACAGATTAGCCTCCTTGTTCTCAGTATCCCCCTGACCTCCACCTTTGTTGCTTTGCTCCATGAATTAACCATTTTCCATGTACTGTCATTGTCTAATGAAGATGAATTCTCTTCTGTTGGTAACCCCATTCCTTTTTTGTAATGGTGTGCTTATACAATGTTTATTCTTCACTGTATTTCTATTGGAGCCTCAGGACAAAGAGCAGATGGTGAGAATCTGTGTTCAGTGTTAAGTTTTCCTTCTGTAAGACATGTGCAACTTGTGTTTTTCACTGAATAGATCATGGACTTAATGCATATAGAGCTACTTTGTTTTTCATGATTGTGCCTTCAATTATATGTAGAAATATAATTTGTGAATTGCCTGATGAAATTTTCCTAATTTTGAATTATCTTTGCATTCCTATAATAAACACTGTTGGAATGGCTATGGTAATATTTTATTTTTGCATTTTTACTTCTGTATTAAATAAGATTATAGTTTTGTTTGTTTCCTTTAAGGCTGTTATTTCAGTATCAAGGGTATGCAGGGCTGAGTTGGGAAGCTTTACATCTTTTTTCTAAGATCTAGGATGTAGATCTGGTTTACACAGTAATTTTCAACTGCAGGAGTATTTTGCCTCCTATGGGACGTTTGGAAATATCTGGAGACATTTTTGTGGTCACAACTGGTCATGGTCGGGAGGTCTCATTGGCATTCTGTGGGTAGAGGGAATGTTTACTAAATGCCCGACAACACACCAAGAGAACCCTCCACAAAGAATTATCTGGCCCAATATATCAATATTGCTGAGGATGACAAATTCTGGTTTAAATATCCAATTTGGAGGATGAGTCTTTGTCTTTTTCCTTCTTCTGCATATTGGTCTCCAGATTTCCCACTTCTTCAGTTACTTTTCGTAACTGTAGGTTCTTAAAAAAAAATGAACACTTTGGATGGGTGCGATGGCTCATGCCTGTAATCCCAGCACTTTGGGAGGCCGAGGCGGGTGGATCACGAGGTCAGGAGATAGAGACCATCCTGGCTAACATGGTGAAACCCTGTCTCTACTAAGCCAAAATACAAAAAATTAGCCAGGCGTGGTGGCGGGCGCCTGTAGTCCCAGCTACTCGGGAGGTTGAGGCAGGAGAATGTTGTGAACCCGGGAGGCGGAGCTTGCAGTGAGCCAAGATCACCCCACTGCACTCCAGCGTGGGTGACAGAGCGAGACTCCGTCTCAAAAAAAAAAAAAAAAAATGAACATGTCATCCATACTTCTAAGGTGTTGTAAAGATGTGTAAAGTTTTCACTTTTTGCATCATATTCACATGTGGCTATATGCCCTTTTCTCTTCAAAGTTTTCTTTATCTTGATTACTTATCAGAGGCTTGACTGTTTTATTATCTCAGTCTTTTGAAAGAATCCTCCTTTAGTTTTATTTTTTAAATCTAGTGGTTTTTCTTTTTCCTTAGGTCTTAATTATTTCCCCCTTTTGTTTGTTTTGCTTTTCCTAGTTTAGTGGATCAATGTAATTTAAATTGCTTTTTAAACAAACGTGTAAGGGTATACATTTTCGTTGGCTGCTGTTTGACTTCGTTGCACAAGTTTTAAAATCTATTTTTTAATAGTTTGTATTTTCTAAATTATTTTATTGCATCTTTTGTTCACATTGCTCTTACTATTAATTTTTTATTTTAATTAATTAATTAATTAATTAATTAATTAATTGAGATGGAGTCTTGCTCTGTAGCCCAGGCTGGAGTGCAGTGGCATGATCTTGGCTCACTGCAAGCTCCACCTCGGGGGTTCATGTCATTCTCCTGCCTCAGCCTCCCAAGTAGCTGAGACTACAGCTGCCTGCCACCACATCCGGCCTTTTTTGTATTTTTAGTAGAGATGGGGTTTCACCGTGTTAGCCAGGATGGTCTCGATCTCCTGACCTCATGATCCACCCACCTTGGGCTCTCAAAGTCCTGGAATTACAGGCATGAGCCACTGCACCCAGCCCAAAAGCTTTGTGCTTTTACAGATATTAGACATGTTTCTTGTTTAAGAAAAAAAATCTTAACGAAAACGTAGGAGAATAAGAGAAACATTTTTCCAAAAAAGAGAAATCATTGTGATTATTTTATCTTATTAGAATGTTGGATAATATAGTCTGCTTCATTAATCATCAAGCATGCTATGCATTTTCCATTTTTATAGGATCTGTATCTCAGTTAAGGTAATACTGGTAATTTTTGTACTGTAATCAAAGATGAAAAATATAGGCCAAAATCATAGACCTTGCATAGAAGCTGGATAATGAAGACAGCTATGGAGAAAAACATAGATACACACACATGGACACACATATATATAAAGTATACACACATATATTTTTTAAAGTTTTAAAGCTTTTAAAGCAAAAGCCAGCCCCTCTTCTCTTCCAGAGTGGGAGGCCTCTCCCCTCTCTTAGAGTGGGTGGGGAGAGCGGTTGCCATGGGCAGCTTTCCTTGTGAGCCGCAGGGCCCTCTGGACACGCTGCTGTCTGGCCACGCCCCCTTTCCCTTTCATCTTTCTCATTGACCAATGGGCTTGGAGCATTAAGGCCACGCCCCTATTCCGCATTCTACTGGGGCCCTGGTTACGCCTCCTCTGGCTCAGTCACACAGCTGCCTGGTAGGTGACTGGAGGCCTTGAACGGTTCTTATTGGGATTTTGCTGCTGTGGCCCCAACCCTTCCTCCCTCCCCACCCTGCAATGGCAGAAGAAACTCAACACAACAAATTGGCTGCAGCCAAGAAAAAGGTAAAAACGCACTAGGTCATAGCCCCTCAACCCAGCCACAGATCCCCTCTGATGACAAGACCCCTGCCAGAGTCTATATGACTCCTGAGGCACAGTGGACTGGTCCCCCCAACCCCGGTGCCTTGGGCTACCCCCACCAAAGTTTTGTCAGTCAGCCCCACCCCTTCAGCAAGCAGCCCAGTCCTTGCCCTCGCCAATCACCCCAGGGTGACTTTGGGTGGGTGACTCCTGGGGCTTCCCGCTCCATTACTGGGCCGTCATCTCCTGCCGCCCCAAGCTTGATCTCCGTGGGCTCTTTGGGCTCTCATCTCCAAGGAGCCAGGCCCCACCCTCGCCAGTCATCCTTGGGTGACTTTGGGCTGGTGACTCCTGGGACTCCCTGCTGCAGACTGTGCCCTCCCCTCCTGCTGCCTCAAGGTCGACCTCCCTGGGTTCTTTGTGCTGGCGTCTCCAAGGAGCTGGGTCCCAACCCTGTGCTTCCCTCCCCCATCGTGGAGCAGCGACTTGGACATGGTGCTGACATGGTCCCTCCCCCCGACCAGGAGGAGTGGAATGTTGTGATGTCACAGTCCACCTAGTAACTGCCGTTACTGCAAGACTGGCCTTTGACCTTACGACCCAGTCCCCTAAGCGTTCTCACCCCGTTTCTGGTTCCTCTGGTCACAGCACAAATTTCCAGCTGGAAGGGGAATGGAGACTATGGGACCTAGGAGCAAGAGGTTCCAGGCTGCCTCACTCCCTTACAGATGTTGACGGTGGGAAAAGCCTACACTTCCCCCATGAACTCAAAACATTGACAGTATCTCTGGGTGGCAATGAGAGAATGGGTTTGATTTGGTTTTCTCCCAGGCTTCTACTTTCCAGAGAGATTTTAACATTTTTTTCTGAGTTCTCCACCTCATATTCTAATTCTCCATGGTTCTGGGACCAGACTCTCCTTCAGTCAGTGGTCTCTGAAGTGACATTTGCTCATCTTCTGTGGAATAGATCTTGGGAAACTGAACTTGACACCTTGAATCTTCCTCATATTATCTCAACCTTGGGTACTTTGAGTGCCACAGGATAAATGTGGGACATCTTTCTGAAGCATCAGTTTCCCTTGATTCTCTTGAGATCAAGAGAAAAAACATGAATGTACTTAGGGAGGACAGTCACATAGGTTTCTAAGAGTATACCAGACCTCTCTCTGAAATGAGGCTTGGGTTGTCCTCTTTCTGATAAATTCTGATTTAAGAGAAAGGCTGCCTTCTGCCATGAGGACACATTGATATAAAAGTTTGAGAGGTACTGGTGCACTTCTTCACACTAACAGACGTGTGAGGATGTATGACTAAACCACATGGCATACATTTCCTGCCTACTTAATGTTTACTTTTCTACCTCTGCCTCTGGTTTTGGTCCCTGGCAGCTGCTGATTCTTGGCAAAACCTCAGAGCTTGGAGTCAGAAGACTGAGTCTCAAAGTTCCAGTATTGCCTTTTTCTTTTTTTTTTCTAGCCATGATATCAATCCTTCTCAGTCACTAAATGAGTGTGACAACACCTTGTACAGTTGTTGGTGTCATTAAATCAGATGGTGTGTAAGTGTATTTTGTAAAAACTGTAAAGGAGGTTGTGGCTGTAGGGGCTGACGGTTCTCATGAATATTACTGCTCTTCTTTCCAACAGTTAAAAGAATATTGGCAGAAAAACAGACCTAGAGTTCCAGCAGGAGTGAACAGGAACAGGAAAACAAATGGCAGTATCCCTGAGACAGCCACTTCCGGTGGTTGCCAGCCACCTGGGGATGTGAGTCTTGGCTGACCAGGCTTCTGGGGACAGGGGGCCCAAGGGGCAATAGAGGGTAATTCTTAAGATTGTGGATGGACTGCTGGGTACTGGTTAAGAATTCTGGCTTTAGCCGGGTGTGGTGGCCCACGCCTGTAATCCTAGCACATTGGGAGGCCAAGACAGGCGGATCATGAGGTCAGGAGATCGAGACCATCCTGGTTAACACGGTGAAACCCTGTCTCTACCAAAAATACAAAAACATTAGCCACGCGTGGTGGCGTGTGCCTGTAGTCCCAGCTACTCAGAAGGCTGAGGCAAGAGAATGGTGTGAACCTGGGAGGTGGAGCTTGCAGTGGCCAAGATTATGCCACCGCACTCCAGCCTGGTGAAAGAGCAAGACTCTGTCTCAAAAAAAAAAAAAGGAATTCTGGGTTTGAATCCTGCCTCTCCATCTGCTCTGCTAGGGATATGATTTAGGGCAAGTTGCTAGACCTCATTGGGCCTCTCTTTTCACATCTGTATAATAGAGGTGATATTGTTTCACTTCCATTTGTGAAGTTTAAATGAGATTTGTTATTGTTGTTTTTATGTTAATCCCTAGTACATGGCCTGCTGTAAACACTCAGGACACCCAGGATATGGTTTGATTTTCCTCATCCCCAGTCTCAAGGGGAAACCAGGACAAAGAGAACAGCCACTTGCCATCAGGAGTCACTGAAGGGGCCCCAGGATGGGATGGTGGGGAGATAAGAACCATGAGAGAAGTTGGCACAAAGGAGTTATGGGACAAAAGGTCCAAGATAGGCAGAAAAGAAAATGTTGCAGTTGATGGGGAAGAAAGGAAGTCAGAGGGCTCAGACACTGTGGGGGACAGAACATCTCCATGTGCACTCTCATCTCTTGTAGTCAGCAACAGGTTTCCACAGGGAAGGCCCTACATCATCTGCTACCCTGAAAGATCTGGAGGTAAGAGGCTCTGGGTGGAGGTGCAGTGACCCTTCGGGTCAACCCTCCAACCTCCTCCTCCAGGTGGGACTGGGTGCCCCTCTGCCAGCTGAGACAGCCCACACACCCCAGCCCTAACGATCGTTCTCTCTACCTCTCTCCCCACTCCTGCTCCACCTCCTCCTCTCTGCATGCACCTCAGAGCCCGTGCCAAGAACGAGCAGTAGTCCTGGATTCAACGTCCGTAAAAATCAGTCGACTGAAGAACACCATCAAATCTTTGGTAAGAGTCCGGTGGGGTCCCCTGATTCCACGCTGCCAATCCTGGGCTCCAGTTTCCCCTTGGGGCCCTGAAGAAAGGGGCTGGGGGTCCCTGGTGCCCGGGACAAATAGGGAGCTTGGGTGCCCAGGCCTCACCTGGAGGGACCCCAGAGCATGCAGCATGGCTCTTCTTTTGCTGCCCTCTTTGCCGACTCTCTCCTCTCCAGACACCCCTGCTCGAGTCCTTGCTACACACGCCCTGGGGTTGTTGCCTCTTGGGGAAGTGCTAGCCTGACTGGTTGTCAAGGGCCCCGTATTTCTGCCATGACTCAGTCCCTAATTTGCTCTTTGATTCTGGACAAGCCACCTCTCCTTTTTGGGCTCGTGTTTCCAGAGGAGGTAGTGAGTATCAAAGGTCTCTGTTAGCTCTCGAGTCTGAGATTTAAAGGCCCCCGGGAATGGAAACCTCAGGGCTAAGGGCTCCTGTCTGTCCTTTTCCATCCTATATCTGCTGTGAAGAACCGTACCTGGCCCATACGTGCTCAGTAAGTGTTTATTGAATGAACCCACTTTTCTAAATCACAAGCTGCCAGAAGGAGGGGCCTTTCTGAAACTCCATCTCTAGAGGTTTATGTTGCTGTCCTCTCAAGAGATTCCAGATTCAGACTGAGTTCTGTGGCTGTGGGCAAAAGCCAACAAAGACCCAAATCCTCTGTCCTTGGGAGCTTGAGGAGAGTTTACCGGTTCGTGTTCCCATTATGTCTGAGAACTTTGCCTTTAAAATCCATTCCTGGCCCCTGCCTACCGCTTCCTGATCTGGGGAATAGAGTTGAGGGGGCCACCCTCCATCACCTTATTTGACTCTCCCCACAGAAACAACAGAAGAAACAAGTGGAACATCAGCTGGAAGAAGTAACGTGATTTCGTTTCCTCGCGACATGACTGCTGGGTTTGGGGGGCACTCAGACATACAGGCCCCAGTCTCGTCTCACCCACTCCCAGCCTGGGGAAGAAGGCTCACCCCTCAGATTCCACCCCATCCCCACAGGGCCCCTGATAACCTGGTCCCATGGGTGGGCCTGTCCTGGGGCATTGGTGGCATTCTGGGGGCATGTCTCTTGCTGTGCCATCTCTGCCTCCCCCTGGTAAGAGCTCTGTCTTCCTCTTCCTACAGGAAAAGAAAGCAAACAACGAGAGACAGAAAGCCGAAAGGGAGCTAGAGGTGAGTGGAGGGTGTGCAGTTTCCTCCTGTCCTCCGGAGAATGTTTCTTTCCTTCTCTTTCAGCACTTGCTTGGCTTTTCTCCCAAAGGTTCAAATCCAGACATTGATCATACAGAAAGAGGAACTAAATACGGACCTGTACCACATGGAACGTTCTCTCAGATACTTTGAAGGTGGGAATCTGGGCACCCTGTCATCCTTCAACCTGGCACTTTGACAGGTCTTCAGGGGGAGTCCTTTGGGCCCCATCTCAACTCTCTCATTACAGAAGAGTCCAAGGACCTGGCTGTCCGCCTGCAACATTCATTGCAGTGTAAAGGAGAGTTAGAGAGGGCTCTGTCTGCTGTCATCGCCACAGAGAAGAAGAAGGCAAACCAGGTGAGTCCAGCCACCTGCCCCATCCCCTGGGAGCCTGGTTTTGCAGATGGAGGAGTGAGCCTAAAGGTCCCTTCTGCAGGATGGCGTGTCCTGCCCAGAAGGCAGCATGGCCATTTCTTGCTACTTTTTTGTATGGTTTTTAGTGGCAGCCTGGGGCCGAGTCAGCTGCTGTGGGTGAGTTGGGGGGTACTGTGGGGAGTGAGCACTGGACGCAGAGCTTGGAGGCCAAGTGCCTGCCCCGCCCTTACCTGGCTGTGGTCTTGGGCAAGTCCTAGGTGGGGTATTGGGTACTTGTACTGTGAAGGTACAGAAGAGTACCTTTAGTATGTTACCATTTCTGTAGAAAGAGGAAACGCGTGCGTGTGTGTGTGTGTGTGTGTGTGTGTGTGTGTGTACATACTGTGATAATATACATAAAACATGTCTGCAAGGGTTCATAAAAAATTCAGGAGAGAGAACAAGATGGCTGGGAGATACTTCCCTTCTGTACCTTCTGAGTTTTGGACTATGTGAATGTATCATCCTTTCAAAAAGTGAAGAAAAGATTAATTTTCCCCTTCCTATCTGTGCCCCCATCCCCAGCAAGAAAAATGGGCTTAGAGAATTGGATAGACCTGGGTGTTTATATCCCAGCTCTGCCTAAGTGAACTTAGGCAAGCACTTAACCTCAAATACTCCATGTTTTTTCATCTCCACAATAGAGGGAATCATAGTAACTGTCTCCTATGGTGGTTGCGAGGATTAAATGGGATTGTTAGCACGGTACCTGGTGAAGCATTCCACAAAGGTTCAAACAGTGGTAATAATGACAATAATAACAATAGCAATATTATCTGATCTCTCTGGGCCTCTGTTAGCCAGCTATAAACTCAGTCTCATTCCCTGTCCGTTCCAACTTTACTGTGTTCTTTTAAAAACCAGACCACGGGCTGGGAAATGCCTTGATCTTTACTGACCGAGTTGTATATTGGGCCTAGCCCTAGCCCTGTTAAGGGGCACTGTGTGGAAATGCCCAGGCTCTCCAGATTGAAACTTCTAACTCTTCACCATCCAGTTGTCCAGCTGCAGCAAAGCACATACAGAGTGGGAGTTAGAGCAGTCCCTACAGGACCAGGCACTGCTGAAAGCGCAGCTGACACAGGTGAGGTTTTCCGAGGGAGGGATGTGGAAGGACGATGACCCCAGGTGGCCAGGAGCAGGTGAGGACCAGTGACAGCCCTTCCTAACTTCTGTGCCCATTCTTGCAGTTGAAGGAGTCATTTCAACAACTCCAATTAGAAAGAGATGAGTGTGCTGAACATATAGAAGGAGAGAGGGCCCGGTGGCATCAGAGGATGAGTAAAATGTCGCAGGAGGTGAGATCTGACCCTTCAGCCCCCCCACATTAGATAGGTCACTGGATCTTTCTGGGCATCTGTAAAATGGGAATAGTAGAGCCAGAGGTGGTCATGGGTCTGGGCTTTGTGGAGGTGGGGGCAGAGAGGGAGAGGGCAGCCTGTCCAGCCACCAGCCCCTCTCTCCAGGGCCCTTTCCCCCTGTGCTTTGGGCAGATTTGCACATTAAAGAAAGAGAAGCAGGATATGCGTTGGGTAGAGCAGCTGGAGTGGAGCTTGTCCAAACTCAAAAACCAGACGGGTAAGATGGGGCTGGCATGACCTGGGAGCAGGACTGGCATCAGAGGGCTGTGAGGGTGGCTTAGAGTGCCCCAGGGAGGTGGGTGGATGGAAGGGCTTTGAGGCAGAGGGAAAGAGATCTGTGCCAGGAGACCGCAAGTCTTGTCATCTCAGTGAGTCTCAGTGTCTCAGTGTCCCCATCAGCAAAGAGGGCCCGTTGTCAGCCACCCGCAGTGCTCTTTCTCTGAAAGTGCTTTGGAAGACTGGCTACCATCTGGGTGCGAGGAATCATTAGCAGTGAGGCCAAGTTTGAGGAGCCTGAGAGGAGCTGTGCGCCAAGAGGAGGGTTTTTCTTTTCCGAGAATCCAGAGGCCCTTATTATCTGCTTCCTTTCTCAGCTGAACCCTTGCCCCCGGAGCCCCCAGCAGTGCCCTCTGAGGTGGAGCTGCAGCACCTGAGGAAGGAACTAGAGAGAGTGGCAGGAGAGCTCCAGGCCCAGGTCAAAAACAATCAGCACATAAGTCTCCTGAACCGGCGACAAGAAGAGAGGATTCGGGAACAGGAAGAGAGGCTTCGGAAGCAGGAGGAGAGGCTTCAGGAGCAGCACGAGAAGCTTCGGCAGCTGGCCAAGCCACAGAGCGTCTTCGAGGAGCTGGTGCGTTGCCCCAACTGGGGAGCCTGCCCTCCTCCCTAGCCCTCCGGGCCTTTGTTTCCCCACCTCTAAAATGGGGCAGTGTAGCCCTCGCGTGAAAGGTTACTTCTAAAGGCACCTGTGAGCCAGGTGGCTGTGGGAGAGAGGGGGTGATTTTTCTAACCTGCCTCCAGCCTTCCCAGTGCCATGGGAGGCAGACACCAAGTTCTGGGGTCTCCAGCTGCAGTGGGTGGCTGCTGATTGCTTCTCTCTGTCCAGAACAATGAGAACAAGAGCACACTGCAGTTGGAGCAGCAAGTAAAGGAGCTACAGGAGAAGCTTGGCGAGGTGAAGGAGACGGAAACCTCCACCCCATCCAAGAAGGGCTGGGAGGCGGGCAGCAGCCTCTTGGGAGGGGAGGTGCCAGGTCAGAGGCAGCTTCCAGCCTGGGGGCTGGTGACCACAGCACCCCCCAGGGCAGTCCTGCGACTGTTTCTCACTTCCTGCCTCTGACTTTTAAAGGTGGGTAGCCCTGGGCTCCTCTCAGGTCTGGACATCATCATCCCAGCTAGAGGCATGGAGCCCCCAATCACAGGGGAAGAGACAGTGCTATAACAGGCTCCTTATACCAGGTGCAGTGGCTCATGCCTATAATCCCAGCACTTTGGGAGGCTGAGGCAGAAGAATCACTTGAGGTCGGGAGTTTGAGATCAACCTGGCCAATGTGGTAAAACCTCATCTCTACTAAAATTTAAAAAAAAAAAATTAGCAGGGCATTGTGGCGCATGCCTGTAATTCCACCTACTCGGGAGGCTGAGGCACGAGAATTGCTTCAACCCAGGAGGTGGAGGTTGCAGTGAGCTGAGATTGCACCACTGCACTCCAGCCTGGGCCACAGAGTGACACTCTTGTCTGAAAACAAAACAAAAAGACTCCTTAGATTGAAACTGGATTCCAGCCTCGGTTCCACTGGTCACCGTTCAAGTACTTTGCATCTCTAAGTCTCTGTTTCTTTAACTTCAAAGGGAAGTTAGCATTTTCCTTACAGAGGTGCTGAGGATTAAATGAGAAGAGGGTATGAGATTTGAGGCTGGGGAAGGAGGCATGGGGTTCTAGGAAAGGGAGGCAGTCACTTAGGCCTGGAGTAAGGGGACAGGGGCCTGGGTAGCTGACAGAGCCCCACAGTGCCCTCGCTACCCTATTAATGGGCCCAGAATCTGGAAACCAGCCACCACGTGCCCTCACACCCAGGGTCTTCCTGCAGGTGGAGCTGAAGAGCCAAGAGGCTCAGAGTCTGCAGCAGCAGCCAGACCATTACCTGGGTCACCTGCAGCAGTACGTGGCCACCTATCAGCAGCAGGTGGCCGCCTATCAGCAGCTGACCTGTGAGAAGGAGGCGCTGTACAGGCAGTGACTGCAACAGACCCAGCTAATGAACCAGCTGCAGCAGTAGGAAGCTTGGGGCAAAGCAGTGGCCGAGATGGCCTGCCAAAAGTTGCAGGAGACCCAGGGGAGGGAGCTGCCGAGGATGGGGCTGTGAGGGGGACGACCTGGCAAACTCCATCCCTTCTCACTCTTTCCTGGCCCCTTAGGAGCACCTGGAAGCGGCCAGCCAGCAGAACCAGCAGCTAACGGCCCAGCTGAGCCTCATGGCTCTCCCTGGGGAAGGTACGGGAGACCGCTCAGAGGAAGAGGAGAGAGCCCCAGGAGGAAGGGGGGACTGCTAGCAGCATAGGATTGAGGAGTTGGAAGAGACCTTTAGAACAGCTGGTCATTATGCCGACCGGGTGCCTGCACTAAGTTCGGCATCAGTGTGGTGACCTCCTGTGAGCGGGCGGTCACCAAGTTGCCTAAGGGTGGCTGAACTGGCCAAGGTCAGAAAGGGAGCAGGTCAGAACTCCCACATCGACCAGTAGTGGGAGTGTGCCTGGGCGGAATAGCAAGATCTTGATTCTTAAAAGTAAAAATAAAGAACAACAGCTCATTCCTCTCTGGGGAGGGGCTGGCTCAGGGTTACACAGTGAGGGTGGAGGTAGAGGTGGGCCCACAGTACCTCCCTTGTTGGGTTGTCTGAAGACCCCTCTGGCCACCCCCCACAGGACACGGAGGAGAACATCTGGACAGTGAGGGGGAGGAGGCACCTCAGCCCATGCCGAGTGTCCCAGAGGACCTGGAGAGCAGGGAGGCCATGGTGAGCCTGACTCCCCCTGCACCCATTTTGCCACCTTTCTCTGTGGTCCCTCCAAGACCCCTTTATGCTCTTCGTTTCCCTGCCTTCTGATTTCTCTGGACCCTCACCCCTTCCGAGAGCCAGTGGTCAGACACCATTTCACCTGTGGCCAACAGGTGCACTCTCTGAGGCCCCAAGGGAAGGGGCTGCGCTCCACCTCTCTGCCCCATTTCTTCTGTGTATGCCCCTAGAAGAATGCTCACATCTTGCCCTCAGGTGGCATTTTTCAAGTCCGCTGGAGCTAGTGCCCAGGAGAAGCAGGCACAGTTACAAGAGCAGGTGAAAGAGCAGAGGGTGTGCTGCCAGCGCCTGGCTCACCCGGTGGCCTCGGCCCAGAAGGAGCCAGAGGCAGCCAGAGGCCCTGGAGCCCCAGGGCCTGGGGGCGAGTCTGTGAGTGGGGAGACCCACTGGGCCCTGCAGGAAGTCACGGAGAAGCTGGCCCATGCCAGGACTCACCTCCGCCTTCTCCATGACTTGAAAATGCCACCTGAGGGCAGGTCGCTGCCGAGATGTGACTGCAATATTTTGGCTCCAGAGCAGCTTTATGGACCACCTGAAGGAGAAGGCAGACCTGAGTGAGCTGGTGAAAAAACAAGAACTTCGCTTCATTCAATACTGGCAAGAGAGATGCCATCAGTGAGTGGGAGGCCAGGGCACGGCAGGGGGAGCTACAGGGCCATCAGAGGGGCCCCAGAATCTGAGCCCTGTCCTCCCGCAGGAAAATCCATCACCTTTTATCAGAACCAGGGGGCCGTGCCAAAGATGCAGCACTGGGAGGAGGACACCATCAGGCTGGAGCTCAGGGAGGAGATGAAGGTAGGGTGTGCAACATCTCTGTGGGGGTGGGGGTGGGGGTGGGTGTGAGGGTGGGCGCAGGCAGCGGCATGGCAGCTGAGCACCCCTCCCTCCAGGTGAAGCTGCTGGAGCTGCAGCAGATGGTATTGCGGCTTACAGCAACTACAACAATGGGCACAGAAAATTCCTGGCCGCTGCCCACAACTCTGCTGATGAGCCCGGTCCAGGAGCCCCAGCCCCCCAGGTGCTTGGGGCTGCAGACAAGCATGGTGGTGAGTAGAGCCCTCAGGTGGGGTGGGTAGGCAGGAAGAGGGGGGCTCCCACTGTGCTCAGATCCCCGCCTCCCTCTCTCCAAAGATCTTCGTGAGGTGACCCTCACCTCCTCTGCCCAAGGAGAGGCCAGGGAGGATCCTCTCCTTGACAAGCCTACTGCACAGCCGATCGTGCAGGACCACCAGGAGCACCCAGGCTTGGGCAGCAACTGCTGTGTGCCATTATTTTGTTGGGCTTGGCTGCCAAGAAGAAGGAGATAAACATCACCATCATCAAACAGCTGCTCAAGAAATTTTTAAATAAGAAACCAAGTTATGGGGTTAATCTCCTACACAATTCATTTACTTCCTTTGAATGTTAGACTCACTCATGATTATTTGTGTTTCTAATTTATAGTTTAAGTTTATTTGTAAAAAGTTAAAAGAGAGTGGGTGTCTGTGGCTCTCACTGATGTTCACTCTGGCATCCTTTAGCATTTTTCTTTTTTAATTTCATAATTGTAGGTCATTAGCATGCATATCGAGTTTGCCCTTACGTGGTGGGAGTTCAAACACACAAAGACCCACTCTTTGCCCAAAACTGTTCTCTTTGGTTTGGAATAGGCTGCCATGCTTTTTTAATGTTATTGCAGCATGTATATTCACTACAGCATTCAGACAAAATTTGCCTATGTTCTGCTGTTGTTTGATCTAATCTTAATCACAGTGAGCTCTTCCTTAGCTCAATATGTAGTTTGCCCCCAAGTGTGCACTGTTTATTACTTTGTAATACGCCACTATGAGTACTGACATTTAGAGTTGTTTAAAGGCCAAGAACTGGAAACAGCCTTTCCTCCATTTTCTGTGTATTGGTGATGGGAGTGATAACCTTTTGGGGGAGCTTTTTAAATCTCACAGAAGAGGAAAGTGGCCTCCTCTGGCAGGTACGTGCAGGATAGAGTGTGTTTCATCTGTTCCGGTGCCAGGAATTAGCAGTGTATTATGGTGGTTCCCTTAGGATTTGTATGTGCTCTGGGCTCATGAAGATACTGCATCATGAGCTGCAGCAGTTGCACTCTTTTTCGATGACCTAAAAAGGGCTTATTTCTGAGGAATGAAAGGTTCCCATCGTTGACTGTGGATGTGGAAAACCTTTCCTAGCTTAGAGCATTTGTATCTACAATACATTTTAAAGTCAGAGTTCATGTTACCTGTTTTAATCACATGACTACATGCCCCAGTACACAAAAGGGCACTGGTTGGCATTCTTCTTAATGTATTTAGTGAAGATCATAAGAAATCCTTTACGAGTTCAAATGTCCCTGGAACAGGCATACAGGCTCTAGTCAAGAATGAATTAGAGTGAAGGAAAGCTGTGTGACTCCTGGCATTCCTCTCTGTTCACGGAGATTCTTTGAGGCTTGAAGATTGATTTTACCATCTAGACCTCTTTGGCTAATACCTATTCTTCAACCACCTTGGTTACTCTGACATAGGAATTTACTTCTTTTTCTTTGAATGGAAAACACTTTAAAAAAAATAGAAACATTCTTATAAACTAATATATGTGAGATAGTTGAAACAAAAAGGAGTTTTAGTAGATGGTATTATACTGTCTTTGAAAATCAAGGAGAAGTTTATGAAACTTAAAATGTGTACAAACTGCAGTGCAATCTACTGTTGTTCGTGAATGTCAATGTATTATCAGGAAACGTGTCTATACAACCACAGAGTTATATTTTCTCACAAACTTCTTTACAAAGTGAAATATGTTTTTGTACCTCTGGGTTTCTGTTCGGGACATATTTTGTGCAATATTTATGTGATTGTGCCTATGCATGATGAATGAATGCATTTCAGTTATGTATTGCCTAAATCGTAACTTGATGATGCTTGGGAAAGACTCAACAGTTAAAACTTCATGAAGTTCTAATGTCTGTGTTCCAAAACACATCACATTGTTAGGATGCAGGGAGATAGGTGTGTGTGCTCCCTGCGGTGGGGATTTCTAGTTACTAGATCATCTCCATTTTTAGCATTTGGCATCCTCATGATACTTCTATAAATATAACATTAACAGGAGAGCAACAATACGATTTTACCGATGGAATAACAGATTTGCTGGCATTCACTGAAAGAGAGCAAATATTCGGTCCTTGTGACTTCCACTGACTCTTCCAAATTTTATGAATGTATCAATGTATTAGATAAACCCAGTTTCAGAATGATAAAGAAAAAATCTTAGACCAAATAATGCGGCTAATTAACAGTGGTACGATTTGTAGCCCGTGGGTTTAAAATGCACTTAAAGTCCTGTTCTCGCCTTTTATTTTCTGAACTTGCCGCTTTTGCATTCTTTGAGTTCAGTTTAAAGACAGTTACTTTAAGAGCATTTTAAACCCTCGGGCTAGAAATCGGACCACTGTTAATCAGCCACATTATTTGGTCTAACGTTTTTTCTTTTATCATTCTGAAACTGGGTTTATCTAATACATTGATAAATTATTGCAAAGGTACTTTTATCGTTGAAATCACTTCACTTTTACCCTGATAAATATCAGTGACTAGGAATGACCTTCGGATAGCGTTTAGCATCTGTAACCAATCTGACAATAATGTGTTCATGAGGTGCCTATGGATTAAATCACACACTGGCATATTTAAGCTGAAGGTCAGTCTGGAAAATAAATTTACTATATTGACTGAAATACCACTCTTTGTGTAGGTATTTGTCATATATTTAAGAAAAAGCTAAAAAGAATGGAAATTGTATGACAATAACTCAAGTCTTTCTCCAAAGTGCATGCAGTCTTTTGCGATACCTCATTCAGCCGAGTATTTGTGCTCTTCCTCATTCAGTATAAGGCAGCTTTCAGTTTGCTTAGAAGGCAACATTGGAATGTTAGAGTTCATCAGAAACATAGAATTTTAAACTGTGAGTTCCACTGAATACATTTTAATGTCTGTAGGAAGAATCAAAACACCTATTTAAAGATGGCAATGTATAATAATCATTTTAAAAGTATTTGATTAAACCTGATAATTTTCCAGAAATGAAAAAAAAAATCAGCTCTAAAACCAAAGCTGATTTTAGAAAATTTGAAAATGTAAATCAGCCCTATCCATAATATAGTTTCTCTAAAACTTTATTTTAAAGAGTCATTTTAAAATAATATAACTATTAAAAAATGTAACTGCTATCTTAATGTTCTGAAATAATTTAAAACATTTTAAAATATGAATACTGTAGTATAAAAGAAAGAAATGGTGGGAACGAAAAGCAGAGAAAGAAATGCCAATTCCAGTCCAAAGTTTTATTTGCCAAGTTTTCTTAGAATGAATTTTACCAGTTTATGAATTATTGTAAACAGAATGTGTCGTGGAAATACTGAAAGATTTTTCCCTAGAGTGGCCTTATTGACTGCTGGTGTGATGCCACTGTAATGTAATAAATTATTAAATTGTTTCTAAGTGTTGTTTTTGTCTTAAAATTTTATTTTGCGTTTCTTGAAAACTATAGTATTAAAGGTATTGATACTGTGCAAATGCTGGGCATGCTTGGCATGAGATAATGTGTTTCATTTTTACAAAGTTGTAATATAACTATGCAAGTGTTTCTTAAAAGAACACAAGATTTTAAAAGTTATGGGATTAAAAAAGTTATGGGGTGAAAAAGTTATGGGATAAAAAATGTAAAAACGTTGTGGCAAAAAAACTTGTGGGAACAAAGTAGAAAACAGTATTATGAAAAGTTACCAAAAAAAGTTATGAAAAAGAAGTTACGGGATTCTTTTTTAAAAAGTCATGGAATAAAAATAAAAATTAAAAGCAGGCCCCTGTCAGCAAAGCCTGGAAAAGTGGGGCTGGGGTCTCCACCGCCACCATGTCCCTACCACCCCTTCCCAGGCACCCCTTTACAATGAGGGTAGCAGGACAAGACCTCTGTCTAATGGGGAAAGACAAACAGACCCTTTGCCACCCTGACCAGGGCTGAGTCCCTAAATTTCTGGATGATGATGATTGTTATTTAAGAGCCAGAGGCTGGTGGAGTTGGTTTGTTTGGAGGAGGCCTGATGTCCCCCTTACTCTCACCATAGCAACTTTTCCCTCGGGGGGCTCCCTTCTTATTCAGAGAGGCAGGACAGTGGGGCTAACTGTGGACCAGGCGAGGGCACGGGCTGCTGGGGTGGCCCCCGTTCCCCGGTGTACATATTGTGTCTGTGTAAGGTTTTGTATATTCCAGAGGGTAGGGCCACCCCTGTGTCATACCTAGCTGAGGTTGGAGCCGGCACATGGGGAGGAGGTTGTAATAATTATTTGTGGCTGGGAAACTTATTTATTGCTAGCATAGGACAGAGGAAGGAGGCGGGGATGGGGTCATGGCTCCCTGGTGATGTGACTCCTGTTTATTTTGCTTTTTATTTTGGAATAAATGGATTTAGCCATACTGCTCGGCCTGGTGTGTTTCCGTTTCCCTCACTGGGTCCTGGAGTTTGTGCCACCAAACGAGGAGCCCCAGAGTGTCTTGAGCATGTCCAGCTAGGCTGTTGGGGACCTTCCAGGCGTGTTACCTGTATGCTGCTTGGTGGCGCCTGGGGGATTCCAAGGGGACTGCCATGTAGTCTATGGGGCGCAGTCTGGCCCTGACAGCCAACAGGCTCAGAAGCCTGATCTAGCGGTGGCCGGGAAGACAGGTACCAGCACCTAAGGGCACTGACTTCCACCCAGCCCCGGCATCTTCCGTTCTATCCCCTTGTCTCCCTCTCCTGTCTGCACCTGGTGGCCTGTTCTGTCTGTGCCTCCAGAGTGCCGGCTGCCCTGCAGGCTCCCTCTGGGCTGAGTTCATGGCCCTGCCCCCTGGTGGCCAGAGCCGGCTTCACAGGATAAGAGCCCGCTAAGCTCCAGGGGCTTTCCAGGAAAAGTGTCCCTTGGAAAGGGCATGGCCTTTTCACTGCTCCCAACAGCACCCTAGAAATGGCTTGGCCTTTCCCCTCCCCTGAGCTCCACAGAGAACACAGCCAGCAGACGACACACTTCCCCGCCATCCAGAAGCGGGTTTGATTCTCAGCCAAGGGACAGCAGGACTGGTAGAGACTGTCAGGCCACTCAGCTGCCTGCACAGCACTCCCATGCTTGGTGGAGGCGGGGGGGGGCGGGAGGGATGGCGGGGTGTGTCTCTCCATAGGCTGGGCGTGACAGGGAGGCTCACTGAAGGTAGCGCACTTTGGAGGGGCAATGTCAGGGGTTAGCTTTCTCTTGTTTGGCCACAAGACTCCAAAAGGACAGCACGGTGACTGATTCCCAGCGCTAGAGGCGAGGCGGTTGGCCACATGTAGGTGTATGTGTGTGTGTGTGTGTGTGTGTGTGTGTGTGTGTGTGTATATGTATATGGGTATTTGTAGATATTTCTAGAACAGGGCAGGGGCATACCACAGAGGGGGGCACAAGTTTTCAGCAACGGTCACACCTGGATGTGTCAGCTCACCGCAACAATAGACTAAGTCACAGATGAAGGGGGGCTGGCTTTGGGGCTGGGGGAGCCACTGCCAAGTCACAGAACAGCCGCCCAGGCAGGCTTGGAAAGGGAAGTCTCTGAGAAGAGGAGGAATCTGTTTAGAGTTCAAAGGGGGGCCTGGGGCTCTCAGGATGGGATGGACTTGCCTGAGCCGATTGGCTGGCAGTTGGAGAGAAAGCAGAGAGAAGACAGGAGAGAGAAAAGCGAGCATATCATCTCACACCAGTTAGAATGGCAATCATTAAAAAGTCAGGAAACAACAGGTGCTGGAGAGGATGTGGAGAAATAGGAACACTTTTACACTGTTGGTGGGACTGTAAACTAGTTCAACCATTGTGGAAGTCAGTGTGGCGATTCCTCAGGGATCTAGAACTAGAAATACCATTTGAGCCAGCCATCCCATTACTGGGTATGTACCCAAAGGACTATAAATCATGCTGCTATAAAGACACATGCACACGTATGTTTATTGCGGCATTATTCACAATAGCAAAGACTTGGAACCAACCCAAATGTCCAACAATGATAGACTGGATTAAGAAAATGTGGCACATATACACCATGGAATACTATGCAGCCATAAAAAATGATGAGTTCATGTCCTTTGCAGGGACATGGATGAAATTGGAAATCATCATTCTCAGTTAACTATCGCAAGAACAAAAAACCAAACACCGCATATTCTCACTCATAGGTGGGAATTGAACAATGAGAACACATGGACACAGGAAGGGGAACATCACACTCTGGGGACTGTTGTGGGGTGGGGGGAGGGGGGAGGGATAGCATTGGGAGATATACCCAATGCTAGATGACGAGTTAGTGGGTGCAGCGCACCAGCATGGCACATGTATACATATGTAACTAACCTGCACATTGTCACATGTACCCTAAAACTTAAAGTACAATAATAATAAAAAAAAAAAAAAGCGAGCAGAGAGCTGGTGAGGCAAGTGCAGAGCACAGGTGTGCCACAGCAGCTGTGGGAGGGCCAAGGAGTAAAGGGTGCACGTGCGGGTGTGGCAAGGTTCCTGGAAAAGAGGGGCTGGAAGGGAAAGGGGAGGAAGACAGAGGGAGGAGCCGGAGTTTCACAGGTAGTGCCTGGGGGCTGTGGCAGCCCTCCCCACCCCACACGTGCTGGCCTCTTCCACGGCACCCAGTGCACCCACTGTTAAGACTGATGCTCAGCCCCTTTGGGCTTCCCTCTTCTCTGGTCACCGTGTCTTCCAACCCACTTGTCCAGGGCCACCTCTCGCCTTGGGGAGCCCAAAACAACAGCCACCAGGCCTGATAGAGAAGAAACACTGCTTGAACCAGGATGATGAAGCTAAAAGGGATGGATGGGTGGAGTGATCGCCGGAGCCCCCTCTGGGGGGTCAGAAAGCCCAGGAACCCTTGAAGGGTCCCTGGGGGAGGAAAGGAGGGCATGCAGCTGGATGCCACTGGCTATAGACTTATAAGTCTAAGAGGGGAGCCTCAGCTTGTTGGGGGTTGCAGGTCGGATAGGTGAGGCTGGGCCCTTCCTGCTGGGAAAAGCAGAAGAGGGAGAGTCTATGGCAGGGGAGGTGGGTGGGCTTGTGGGGCGGAGGTCAGCTGGGCCAGCAGGCACTGTGGTCCCCTTGGCTGAATAGCAGAGGTGACCTCTAGGAGCAACACTCCAAGGTGCGTGAGCCTGCTGGCCAGCAATAGTGCTTCAGCGGGGGCCAGGGACTCTGCCTTCAGTCACACGCTAGCAGCTATGATGGTACCTGGGAGGGAGGGAAGGGGCCTGTGTTTCCTGCCTGGCCTGTGAGGTGTGTTGTGGGTTGACCGTGTGTATGGGACTCTCAAGGTTTTATCCTATCTCACCACTGCATTGCCGACAGATAGAGGAGGTGGGACTCTGACTATCACCCCTGCTCTGCAGTGGATTTGGCTCTCAGCACTCCCAGGCTGGGAGCTGGATGCCCTGCCCTGGCAGCATGACTCAGACTGCCCAACAGGTGCGGTGTGCACAGGAGGACTATCCTAGGACTCTGGCCGCCTCAGAGTACAGCCCCACACACCACCCCCTCTAAGCTCTCAGCCCTTACACCATAAACCATGAGCTCTGTGACGGCTCCAGGGAGCACCCATGTCTACCAGCGTGGGCACGGAGCCTGTTCCAAGAGTCCCCAGGCTCAGCCATGGGGGCTGGGGGGCTTTGGGGCCGTGGGAGCCAGCCTTGGTACCTGCATCCGGCAAGGACGCTCTGCACCTGCAGGCAGGAGTTGTCCACGGGCCCCCATGTGCGTGCTGATGGTGGTCGTGTTGATGTCGCCGATGATGCCGAGTGCCTCCTTCAGCACGTGGTACATGCGCAGCATCTCGTCGCGCCACTGTGCCTGCTCTGCCGACTCTTCCATCAGCGTTTTCTGGTCCCCACGTGAGTACAGGTTGGACAGCAGCTCCGAGAAGATGAACTCCTTGGTCTGAGAGCGGGCAAAGAGGGAAGGAGGTTGGGACCTGATGCCTTTGCTGCCCTGGCCTCCTGCCGGGCCCTGCTGGGACTGTGTGCTGGACTTGGAGCCCTGAGTATGGCTTTTCAGACGCGGCTTCTACACCGCTTAGACTCAAAGATCTGCCTCCCCACCGCCCTTTTCTCACTCAGATAGGGACACTGAGGTCCAAAGGAAAAGTCACCTGTCCAAGGTCACACATCTGGGAGGGGACCCAGGACCTATCATGCCACCAGGACACCGGTCTACTCAGTTTCTTAAAAATGTTTTTTGGAGATAGGATCTTGCTCTGTCGCTAGGCTGGAGGACAGTGGGCGAGATCACCACTCACTGTAGCCTCAACTTCTTGGGCTCAAAGTGATCCTCCAATGTCAGCCTGTAGAGTAGCTAGGACTATAGGTACGTGCCACCACCAAGCCCAGCTATTTTTAAAATTTTAGTGTAGAGATCAGGTCTCACTATGTTGCCCAAGCTGGTCTCGAACTCCTGGGCTCAAGCTATCCTCTTGCCTTGGCCTCCCAAAGTGCTGGGATTACAGACATGGGCCACTGTCCCCAGTCCCACGTTATATTTCTATGAGACAGCTCTGGTCTGGACTGTGCCTCCCTCCCTGGACCTTGGTCCCATAGGGCTGGTCAGCATCTCCCCCAGGCCAACATGGCCACCTGCATCCCCAGTGCTACAGGAGCCCCCTGCCCCTATGAGGCGGTGCATGCACGTTGTTGATCATGACGTGCATGATGGTCTTGGGCATGACACCAACCATGAGGTCCCACACGGTCTTGTTGACAATGGCCATGTAGGAGTCCACAAGGTTCTGGGTGGTTTCCATTTGCCGCTCCAGCTATGGGTCCATGGAGTGCATGAAGCTGTCGGAGCCATTCTCCTCAGCCTTGCTGTCCTGTCATGGAGAACACAGTGGCATCAGGGTGGCCAGGCCATGCAGCCAGGCTCCAGGAATCCCTAGGATCTCAGCACCTCCAAGGGTACCTGGAACATTGAGGCACAGAGAAAAACAACTGGCGTGAACATGCACCGAGCTCCCCACACGCTCTAGACGGTTTCAGGTATCTGCCTCTCAGGACCCCAGACTCCCCTGATTCAGTCTCCTCTTAGTTCTGACTCTAGTGCCCAGAATCTGCCTCAAGTTACCAATCCAGAAATTGGAAAAAAACATCTCCAGGTCCCCTGTTGGAGACCTGGCCAGAGCTTGTGCCAGGCTGCAGACGCCTGGCAGGGGGCAAGAAAGGGGCATACTCACTTTCCCCTTGTCCTGGGAGGCCCATGCACCAACACTGCCACCGCCGCCGCCACCAGGGAACACGGCAAAGTAGACACACACAGAGAGGAAAACGGGAAGGGTTGAGTGAACCTGGGACACTGCACCCCAACTTTAATGTGTTGTGGAATTCAGTTAGCTAATATTTTATTGAGGATTTTTGCATCAATATTCATCAGTGATATTGGCCTGTAGTTTTCTTTTTTGGTCTGTGTGTTTGATTTTGTTATCAGGGTAATGCTAGCCCTGTAGAATGAGTTTGCAAGTATTCCCTCCTTCTCTATTTTTGGAATCGTTTGGGTAAGGTTGGTATTAGTTCTTCTTTAAATGTTTGCTAGAATTCAGCAGTGAATCATCAGGTCCCAGGCTTTTCTTTGCTGGGAGACTTTTTATTACCACTTTGATCCCATTATTTGTTATTGGTTTGTTCAGGTTTTGGGTTTCATCATGGTTCAATCTTGGTAGGTTAGATGTGTCTGGAAATTTATCCATTTTTGGTAGGTTTTCCTATTTATTTGCACACAGTTGCTGACCACTAGTGATCCTTTGAGGTTTTTTTTCTTTTCTTTTTTTATATGGAGTCTTGGTCTGTCGCCCAGGCTGGAGTGCAGTGGCGCGCTCTCAGCTCACTGCAAGCTCTGCCTCCCGGTTTCACGCCATTCTCCTCCCTCAGCCTCCCAAGTAGCTGGGACTACAGGCGTCCGCCACCACGCCCTGCTAATTTTTTGTATTTTTTCCGTAGAGACGGGGTTTTACCGTGTTAGCCAGGATAGTCTTATCTCCTGACCTCCTGATCCACCCGCCTTAGCCTCCCAAAGTGGTGGGATTACAGGCGTGAGCCACGCCCCCTTGGGACAGGGACACACACACACACAGACACACACACACACACACACACACAGAGTTGGTGGTTGTGCCGCCCAGTCGCGAGTGTGAGGAAGGGACCAGATCGGTCGGGCAGAAAGGTGCTGGGTCAAGAGAGGAGGGGGCAGCCGGTAGCGCGGGCACGCCGGGTGCGCGCGGGGCGCGCCGGGTTGAGGGGTGAGGGGTGAGGGGTAAGAGGTGAGGGGCGACGAGGACCGGGGCGGGGTAGGGGCAGCCCTTTCCCAGGCGGTAGCGGGGGCAGTGGTGCTGTTGCCCTTTTAAACTGCGGCTTGACGGGAGCCGCGCCTCCTGTCGGTGGAGTCGGTTATAAAGGGAGCAGCCCCGCAGGCCGCCACATAGCTCCCGCCAAGTCCTCGGTGCCCCTTGCCATTTTCCAGCCGCGCTCCCACGAGGGTCACGGCGGCGGGGAGAGGTGGAGCCGCGAGAGCTCGGCCGGGGGCCCCGCCTGGTGGCCGCGGCCATGACAGCGGCTCGGGACTGGCTCCTTTTCCGCGCCCCTCCCGCCGGAGGTGAGGGGAAGATGTCCATGTCAGGGTTCAAGGCCAAACCGAAGTTACTGGCCTCTATCTTCCAGGAGAACCAGGAGCCACAGCCGCGGCTCACGCCCCACCGCAACATTAAGGTGAGTCGCCGGGTGGCGGCCTGGCGGGGCAGGGCGAGGGCGGAAAGCGGGTGCCCAGAGTCCCAGGAGAAAGGGGAAGCTGCCCCAGAGAGGCCGCGGTTCCCCGCCCCTTTCTCCCGCAACTGGCCCGCCCGGCAAGGCAGAGGCTTGGGTGGGAGAAGGCGGAGGGCGCGTCTCTCCAACTCCTAGCGCGGGGCTGGCTTGGGGGCTGCTGGCCCCTCTCGGCCCCTGTCGCTGCGCCTCGAGGTGGGAGCCCGCCGCTGCGGGAGCCCTCTTGGGACCCATGGTCGCCCTCAGTCAGCCCACCTGCTCTAGGGACCGCGACAGGGCGGGGCAGGGCGGCTCCCGCGTTGTTGGAGCCCAGGCGGGGAAGGGGAAAGGCCTTTAAGATTTTCGGTTTTTTGGCCGGGCGTAGTGGCTCACGCCTGTAATCCCAGCATTTTGGGAGGCCAACCGGGCTGATCACTTGAGGTCAGGAGTTGGAGACCAGCCTGGCCAACATGGTGAAACCCGTCTCTACTAAAAAATAGAAAAATTAGCCGGTCGTGTTGGCAGGCGACTTAATCCCAGCTATTTGGGAGGCAGAGGCAGGAGAATCGTTTGAACCCGGGAGGCGGAGGTTACAGTGAGCTGAGATCGAGCCATTGCACTCAAACCTGGGGGAGAAGAGCGAGACTTCTCTCTCTCTCTCTCAAAAAAAAGTTTTCTTTCTTTTTTTCTTTTTGTTGAGACAGAGTCTCACTCACTCTGTCGCCCAGGCTGGAGTGCAGTGGCGCGATCTCGGCTTACTGCAGCCTACCTCTCTTGACAGTCCACTGGTTAAAGCGATTCTCCTGCGTCAGCCTCCCGAGTAGCTGAGATTACAGGCGCCCGCCACCACGCCTGGCTAACTTTTGTGTTTTTAGTAGAGACGGATTTTTTAGTAGAGACGCGGTTTCACCATGTTAGCCAGCATGGTCTTGATCTCCTGACCTCATGATCCACCCGCCTCAGCCTCCCAAAGTGCTGGGATTACAGGCGTCAGCCACCGCGCCCGGCCTCTGTTTTGTTTTATACATGTAATATATTCACAAGTATCTTTACGAAGTGATTTTGATACTCTTTTGTCTTCTCCCTAGAATCTCTTTGTTCTGTAATAATTCTTTCTTAGTTTATATTGATCTTATTTTCCTTTTTAAAGCCTTTCCTTACATATCTATTCTATGTTGCTTATCATTTGTAGTTTTTTTATTTTTTATTTATTTATTTATTTATTTATTTTGAGAGGGAGTCTCGCTCTGTTACCCAGGCTGGAGTGCAGTGGTGCAATCTGGGCTCACTGCAAGCTCCGCCTCCCAGGTTCACGCCATTCTCCTGCCTCAGCCTCCTGAGTAGCTGGGACTACAGGCGCCAGCCACCACGCCCCAACAATTTTTTGTATTTTTTAGTAGAGACGGGGTTTCACCGTGTTAGCCAGGATGGTCTCGATCTCCTGACCTCATGATCTGGCCACCTTGGCCTCCCAAAGTGCTGGGATTACAGGCGTGAGCCACCGTGCCCAGCCCTGATTCTATATTATAGTGAGTTGTACAATTATTTCATTATATGTTACAATGTAATAATAATAGAAATAAAATGCACAATAAATGTAATGTCCTTGAATCATCCCAAAATCATCTCCCCCAACCTTGTCTGTGGAAAAATTGTCTTCTGCAAAACTGGCTCCTGATGCCAAAAAGTTTGGGGACTGCTGGCATAAGTGGTCTCATATAGTAGTTGTCCTTTTGTGCCTGGCTTATTTCACTTAGCATAATGTCTTTAACGTTCATCCATGTTGTAGCATGTGCCAGAATTTCATTTGTTTTTAAGGCTGAATAATATTCCCTTGTATGTATTTAATATGCCTTTTTATCTTTTCCTCTGTTGATGAATACTTGGGTTGCATCCACCTATTGGCTATTGTGAATAGGTTTGCATTGCCTGTCTTTCTCATGATCGCCATCCTATTTCACATCTAGCAGGTGTGAAATTCCATTGATTGAGTGATTGATTGAGACAGGGTCTGACTCTGTCGCCCAGTCTGGAGTGCAGTGGCATGATCTTGGCTCACTGCAACCTCCATCTCCCAGGCTCAAGCAATTCTTCTGCCTCAGCCTTCCGAGTAGCTGGGATTATAGGCATGCACCACTACCAGCTGGCTAATTTTTGTATTTTTAGTAGAGACGGGGTTTCACCATGTTGGCCAGGCTGGTCTCGAACTCCTGACCTGAAATGATCCACCTGTCTCCGCCTCCCAAAGTATTTGGATTACATGTGTGAGCCACTGCGCCCAGCTAGTAGGTGTGAATTTCTATGTCTTAGTGGTTTTGATTTGCATTTACCTGATGGCAAATGATGTTGAGTATCTTTTCATGTGTTTATTGGCCATTTGTCTGTTTTTTTGGGGAAATACTTATTCCAAAATTTAACTTATTTTTAATTGGGTTATGTATCTCTTTATTATTTAGCTGTAAGAATTTTTTACATATTCTAGATAGGAGTTATAACAACTTTCTTCCTTTTTCTGGATTGTCTTTTTTCTTTCTTGATGGTGTCCTTTGAAGCAGAAAGATTTTAAATTTTGATATAGTCCAATTTATCTTTTTTCATTTGTGTTTTTTTGCTCCTTGTGCTTTTGGTGTAATATCTAAAAAAACGTTGCTACTCCAAGGTCACAAAGGTTTCTGCCTATGTTTTTTTCTATGAGTTTTATAGTTTATCAATATCTCTTATATTGAGCTCTTTTATCCATTTGAATTAATTTTTGCATGCGGCATGAAGTAGGGGGGTATAGCTTCATTGTTTTGCACCTAGACATCCAGTTATCTCAGAACTATCTGTTGAAAAGCTTATTCTTTCCCCATTGAATTGTCTTGGAACGCTTATTGAAGATCAATTGACTGTATATGTGAAAGTTTATTTCTGGATTCTATTCTTTTCTCTGTTCATCTGTCCTTATACCAGTAGCACACTCTTGATTACTGTAGCTGTTTAGTAAGCTTTGAAATCAGAAAGTATGAATCCTCCAGAAAGTTTTTTAAGGTGGGTTTGGCTGTTCTGGGTCACTTGCATTTCCATATGAATTTTAAGATCAGCTTGTCAGTTTCTGCAAAGGAGCCAGCTGGGATTTTAATCACAGTCGCATTGAATATGTAGATCAACTTAGAAAGTACTGCCATTTTAACAATATTAAGTTTTCCTCCACGAACACAGGATGTATTTGTACTTATTTAGGTCTTCCTTTAATTTCTTTCAATCGTAGTTGTGTTGAATGCAGACCTACTTTGAATTAATTCTAAGTAATTTTTATGCTACTTATTGGTTGACAAATATAATTGCTTTTAGTTTTTAACTGTAGTTTTGATGTAATGTGAACTGTATTTGGACCTTGTGAAGCTTATTTCTGCTTTGAAATTTAGTATAAATTGGTTATAATAAAATCTGACTGTGCTAATTTTTTGGTTATGTGAAATAGAAAATCAATGTAAATTTAAAAATTTATTCTGGGCCGGGCGCAGTGGCTCACACCTGTAATCCAAGCACTGTGGGAGGCTGAGGAGGGCAGATCACAAGGTCAGGAGATCAAGACCATCTTGGCTAACACAGTGAAAGCCCATCTGTACTAAAAATACAAAAAATTAGCCGGGTGTGGTGGTGGGCACCTGTAGTCCCAGCTACTTGAGAGGCTGAGGCAGGAGAATGGTGTGAACCTGGGAGGCGGAGGTTGCGGTGAGCTGAGATCGCACCACTGCACTCCAGCCTGGGCGACAGAGTTAGACTCCGTCTCAAAAAAAAAAAAAAAAAAAAAATTCATTCTGAAATGCGATAGATGTTGAAGCTCTTCTGGCAGATGGTTATAAAGAGGAATATATAATCATTCTATTGAGAAAATATAATCAATAATGTGAATACCTAAGGTAGTTTATTTTACATATATATCTCGGTATTTATTTATTTTTGAGACAGAGCCTCACTCCTGTCACCCAGGGTGGAGTGGAGTGGCACGATCATGGCTCATTGCAGCCTCAACTTCTTGGGCTTAGGTGCTTATCTCATCTCATCGCAGCCACCTGAGTAGCTGCGACTACAGGTGTGCGCCACCATGCATGGCTAATTTTTTGTATTTTTAGTAGAGGTTTCCCCATGTTGTCCAGGCTGGTCTGAAACTCCTGGACTCAAGTGATCTGCCCGCCTCGGCCTCCCAAAGAGCTGGGATTACAGGTGTGAGCCACTGTGTTGGCCTTATGTTTTATAATTTTTAAATGATACTTTTTATTCTATTACAAAACATATATAATTGTAAAAAACTTGTAAAATATAAAAGAGGACAAAGACAATAGAAAAATTATTTACAATGTAATTCCCAAGTAAACACTGATTACCTTTTTTTTTTTTTTTAGAGCCTGTTGCTCAGGCTGGAGTGCAGTGGCACCATCATAGTTCACTGTAACCTCATACATCTCATACATTTTGATATTACTACTTCTGGTTTTATACATAATGTGTTCACTTTGAAGCAAGAGAGTATAATTTTATAACGATTATTTTCATTTAATGATCATGATCTCATTGCAATTATTGATCATTTAGTTTATTCCTGAACATTTTGTTTTATATATTTTTGCTATTGTGAGTGGGATATTTGTTATAACTTGGCATTTGTGCCTACACTCAATTTACCTATAGGAAACTAATTTTTGCATACAATTGTTTTAATTGGTGCAGTGGCACAATCTCAACTCACTGCAACCTCCGCCTCCCAGGTTCAGGTGATTCTCCTGCCTCAGCCTCCTGAGTAGCTGGGATTACAGGCACATGCCACCACACCCAGCTAATTTTTGTATTTTTAGTAGAGACAGTGTTTCACCATGTTGGTCAGGCTGGTCTTGAACTCCTGACCTCGTGATCCACCCGCCTCGGCCTCCCAAATTGCTGGGATTACAGGCTTGAGCCACCGTGCCCGGCCTCGGCCTCTTTGTGTGTTTTCGTATATCTTTCATCTGAGTTGCAAGGGGCACCTTGGGTTTCCAGGAATTTTCTTAGCTAACTCTGTTCCTTTATCTATGACCCTTCCTCACTAGTTTTGGATAATTTATTTTCCTTCTTCCTTACTTCACTGATTTACTTTTCTATTTTATTTAGTTTGCTAGTCATTGTTTCTTTTAAGGTTCTTAAGCATAAATCCTTTTTTTTTTTCTGATGGGAAATACTGGGGCATAGCACTAGGAATACAAATTATGTTTAAATAGAGCACAAAGAACCATCTCAAAGGAATAACTGATGGTGAATGTCTGGTGATTGATTTTATTATGTATCATCTCTAATGAGGCTTAATAAATAATTGAGGTTTAACACTTAGGTAACCGGTCTGTATTTAAGTCTGAAAATTTTTGTATGTTACAGTTTCAACTTCACATTGAATATTCTGTAAAGCAGAAATAAATTGATCAGCATTCTATGAATGAAAAATAAAGCCATGGGTCGGGTGCAGTGGCTCACACCTATAATCCCAGCACTTTGGGAGGCCGAGGCAGGTGGATCACCTGAGGCCAGGAGTTTGAGACCAGCCTGGCCAACATGGTGAAACCTTGTCCCAGCTACTGGAGAGGCTGAGGCAGGAGAATGACTTTAACCCAGGAGACAGAGGTTGTGGTGAGCTGAGATCGCGCCACTGCACTCTAGCCTGGTGACAGAGCAAGACTCTGTCTCAAAAAAAAAAAAAAAAAAAAAAATTAGCTGGGCATGGTGGTGCACACCCGTAATTCCACTACTTGGGAGGCTGAGGCAGGAGAATCACTTGAACCCAGGAGGCAGAGGTTGCAGTGAGCCAGGGTTGCACCACTGCCCTCCAGCCTATGTGACAGACTGAGACTCCATCCCTAAAAAAAAAAAAAAACCAAAAAAAACCATGCTGGTAATCAAAAAAGCAGTTTGCCTCATCAGAGTTTAGAACGTTGAATTGTAAAGATCTTTTTTGTAGTCCTAGCCAGTTTTAATGGTAACATGAGCAATTCAGTTACTTTCTCAGAGTTTTATATTTTTATCTGTAAAATGGAAATTATGGTACCTACAGTTTAGGATTTTTGTGAAAATCAAGTGAGACTGCAAGTGTCTTGAATAGCAGTGGAAGTACATTGATATAGGTGATATTTTACAGTGGTGTCTTCCTCAGCATCATATTAGTTCAGTGTTTTAAAGCTCTATATTAGTCACAGAAACAAAGTCAAATTTTTGTTCTCATTTCAGATTACAAGTGGACACCTGAGTCAGCAGGACCTGGAATCCCAGATGAGAGAGCTTATCTACACGACTCAGATCTTGTTGTCACCCCCATTATTGACAATCCAAAGGTGCAGAAAGCACTCTGACAAGTGAGTTGTAGACTTTACTGAGATCTGAAATCTGCATAAGATTTTCATTCAGAATATTATTTACTGTCTAATCTTTCCTGTTTCTCTTGTCCGCTACTCTTTCATTTGTGCTGCATGTCTGCATTTCCAGCTCCCGCTCTGTCTGCAACCCTTTCCTCTGCCTTCACTTCCACTTCACTGGAGTTCTAAGTTTTCCCCCCTCTGTTTTGAATGAGTCAGCTCTGCTTCTCACTACTGCTTTCTTCCACATGCCACGGAGGGGTTGCCAGCCTCTTGACCTCAGACCTTAGCTCTCAGTCCCATCGTTTCTCCATCTGCACTAATGTGAATCACTCTAAGTATTCTAGTCTCTGATGTGTTTTGAAGGCAGAAGCAGTCAGAGGGCACTGCTCACCAGGCTGGGCTGGGCAGGCAGATCACACGGAAGCCCTGCCCTGTCACAGGTTGTTAATACTGCAGGGGAGATGGTGGGGAGACACTATGGGAACTTGAGGAGTCATGGTTCACAATGTACTTCTAAACCACTGTGAGTTTTTTTGCTTCTTGTCTTTTGGAATATAATACTTTATTGCTGGGGGATAATGAGTATTTACTTTAAAAAACAGATGCATTTCTAAGTCCCTCTGTTTTGTCTTGACTTCCAGCTCCCCAACATACTCACATTCCACTACTTATTCTCTATTTTAACTTTACTGCTTCTTTTACTTTTTTTTAGTTTTACTTTTATTTTTTATTTTTTTGAGACAGAGTCTTGCTCTGTCACACAGGCTGGAGTGCAATGACGCGATTTTGGCTCACTGCAAGCTCCGCCTCCCAGGTTCATGTCATTCTCCTGCCTCAGCCTCCCAAGTAGCTGGGACTACAGGTGCCCGCCACCACGCCCTGCTAATTTTTTGTATTTTTAGTAGAGACAGGGTTTCACCATGTAAGCCAGGATGGTCTCGATCTCCTGACCTTGTGATCCACCCACCTCGGCCTCTCAAAGTGCTGGGATTACAGGCATGAGCCACCACACCTGGCCTTCTTTTTCTTTTTTAAATATCTTTTTCTGTATTAATTCATGACTGTTTTTTTCTTGTCTCATTGGGAACATTAGTGTGGTTTAGAACAATGTAAGGGTTTTTGGATTCATGTTTATTTTCTAGATAGACAGCATTTTATATAGATGATTTAGCTGTTTTTCATAATGGAGCTAATTCTTTTTGTGAGTTCATATGTCTGGCAGTGTAACTTTATTATGCTAAGTTTGATGTGCATTGGCGCATTTTCAAAATGGGCTTTCTAGAACAATTTGTGATATCTTTCCCAGGGGTGTCCAGTCTTTTGGCTTCCCTGGGCCACACTGGAAGAAGAATTGTCTTGGGCCACACATAAAATACACTAACAATAGCTGATGAACTAAAAAACCAATAAAAAAAAATTGCAAAAAAATTCTTACAATGTTTTAAGAGAGTTTATGAATTTGTGTTGGGCCATATTCAAAGCCGTCTTGGGCCGCATCCAGCCCACGGGCTGCGGGTTGGACAAGCTTGCTTTACACAATATTCTGTGTTTCCTTTTTTCCTCTTATAACCATATTTGATAGTTTATGGGAAGCCTTCATCAGTGGAAATTTTTGTGTTTAACTTTTAATTCTAAACTACTTTTAGAGAAAAGATTAAAAAATAGTTGAGAACTCCTGTATAGCTTTTGCCCAGCTGCTCTTAATGTTCACATCTTATAGGTCTATAGTATAGTTAGCAAAACCTGGGAATTAACATTGGTATAGTGTTAGTCAGGCGGGATAATCCTTACCTGTGCCTCCTTTTGGAGGGCAGCAGAATGTGGTAGTTGGAGTTGCATGATACTTGATTCATATCTCTGTGTAATGATGGCATGCAATACCCTGACTGCTCCTTTCGAATTCTTCCTGAAAAGGGAAAAATAAAACATGAGAATAGTGCTGCTAACTACCAAATGCATTTGAATTTTACCGGTTGCCTCTAATGTCCTCTTTTTTTTTGTTCCAGGATCCCACATTACAGTTAGTTGTTATGCCTCCTTAGTCTCATATAGTCTGTCCTAGTTTTTCACGGTTTTGTCAGAATTTCTCAGACTTTGCTTGTCTTTCATGACCTTGACAGTTTGTCTTTTATTTTGTTTTGTTTTGTTTTTTGTCACCCAGGCTGGAGTGTAGTGGCGCGATCTCAGCTCACTGCAACCTCTGCCGACCGGGTTCAAGCTATTCTCCTGCCTCAGCCTCATGAGTAGCTAGGATTACAGGCACCTGCCACTGCACCTGGCTAAGTTTTGTAGTTTTAGTAGAGATGGGGTTTTACCATGTTGGCCAGGCTGGTCTTGAACTCCTGACCTCATGATCCACCTGCCTAGGCCTCCCAAAGTGCTGGGATTACAGGCGTGAGCCACGGCACCTGGCCTTTGTATGTTTTTGTAATACATGTTATAAAACGTATGACTCAAGTCCTTGACACTTTGAAGAGTAACTGGTTGGGTGTTTTGAAGAATGTCCCTTAATTTAGGTTTGTCTAAGGGTTTCTCATGACTCAAATGAGATTATGAATTTGGATTATGAGATTAGAATGAGAATATGCATTTTAGTAAGAATACTACAGTAAGTACAGTAATGCTGGTTACTTAATTAGTAAAGGTTTTAAAAATATTACATATAGAAGTTTTGCAGAAGTTAGGTATAGAAATGATGGTTGAATTTTTAATTAAAAGTCTCAAGATGCAGTATCTGGCTGTCCTAAGCTCATGGATCCAACTACATGGTTTCTTCACATTTCTGAAATAAATTATGCACTTTCCAATTCATGCTATTATGGCTTCCTTGAATGGTGTCTTCTCTGATATAATCATAAAGTTCTAGCCATCCTTCAAGACCGCAACCCACCTTCTACCTCTTCCGTAAACCCGGTGTCAACTATATCAAGTAAAGTGCTTGCTGTATTCTCTAAACTACTATTTACAAAAAAAATTCTTTCTGTCCAGGGTTTTGTCTGTAGTTATGTCCTGCCTCTTTTGAATTGTGAAATATTTTCTTGTTTATCAAATGTTTGTCTCATCTTCCCAACCAGAAAGTCAGCTCGCTGAAAATAGGATTGTGTCTTTTATATCTTTGTATCCCCCTTAGCACTTGACATAGAGCCTTACCTTGGCAGGTAAGCAATAGATATTTGTTGAAAGACTGAATTTCTAATTAGAGGTAAATTACCTAAAAAGTAAGCCAGGATGGGGTGAATTTTTTCTTTGAAGCTTTATTTTATTACAGATATCAATTGAAATGATTTTAAAAAATAAATTATTATCTATATATGTATGTTTTAATCTGAAAAGGCATCGTTCTTTTTGTTTTTGGTAACAAATTTTACACATTCTTTTTTTGTCCTCATTGATTTATTATCTGATATAAGGGACATATAAGGAGACAGATATCCATCTTTAAAATTGCCTCAAAAGTTTTTTTTTTTTTTAACCACAGATAATGAAACAACCACCATCGGTTAAATTTGATGCAAAAATATTGCATCTACCAGCATTTTCAGGTAGGATCATAAAGGACTTATCGAACATGTAGACTGTCTGTATACAGATACGAATATGAAATTTATTCACAAATGGAATATTTGTATGTGAACAACTAAATTTATTTTGTCTTGACAATTGGTTATATTCTTGGGTCAGTGTTATGTGAATTGTAAATAATCTGTAATTCATTTGTGCCAGCTGTTGACATTTCTCAGCTGAGTCTGGGCTGCCCTGTCCTCTTGTGAGTGGGGAGGTTCCTGTAGATCTGGGCAAGTTTTCCTGTAGAGTGGGTGGGGGGCCTCCTCCCTTCCGTTCATAGAGCTGGTTGAATTTCCACCATTTATGGCAGGTGTAGGTGCACAGGGTTGGGGACAACAAGGAAGGATTGGGATTCTATTGGCGGGACCAGGACATTTGAGAACGGGACTAGGTGGTTCATGACTGTGGAGATGGTGTGGGAGTGGAGATACTTAAGGGATAATTATTACATTTCTGTTGAGCTAATGAAAATCTTATTTACGGTGAAAGTCAGAAATTTTTACATACCTTAAACTTTTTTTTTTTTAACAAATTATATTTTAAGCTGTTAAACTCAATTTGGGGAAAATTATTCATTGTGGCTAGAGTAGAATCTATGATTTGAAGTAAATTTAAAATATATTTAGGTTTAAATAAACCAGCTAAGGGTTTATATCAGTCAACTTAATTAGTGATAAAAACAACCAAAAAAACCTGTGTAGAAGGACGTTTTTGAAAGACCAAAGTGAAGCAAAATATTAATAGTGCTTTCAGTGCCAAGTAGGTCTATTTATGCAAACCTAGAGAATTATTATTGGGAAATACTATTTCCTTTTTCTTCTTTGAGTTACTTAGGAAATTATATTTACAATTTCTTTGTCTAAAGATTGAGATCAGCAAAAACATGTTAGCAAAAAATTTTAGGGAGTATCACATTTCCTAGATTTTGCCCTTTTTTTATAGGGATTTGGAGGTAGGAATTTCAGGTGATTTTAGCTATCATGTTATCCTCGTTATTTTTTTACAGTAATTTCATTGGAACTTTTTAATAACTGTGTGGTTTGTGCTTTTCTCAATATCTGAGAGTTGATTTATTTATACAAAGGCTTTTTTGTCTTTTACTCCAGTTGTATTGAACTTTGCATTTTGTTATAATCTAGGTTGTGAGACAATTCTGCTTTAGACATCTGCTTGGTTTGAAAGCATAGTTTTCCATTGAAGTGTTTAAAAAGTTTCCATGGATAGATAAAGAGATGAGGAATATAGAAGGACAAATAGAAGTAGTGTCATCTTTGGAGTATTTTTGGTGTTGACAGAGTAATGTTTTCTTTGTCCTCATCTTAGCTGTCGTAACTCTGTGTTTATTTCTCATGTAATGTTTCCAGCAGTTGTTTTTCTCATCATCATACTTTTGTTATTTTCTTTCCTTGGCAATGGATAAGTTATAATTTCTGAAAGACCAAGATTGGAATGACTTTTTGTAACAAGTGTGCTCGCAGATCGACTCCAGTGAGAAGAGCTCGGGGACCTCCTGAGCCAAGCTTAATCTCCTTTGCTGTTTGTGAGTGGTGGCTGGTCACCAGGAGGTGGCCACCAGGCTCCTCCTTTCCCCGCTGGTAGGCCTCTGTGACATGACTTATGCATTTAAATTTATGTTTTTTATAGAGGCTCAAACAAGTGCTAAAATAGCAATTTGATTTAACTACCATGAAAAAACTGATTTATCACGATTTTAGGTTTATGCAAATTATCCTCTGCTTAATCCTTACGTCTTAAAGTAGATAAGAGTAGACGGTGATTTTGAACTTTTTGTTGTTGTTGTTGTTTGTAATACTCAGGTTTCCATTTTATGTTAACTTGTAAGATTTTTAAAAAATATGTGAAATCAGGCCGGGCGTGATATCATAAGACAGACCTTTTACCTTCTCATCAGTGACTGGAATGAACGCCTGTAATCTCAGTACTTTGGGAGGCCGAGGCAGGTGGATCACCTGAGGTCAGCAGTTTGAAACCAGCCTGGCCAACATGGCGAAACCCCATCTCTACTAAAAATACAAAATTAGCAGGGCGTGGTGGTGCACTCCTGTAATCCTAGCTACTTGGGAGGCTGAGACAGGAGAATCACTTGAACCCAGGAGCCAGAAGTCGCAGTGAGCCGTGATCATGCCATTGCACCCCAGCCTGGGCAAAAAGAGCGAAACCCCATCTCAAAAAATAAAAACAAAAAACAAACAAAAAAAAATGTGATATCATAAGACAGACCTTTTCCCTTCTCATCAGTGACTGGAATTAACTGCCCATGTGGAACGGGTTGTGGGTGTTGGTTCCTTTACTGGGTCATCTGGTAAACTGCAAGGTTTCTGCTGTGACATTGAAGGCAGACATCAACCCTCTAAGACATTTTTTTCCTATCCTCTGGGAATATTACTTTTTGGACAATCTTGGTCCATTGGTAAGCTCATGGGAATTTGTCAGAGTTTTTTTGTTTCTTTTGGCTCATGTTTAGCATCGATTGGCAGAGTGTTTGGAGTCATCCTCAGAAAGGAATTACAGTGGTTCGGAGGTGTTTTCTGTAGTGGGCCCTCATTTGGGAATTGGCTTGAAAAAAATGTAAGTTCACTTGCTTCCAGGATGGTATTAAGATTGCTTTTTTTGATAGTTGGCGTGTGTCTATCAGGTAAGGGCTGTCATTTAGAGAATATAAAGTGGTAGGAGAAACTAAAAGTACTGTTCTTAGTTTTTATTTTAATCTTATTCATATACAAGTGCCTTTGTAATTTAGCAAATATCATTTTTGGTGTACAGTATAAATTTCCTTTTTATAAAGATCTGAGTTTTTAACTTTGCTGTCACTTTCTGTGTTTCATGACTTAAATATTTTAATTTTTTCTTTTTTTACATTTACATTTTTTATTCTAGTTCCAATTGCTAATCCAGCATTTGTGGATAGCTGCAAACTGTGATATGTAAGTAACATTTACATTTTAAAAATTATTTCTCATGGTTTTATTAAGTAGTTACAGCATACATATTTATCAAAAGCAGAGTCCTAAGTAATTATCATAAATTTTTCTGATGTAATGATGAATCTACTCATAGGCAATTTTTATGGGCATTCCAATTATAAACTTTAGAATATTTAAAAATAGCCCTTCTCCTAATATAGATACGATTCTGGGATTATCTAAGCTACTCCTGGAAACTTTATTAACTGTTGTTGTTCTTTTATTTTTGTAGAGACAAGGTCTCTCACTATGTTGCCCAGGCTGGTTTCCAACTCCTGGGCTCAAGTGATTCTCCCATCTCTGACTCCCAAAGTGTTAGGATTACAGACGTGAGCCACTGCGCCAGGCTAACTGTTACTGTTTTGAGTATTGGTTATAAAATACTTCAACCCTGATCCCTGTGTATTAATTTAGTTATACTTCCTCAAAGTTTCCCTTGGGCACCCTTATCTGTCCCTATGTAGCACATAGCTTCCCTATGATGTTATTTATAATCTAATGAGATTAATTATGATTTATAAACTCCCGATGGAAGGAAGTGTCCTTACTTTTTATAGAAGCAACATACCAGGTGGAAAGCACCGTAGATCAAGTGTTAGAAGGCTCTGGGTTCCTGTTGCCTATAAGACTTGGCCAAATGATTATCTTTTTCTCAATCTCTGTTTCCTGGGGAGTGTGGGTGGGACAAGGAAATGGCATAGGTTTAGGATTCAGACAGACCTGGGTGTGGATCAAAGATCTGCTTTCTGGGCCAATTACTTTAATTGCTGAGCCGCAGTTTCCTCATCTGTAAAATTGGGATGGGATAACTACTTCATAGATTTTTGGTAATTATTCAACTTTGAATGTGGTAAATATGTGAGATACCTGGTATAGTGCCTGTTTCTTTCTTTCTTTTTTTTTTTTTCTGAGTCGGCATCTCCCTCTGTCACCCAGGCTGGAGAGCAGTGGTGCGATCTCAGCTCACTGCAAGCTCCGCCTCCCGGGTTCACGCCGTTCTCCTGCCTCAGCCTCCTTAGTAGCTGGGACTACAGGCGCCCGCCACCGCGCCCGCCCGGCTAATTTTTTTCACCGTGGTCTCGATCTCCTGACCTCGTGATCTGCCCACCTCAGCCTCCCAAAGTGCTGGGATTACAGGCATGAGCCACCGTGCCTGGCCGTATAGTGCCTGATTCTTAGTGGGTATTTCATTGACAGTGGGGTTGGGGTTGTAGAAGTTGTAGTTATTATCATGAAGCTTGCTTATCTCATGATTGTTAGGACAGGCACATGAAAAAACGGAGGTGAAAGGATTTTGTGAATTGTGGCAGTGGTATAATAATTATTCTTCTATGCTGGTGAAATATGGGTGAAACAATAGGAGTTTAGAAAATGTTTAATAATAAGGGTAATTCTTATTATACGTCTTCTAATGTTACTCTCGCAAAGTAAAATCTGGTAATAGAAAGTAGGATTTTTAGGTAATGGTTGAGCATTTAATACTTTGAGAAGGCTTATGGTATGCTCATTAAAAATGAATCAATGAAATATGTATTTAAACACTTTTATTTAAAACGTGTTATATACCTGAATGGGGTGCTCCCTGCTGACATTTTCAGACAGACATTCCAAATCATTTCCGAGAACAGTCATCCCTCTGTATCAGCCAGGAGAATGGTTCTAGTATCCCCTTGGATACTAAAATTAACACATACTGTTTTTTCCCCCACTGTTAAAAATTGAGGTTTGATTGTAAAACAGTTTTAATTTGAATAAAATGATAGTGAGGTAGACAAGTTCTCTGGTAGGAATCTTCTTTTATTCTCTTTCTCCATCCAAAGCCACTTCCAGCGAGGTTTTCTCTGACCTCAGGTTATATTACCTTGATAGCATATGATAAAGGGTCCTTAACTTAGTCTGGGAGATAATTATTATTGAAGTAGATACTTAGTTTTGTTTTGCTTATAAAAAATTAGAATCACATGATATAGTTTTTTATGTTTGTTTTCCCCCATAACATATATATTATGTATTTTAAATGTTATCAACATTTTAAAATAAAATACATAATACTTAAGGTAAACGTTTTATATGTTGTGAATATCTGATCATTTTGTTTACTATTTTTGGATAGTATTATAATGTTGTAAACAACATTTTGATGAACATTTTTGAGATTAAATCTTCGTGCCCGCTTTTTCTTTTTCCCTTTAGGAAAGATTCATAGAACTAGAACAAATGGGTAGAAGGCAGTAAATATCTTTGTGACTTCTGAAAAATTGCTGAAATACTCTTAAAAAAACATTGTATCAATAGATAATCCCAGTCAATGTGTTTAAAATGCCTTTTGTTAGAACTTCCAACGTTGAGTATTTATCAAATTGTATATCCTTTTATCCTTGCCAATCAACTTTATGAGGTATAATTCATATATAGTAATAGTGTAATACTGTAACTTTAAAATGTGTTACTTGTAAATTACACATAATTTAAAATGTTCCATTTTAGCTATTTTTATGTGTACAGTGACATTTAGTTCATTCCCATTGTTGTGTAACCATCACCACTATTCATTTCCAGAACTTTTTCGTCATCTTGAACAGAAGCTCTTTACCCGTTAAACATAACTTCCCCTTTCCTTTCCCTTCCCCAGTCCTGGTAACCTATACTCTACTTATTCTATGTTGGTAAATTTGCTTATGGTGAGTACCTCATATTGCTACTGAAACATCGAGGGGTTTGGTCTAGGTCCTGTTGCTCACAGCGCAGAAAGCCAATCACGGAGACGATGAGTGTTGCTAGGGAACAAGGCTTCAATTGGGTGCTGCAGCTAAGGAGATGGGAGATCAATCTCAAATTTGTCTCCTCGACTGACTAAAACCACGGGTTTATTTAGCAGGGAAGAAATGTAACCACGTATGGGAAAACAGGAGTTAGGGAAGGGTGAGGGAGAGGAGTTGGTCGACAGGAAGCAGGTAGTTGGTTAGGCAATTGTGATGGGTGAGGTGGTCTGGTGTCTTATGGTCCAGATGTGGTGATCTGGTAAGTTTCAGTTCCTTGATAACTATCTGGGAGGCCTGATGGTTGGTTTCCCAAGAAAGGAACTCAGATAAGACAAATGTAACTTTCTCAAGTTTTAAGACTGGGAGGGTCAATTTCTATCTTTATTTTAAAAGACTGTAAACATCAGTTCTATAGGACAATTGGGCTGGTTTCATTTGCAAGGTTTATCCATGTTGTAACTAACATGTGTCAGCATTTCATTCCTTTTTAAGGCTGAATAATATCCCTTTGTATGTAATATACCACAGTTTATCTTTTCATCTGTTGTTGGGCACTGGCTTGTTTATATCTTTTGGCTATTGTGAACAATGCTGCTATGAACATTAGTGTTTTCACACCTGATGGGTGTGAAGTTAGTATCTCATGGGTTTGATTTGTATTTTGTGACTAGTGATGTTGAACATCTTTTTTTGTGATTGTTGGCTATTTGTATATCTTCCTTGGAGAAAGGTCTAGTCAAGTCATTTGCCAATTTTTTTTTTTTTTTTTTGAGATTGAGTCTCGCTCTGTCGCCCACGCTGGAGTGCAGTGGCGTGATCTCGGCTCACTGCAACCTCTGCCTCCCAGGTTCAAGCGATCATTCCATCTCAGCCTCCCAAGTAGCTGGGATTACAGGCACCTGCCATCATGCCCAGCAATTTTTGTATTTTTGTAGAGACGAGGTTTCACCGTGTTGGCCAGATGGTCTTGAACTCCTGACCTCAGGTGATCCACCCGCTTTGGCCCCCCAAAGTGCTGGGATTATAGGTGTGAGCCACCGCACCCAGCTGGTAGATTTTTTGTTTTGTTTTGTTTTCAAGAAGGCCTCTCAGTGGCTTACCTCTGTGCCATGCTTTGGAGTTTGAGCTGTCTTCTCTTTACTAACTGTAGCTCTGTAGGACTTGGGAGTCAACCTTACCTTCTTTTTTCCTCCCTATTTTGTAGGTCTTGTTTGAGTTAGCTTTTCTTTTTATTCCAGGCCTGTAAATTTTACTAGATTGTCTCTAGGAATTTCATTTTACTAATTTGCTTCAGCCTGCCTGCCTGCCATCTCTTTTTACTAATTTGCTTCTGCCTGCCTGCCTTCCTTCCTTCCTTCCTTCTTTCCTTCCTTCCTTCCTTAATTCCTTCCTTCCTTCTTCCCTTCCTCTCTCTCTCCCTCCCTCCCGTCCCTTCCTTCCCCCCTCCCGTCCCTTCCTTCCCTTCTTTTCTTTCCATTTATTTTGAGATAGAGTCTTGCTCTGTTGCCCAGGCTGGAGTGCAGTGGCGCAATCTTGGCTCACTGCAACCTCCGCCTCCCGGGTTCAAGCAGTTCTCCTGCCTTAGCCTCATAAGTAGCTGGGATTACAGGTGTACGCCACCATGCCCAGCTTATTTTTGTATTTTTAGTTCAGAGATGGGTTTTCACCATGTTGGCCAGGCTGGTCTCGAACTCCTGACCTCATGTGATCCTCCCGCCTTGGCTTCCCAAAGTGCTGGGATTACAGGTGTGAGCCACAATGCCCAGCCTCCTCACCCCTCCTTTAGCTATTATATTACTTCCTAGATTTCTTCCTCTCTATTTCACCCTTTTTCTGTTCCTGAAACCCCTACAGGATGGGTGTGGGAGTTTGTGTCTCTTGACTCTTCTTTCAAATTTTCTTTTGCTTTCTCACTTGCTCTTGTTTATTGAGATATAATTCACATACCATAAAATTCACCATTTTAATGTGTACAGTTCAGTAGGTGTCAGTATATTGAAAACTGTTCAACCATCACCACTATCTAATTTCAGAACAGTTTTCTCACCCAGTGAAACCCAGTACCCATTCTTCTCCAACCCCTGGCAACAACTAATCTACTTCTTGTCAGCTGATTTGCTATTCTTGATATTTCATATAAATGGAATCATACAGTGTGTGGCCTTTTGTGTCTAGCTTCTGTCATTTAGCATAATGTTTTCAAGGTTCCTCCGTATGGTGGAATGTGTGAGTACTTCATTCTTTTTCTAGCTGAATAATCTTTGTATGGCTATTCCACATTTTGCTTATGTGGTCTTGATGGACATTTGGGGTTGTTTCCACATTTGGCTATTATGAATAATGGTGCTCTGAACATTTGTCCACAGGGTTTTGTGTGAACATATACGTTTTTATTTCTCCTACAGTGGTGAGATTGCTGGATAAAATGGTAACTCTGTGTTGAACCTTTTGAAGAACTGCCAAAGTCTCTTTGTTAAACTTTTATTTTAGGTTCAGGGGTACACATGCAGGTTTGTTATATAGGTGAACTCATGTTATGGGGGTTTGTTGTATGAATTATTTGGTCACCCAGGCACTAAGCTTGGTAAGGACCAATTGTTATTTTTTCTGATCCTCTCCCTCCTCCCACCCTCCACCCTAAATAGGCCCCCGTGTCGATTGTTCCCTCTTTGTGTCCATGCAAACTTTCTTCTTTTATTGCTCTTCCTTGACTTTATCTTTGAGCTCTCAAACTTGATATTTATCCCCACTCATTTTATTATTTAGGATTTCCAGTTAATTTTTTAATTTCAACAATCATATTTGAAAGTTTTTGTTCATTTTCTTTTTCTCTGATTGGTCCTTTTTCCTAGCTGCCTATATTTGGTGTATAATATACTTTTGAATTTGAGGATAAATATTAGGATTATAAAAATCCTCGTCTTGGAGCAGAATTTAGAATTAAATATTGTTATTAATATTTAAGGCTAAACATTAGGATTATATAATATAAGCCTGGAACCTGGACTTTGAAAAAAAGGGAACAAAATTAGGATTATGAACATTGTATTCTTATCTCTTGAACTTGCAGGTCACTTCTTTTTCATCATGGTCCTGCTTTTTAATGCTGTTTATTTCTCAAATGCCTGGTGATCTCTGGTTCTTCATTTATATTATGAATAAATGATTAAATTGATTGGTATAGAAGTTGGCAATATGAGTTTCCTTTATTCTTGCCTAAGTCTCTTTCTCCAATAGCTTCTCCTTTAAAGAAAGGGCTGGTATGTGGGTAGGTGAGGCCTGTTGACTGGTTGACTTTAATTTGGGATTCCAGCTGGCTGAAGATCAGTAGGCAGGCTGGAGGCCTCTGCAATTGCCAGGGTGGGTTTTTCTTTGCAGTGGAACTGGCTTTCCTCATTTATTCCCTTCCCCGCTTCGGTATCTGGAGGACCACAGTTGCTGCTTCCCACATCCATCCATCCAGTGAGCAAGGTGGATTGCTCACTGTAGGAATGATTTTCCACATTTACCCAGGAGGCCAGGGCTGCAGGGTTTATTCTGTGTACCAGGGAAGGGAGATGGAAAAGAGACAGGACCTGATTGGCTCTGCTGTTCCTTGTACAAGGACACAATTTTTCCTTGTGCAGTTGTTTAATCTGATTATTGTCCTGTGGCTCATTCTTTCTTTTTGTCTTAGTTTATTCCAAGTCCCTGAGGCTTCCTTGGGAACGTCTGTCTACCTGTGGTTCTTAGACAGGGGATTCCTTTGTTGATTCTCTGTCAGTCTTAATTCTATTTGTGCATGTCATCTGAGATTTTCTCAAACTTTCTAGTCCACTTTTAGCCCTCCTTTTTGTTTCCAATTATCATTTAATAAAAAGAGCTTGTATTTTAGAGACTCTAGAGGGTTCAGAAAAGTGAGTGTCAAGTGTTCAGTGTGCAATCATTAAAGACAGAGAATATCTCATAAGTTTGCATCTGTGTTACTTACACGATTGTGATTTAGGGATGCTTTATTTCTTTCCCTTTCCCTTTTATTTTTCCTTTTGTTTCTTTTATGTATTTTTTATTATTATTATTTTTAGAGACTCACTCTAAAAAAAATAGGGTCTCACTGTGTTCCCCAGACTGGAATGGGACTACAGGTACATGCCACCATGCCTGGCTAAATTAAATTTTTTTTTTTTTTTTTTTTTTTTTAGAGACAGGGTCTCACTTTGTTGGCCAGGCTGGTCTTGAACTCCTGGCCTTAGTGATCCTTCCATCTTGTCCTCCTAAAGTGCTGGGGATTACAGGTGTGAACCACTGTACCCGGCCAAAGTTTTTATTTTTTAATATGATGTATAAGGTTTAGAAGTGCTTTATTTTATTTATTTATTTATTTTTGAGACGGAGTCTCGCTCTGTTGCCCAGGCTGGAGTGCAGTGGCACGATCTCGGCTCACTGAAACCTCCGCCTCCTGGGTTCAAGCGATTCTCCTGCCTCAGCCTCCCAAGTAGCTGGGATTACAGGCGCCCACCACCACGCCTGACTAATTTTTGTATTTTTTAGTAGAGATGGCATTTCACCATGTTGGCCAGGCTGGTTTTGAACTTCTGACCTCAAGTAATCAGCCTGCCCTGGCCTCCCAAAGTGCTGGGATTACAGGCGTGAGCCACCATGCCCAGGAGAAGTGCTTTTAACTCCACACGTGTTTAGGTTTTTTGGTTTGTATTTGTTATTTTTACTTTTTTCCTTTTGTTACATCAAAATGAGTCCTTTATAATTTCTGCCCTAGGGAATTCTAATAATTTATCTTTGTGGTCCAATATAAAATCATTTTAAATGTATGCCATGAATGTAGTCAAGTATTGATAATAATGTAGTACTAGTAGTTTGCTCAGTCAGCACAAATTGTCAGGACACAGTGGTAATTTCTGCATGTGGATTATCTCCTGATTCTTAGAACAACATGAAACCAGGCTCATGAAAGATGAGTAATTATCCCAGGGTACTGTCTCCCTCACCTCCAATGGTGGGCCAGAGCTAGGTCCAAGACTTTGAATTCTAGAGTGTTAGACACCATCCTATGCAGCCTCCCACTGAGTAAGGGTGGTCACTGTTTGTAGGGTGTAGAGTTTGATAGATACGTCTGTTACTTTGACTTCATTAGTTTTATTTAGGATGCTTGAATGTGTGAATGTATTGATTAATATATTCGTTATTGCCTTCTCTCTGTGCTTGGAAGAGAAGAAAATTGAAGTTTACCACTACCATGGGTTTACTTTGCGTGCTTTGTTATTTGGTGTATAAAGATTCACACCTTAGATCTTCTGTAGGTCATATGGTGTTTCGTTTAAAGGGAATCTTCTTCTGAAGAGTTTAGCCTTGAATTCTGCTGAGATTTACATTGGCAATCCTGTTTGCATTTTGTTTGCCTTGGACAGCCATACTTTTATGCACTCCTTTCCTACTAATGTGTTTATTTTGCTTTTGATGTTGATATATTTGTTCAACCAACATTTTTAGATGCCCGAGTGCGCTCCAAGCACTGTCTAGGTGTCACAGTGGCGATCGGGATACAGCCCTGCCTTCATGGATCTTCTGGGCTGGTCGAGGAGACAGACAATAAACCAGTCAACGAATGAATAAGTAACTGCAAAATTTTAGTTCTGCTCTAATGTGGTAGCCATTCACTTCATGGGGGTTATTTAAATTAGTTAAATTAATAGTAGCTTACTCATTCAGCATGTATTGTCGGACACAATGGTACTTTCTGCACATGGATTATCTCCTTTGATTCTTTTAACAACATGCGGTACGTATTGTTATCGGTCCTACTTACGAGGTAACCAGGACTAGGCACATGAAAGATGACTAATTACCCCAGGGCACTGTCTCCCTCACCCTCAACTGTGGGGGTAATTTTTAAAATAAAAATTAAGGCCAAATACAGTGGCTCACGCCTATAATCCCAGCACTTTGGGAGGCTGAGGTGGGCAGATCAGTTGAGCTCAGGAGTTCAAGACCAGCCTGGACAACATGGTGAAACCCTGTTTTTACTAAAAATACAAAAATTAGCCAGGTGTGGTGACACACACCTACAGTCCCGGCTACTTGGGAGGCTGAATTGGGAGGATTACTTGAGCCCGGGAGGCATTGCAGTGAGCGGAGACTGCGCCACTGCTCTCTAGCTTGGATGACCCTGTCTCCCCCCAAAAAAAAAAATTAATTTGAATAAAATTTGTTGTTCCTCACTTGCATGTGTCATATATTATGTGCTTGATAGTCATGTGTCTAGTGGATACTGGATTGAACAGTGCAGATGTGGGACATTTGTCAGTGCACGAAGGTTTGGTAGACAGTGGTGCCTTAGATGCCGTCATGGAGATGGGTTGGTTCTGAGGTACAGTGTCAAGTCACTGGGGGCACCTGGAGTGGTGACCTGAGAAAACCTGAATTTTGAGAAGGAACCTGTACTGTGAGGGTGTTGTCTATGGGGCATGTGGTACTTGTATTTAGGATTTTGGTAAAAAGTGACTATTCATAAGCTATTTAAAGTTTCTATTTTAAAAGTATAGGGTTTTTAGGTAGTGTGTTTTCTTTTGTTCTAATAGGAATTGTTTTGGTCATATTAGGGAAAATAATTGGCTTGTTGATACATTTTTATTTCCATTGATTAAATCTGGTAGCCATTATTTACTTTTATAGATTGAAAAATGGTTCAGTGTTTCAAAAGTATTTTGAGCTTGTCTTTGAAAAGAGATAGACAGGCAGGTGCAGTGGCTCAGACCTGTAATCGCAGCAGTTTGGGAGGCTGAGATGGGAGGATTGTTTGTCAGGAGCTCAAGGCCAGCCTGGGCATCATAGCGAGACCCCATCTCTACAAAAAGTAAAAAAATTAGCTGAGCGTGGTGGTGCATGCCTGTAGTCCCAGCTACTTGGGGGGTTGTGGTGGGAGGATGGCTTTTCCAATTATCCTACAGATATTTTTCAAAATGATTACTTTTAAACTATAATCTTTTTATTCAGAGGTAGGATGCTAGTTCTACAATTGCCTAGGTCTTCTTTAATTTGTATATGTTAAGAAATTTTAATGGGCAATTTAATAAGTGTTGAAATTTCTAAGAATTATTTCTGTATGTTAGAGTTGTGATAACGCAGACATTTTCCCTGAAGTACTTCTCTGAGTCTGATTTGTTTTCCTCCATGGGTGCCACATAGGTTTATTTTAAGAAGGTAAAAAATAAAAGCTGACTAAGGTACATATTGATTATTCCAGACAACATGCAGACATCACCCAATGAGTGCAGTTCTCATCAACTCACCATTTGTTTCAATTAGAAAAAATTCTCATCAAAACTAATTTTTCTGCATGAAATACCTTTTCAAATCACACTGAATGTGATTTATTAATTGTGATTTATCAAATTCAGTTTTCTGCTGGATACTAAAGGCACACCTCATTAAGACTAGTGATTATGGAAATAGTACAATATTTTAGAAACTTTTGATTGTAAAAATTTCTTTTAAAATGAATACATACAGATATGTTATTGTTCAGATATTTAGCACTTACGTAGAAACTCACTGATCTACTAACAAGTAGAAAAGAGACCTTTAGCCAAATGCCTCTGTACTCAGCAATAAAATGATTAATTACTGTGTTGCTCTTTTCTCTGGTTAAGGCTTTTAACAAATTTTGTTTTTCCTTTTACTATTACACCATAACTTGTTTAAATTTTGTTGCTGTTGCAGAATTACAGCAGACATTACAGTTCATGTCTCCCTGTGTATACGAGGGAGAGTTTCTCTGGGCTGTGTACATGGGGGAGTGTGGGCCTGACCTGTCACATTCAATTTTTATTTCACAGTCTTGTATCTAATGCTCATCATTGCATAATGTAACTAGCTGGGGTTAGTTTCCTCAGTCCCTGACTCTTCTCTTCAGAGCCTGTTTTCTCTCCGTTTACAGATGGGCCAAGGTTGCTCGGGTGATTGGTTTACTGGCTTCGCACAAAACTGATCTCCAGGAAAATACACCTGTTGTTGAGGTAATGTCTTTTATGACTGAAATGTGATGAATGACAAGAAATACTGTTGTTGATTCTGTAATTTAGAACATGCGGCTTTCCTTGACCTTCACTTGACTTTTCTTTGTGGGATTGTGGAAATTGTTCAAAAACTTATCACCTCAACAGACCTTTAGGCTTAAACATAGCGGCTCATTTACAATGTAGTCCATCATTAAAATGGCACAGCAGAGTTAACAAGGCTCGTGAACCCTACTCATCATTATTTCATTTGTTTTTGAATAAGGCTTGTTCATTTCCCGTTTTCTTGTAGTCTGTCCAACATTTTGTTACAGCTAATGTATTTCCTAATTAAATCATAGCTTATAATTCAAAATTCAAATTCTTCTGGCTTTTAGTGTTTTCGTATGAAAGATTACTTTCTACCTATTCTGTTAATGTATATTACACTTTATTGGTAATAGAGTGTTATACCTTGAACTGGGAGAGGCTCAAGAGTCAGTGTAGGTGAAAAGAACCAAGGCTTTTTAGGGGAAATAGCAAGAGGTCCTGAAGGAAGTTAAAAAGGGTAAGGGAGAGAGGATTTTGTAGAGCTGAAGCTGGTTGTGTGGTATTTGGGGCTTTAAGAGGAATTGGAAAACTTTCTATGTCTGTGTTGTCCACTATAGTAGCCAATTGGTATTTGGAGCCTCAAGAGGAATTGGAAACTTTTCTCTCTGTGCCATTCACTGCAGTAGCCAATTGCTGGGATAGTATACCAGCTGGCCTTACAGTGTCTGGGTGGAGATTAATATAATTTCACTGTATTTCCCTTGCTTACAATTACATCTCTATTTCCTGCAAACTGTTGGATCTCTGAGCTACTAGTAAAATGCCACTAAGTCTAATTTTTTCCTTTTTTGGGGGGCCTAAAATAAATGAATTGTGACCTGTGTGATTACTGATGGTACCCAACTTGGTTCTCAGAGATGTGTCGAGTAGATTTTTATCTAAAAGATTGAGCATATAGGGCAGTATTACCAGGAAGATGAGAAGGCTTAGGATCTTAAAAATGGGGGTTCCTTCTGATGGCTCAGAGCAAAAGGTCTCCAGTGAGATGGAGTAGCTGTAGAAGATGGGAGAGAACATAAAGTCCAAGACAAAGTCCCAAGATTTTAGAGGATATTCATGCATCGTCAGAGCAGGCATTTGTTGCTCAGAAGCTGTGAAGAAAGAGCCTCTGAATATGTAAAATATGACTGTTGAATTAAATGATTCAGTAGTTGCAGTAGATTATGGATACTTTAGGAAGCTGAGTTAGTGAATTTGAAGATCAGTTGGATGAATTCTCTTAGGATTCAGAAAGAAAGAGGATAAAGATTGTGAATTAAAAAGGCATGGATGATAGTTTCAGATGTGTTCCACTATCCAGTATAGTAGCCACCAGCCACTGTGGCTATTGAGTGCTTGAAGAACAGCTAGTCTGAATTGAGATGATCAACTTATAGAAAAGAATACTATGGGCACCCTGTAATTTCCAAACCCCTTGTTCTACTTGATCTTTTTCACAGCATATATCACCACCTGGCATTTTATGTATTTATTTCTCTTTCCATACTAGACTACAAGCTCCATTGGAACAGGGATTGTGAATTGTCTTGTTCAACACTCCACCCCCGTGCCTAGACAGTGTCTTGTGTATATCTAGATACTGACAAATATTTTGAAATAAGTGAATGAAAGTGTATCAGTATGCTTGGGACTCCCTGTAGCAGTGCCTGGAAGATGGTATGTTTTGCTGCTGCAGGAATTCTCAAGGGACTGGGCAGAGGGCATGTGAAGTAATCTGGGACCTGCTTGTCACCCTGGGTGATGTGCTGCCCTTGTTCTACTGGTACTTGCTGTTGCGGCTGCTGCACTCCCACTTGGAGAGTTTGGCCCAGCAGTTCCTGGACCATATTTGTTACTTGTGCTCACTCAGGTTGAGTTCTGTGGCCAGTTTGTATTCTCAAAGTATTTCTGCTACTCCAGTTATACTTTGTCAACGTTGTATTCCTGGTCCTGCCTCAACTGAGAGGAAAGGGTGGGTGTTAATTCCCGAGGTTCTTGTATCTTTGATTCCGGTACTGTTCTCTTCATGGGTGTTTGCTGATGCTTTATTAATTTGAAATGCAAGACCTTAGGGAAAATCATACTTATTTCATTTAAAAAATGGTGTGTACTGAACTATCTGGTGAACTGTTTTGAATTACACACACTGTATTGTGAACTACATTTGGTTGGATAGTAGGGAGCTTATATAATAACTTGAAATTGAGCCAGGTGCTCCTTTGTGATGCCATCTTAATTTTATTATTTCTCCACACCTTTTAGTTCTTTAGTTTGTTACTTTTAATGGCAAAATCTGTGAATTTCTTTTACATCAACCTATTTCCTGCTGTGAGCAATTGGCTGTGATAATTTAAGGAGCCACTAGAGGTCATTCAAGCACTAGAAAAAAAGTTGTGCAAGTTTTAAGAATTTGTTTCAACTTCCGGAAGCAGGATCTGTAGAGGCTGAGCAGGTACATGGTACCACGTTTCATCTTTTTCCTGGTTTTTTAGAAGTTTCTGCTACAGGATGTGTGGCTCCATTCCACTGGTGATTTTTACCATTTGAGAGGAATCAGATGAATGAAAACCATTATAGCCTCTCCAGAAAAATGCAGTCAGCACCTAGCACATGATTTCAGGGGATCTGAAAACTCTGCGGAGTCCACTGGTGAATCTTTGGTTCATAACTCCTGAGACCAGGTTTCTGTAAAACTCACAATTGGGTGCTTGTAGATAATTTTTCAGTAATCAGTAACAAAATTTCAAGTGTAAGATAAATCCTGAATTCTCTATTAGATTTACTATCAGTGAACAAGAAAAATTGTGGTTGAAGTTCCTGTAAGCATTTTATTTTTTATTTTACTTATTTATTCATTTATTTTTTGAGACAGAGTCTCGCTCTGTTGCCCAGGCTGTAGTGCAGTGGTGTGATCTCGGCTCACTGCAACCTCTGTTTCCCAGGTTCAAGAGATTCTCAGCCTCAGCCCCAGCCCCACAAGTAGCTGGGACTGCAGGTTCATGCCACCATGCCCCGCTAACTTTTGTATTTTTAGTAGAGACAGGGTTTCACCATATTGGCCAGGCTGGTCTTGAACTCCTGGCTTCAAGTGATCCACTTGCCTTGGCCTCCCAAAGTGCTGGGATTACAGGTGTGAGCCACTGCACCAGCCTGGTACTTTCTAATATTTTGGATGCTTTCTTACTTGCTAAGCACTTTCTCTTACCTGGAATGTTTTTTACATTACCCCCTCCCCCAGTGATCTAATTTCTACTTTCTCTTTAAAGCCCAGCTAACATTCCATTTTCTCCATCAGGCCTTCCCTAACAGTCCCAGAACTCCTACATTGCCTGGTGTGCTGACCTAAAGCCCTCATTAAGACCAGTAACAAATCAAGCCTATCTTATCAACTGACAACACATTCTGGAACCATGGCGTGTCCATGGATAAGACATGAAGTCCTTCTTTCAAGACTTGGTTTTCTGGTACTGGAAAATACCAATATGGATAAAAGACCTTCAAAGCTGCTACGATGGGTAAGGAACAATGCACACAGTATACCATTAAGGCAAAGAAGATAGTCTTAATCCTGTATGAAATGCCAATGAAGATGTAATTAATGAATAGACATTTCATTGAAATGAAATCAAAAGACATTTTCCTTCTCTGACATAACAGAGTAGAACTCTCTAGTAAGAACACAAAACTGACCAGCCTGACCAATGTGATAAAACCCCCTGTCTCTACTAAAAAGACAAAAATTAGCCATGCATGGTAGCAGATGCTTGTAATCCCAGCTACTCAAGAGGCTCAGGCATGAGAATCTCTTGAACCCAAAAGGTGGAGGCTGCAGTGAGTCGAGATCGCACAACTGCACTTCACCCTGGGCGACAAAGCAAGACTTTGTTTTTTAAAAAAAAGAAGAAGAAGAGAAAAAGAAAAAGAACACAAAACTCTGGTTACTGCTCTATGAGAATTAAGTGAATGTGAAGGAGAAGTTGGAATAATATTACAAGTTGGTGAAATATTGGAATTCTGGTCTGTTGGTGATTGGTCTTCATCTTTCCTATAAGAGATAGCTCATTACACAATGTATTCTCATTTGTCTGAACGGGATTATTTCCCTTAAGGCGATGGCCTCTTCTGCATCTTTATGTCTCTAATGTCTAGCATGGGAACTACTCAATATATATTTCAGGTTGTTGACAATGATTGCTGCTGTCTATTCCATCTAGGTAAGGGTTTTTGCATTCAAAAGGCCCTTTGCCTTAAGACCTAAAGAGGTTTTGGAACATCAGCAAGCATCCATCTCGAGGTAAATAACTGGAATCCCAATGGGCTGTGTGTGTGTGTCTGTGTGTGTGTGTGTGCGTGCTAACTGGAATCCCAGTGGGGTTTGTGTGTGTGTGTGTGTGTGTGTGTGTGTGCTAAATGGAATCCCAATGGGGTTTTGTGTGTGTGTGTGTGTGTGTGCGCTCATGCCTGCATACACATGCGTGCACTTCTGGTACATTTTGAACAGGCATCAGATTATGTTCCCACAGCCCCTCTTCATCAAAATGAAGACCTTGTACGTCTGAAATACAGTTTGTGAAAGTCAAATTGTTATCCCTGTGACATAGAACAGCCGTTAAAAATGTATTTCACTGGAATGTCATTCTAAATGAATATTTTTAAATAGATATCCAAAAATAAGAAAATACAGTGATTTTAGTGTAATAAAACTGATTTCACAATTGTTTCAAGAAACTCGGAAAATAAAACTTCAAACTGGAAAAATGTGGCCATAAGAATGCATGGAGCCGGACGCGGTGGCTCATGCCTGTAATCCCAGCACTTTGGGAGGCCGAGGCGGACAGATCACGAGGTCAGGAGATCGAGACCATCTTGGCTAACACGAGGAAACCGCGTCTCTACTAAAAAATACAAAAAATTAGCTGGGCGTGGTGGTGGGCGCCTGTAGTCCCAGCTACTCGGGAGGCTGAGGCAGGAGAATGGCGTGAACCTGGGAGGCGGAGCTTGCAGTGAGCCGAGATTGAGCCACCGCACTCCAGCCTGGGCAAAAGAGGAAGACTCCGTCTCAAAAAAAACAAAAACAAAAACACAAAAAGAATGCATGGAGTTAGTTCATTCTTCTCGCCCCCTGGAACTTCTGATCAAAAGTCAATACCTTTGTGACCTACAAGTCTCTTTATTTGCCCTCCATTATAGACTGAGCTGTTAATAACATTTAATGAGCTCACATGGATTCACTGGCTAATAAAGAAGAATAGAGTTGAGGACATTGCTGCCCTGTTTATGCCCAAAAATTACCCTAAACTGAAAGTTGCTTTGTGTTCCTTCACTCCCCTCTGCTGGTAAATTTTAATATAGTTCTTAATTTTTTTAAGTCAAATTGATAGAAACATCAATTGTGTTTTTAAAACTGTAAGAAAAAATAATGTTGAACATCACAAAAATGTACTCAATCTTTCCCAAAACCCATTTCTTTCCAGTTAGTTTTCATAACTGTAGGTTCTTAAAAAAAAAAAAATGAACACTTTGGCCGGGTGCGATGGCTCATGCCTGTAATCCCAGCACTTTGGGAGGCCGAGGCGGGTGGATCACGAGGTCAGGAGATCGAGACCATCCTGGCTAACATGGTGAAACCCCGTCTCTACTAAGCCAAAATACAAAAAATCAGCCAGGCGTGGTGGCGGGCGCCTGTAGTCCCAGCTACTCGGGAGGTTGAGGCAGGAGAATGTTGTGAACCCGGGAGGCGGAGCTTGCAGTGAGCCAAGATCACGCCACTGCACTCCAGCGTGGGTGACAGAGCAAGACTCCGTCTCAAAAAAAAAAAAAAAAAAATGAACATGTCATCCATACTTCTAAGGTGTTGTAAAGATGTGTAAAGTTTTCACTTTTTGCATCATATTCACATGTGGCTATATGCCCTTTTCTCTTCAAAGTTTTCTTTATCTTGATTACTTATCAGAGGCTTGACTGTTTTATTATCTCACTCTTTTGAAAGAATCCTCCTTTAGTTTTATTTTTTAAATCTAGTGGTTTTTCTTTTTCCTTTTTCCTTATGTCTTAATTATTTCCCCCTTTTTGTTTGTTTTGCTTTTCCCAGTTTAGTGGATCAATGTAATTTAAATTGCTTTTTAAACAAACATATAAGGGTATACATTTTCGTTGGGTGCTGTTTGACTTTGTTGCACAAGCTTTAAAATCTATTTTTTAATAGTTTGTATTTTCTAAATTATTTTATTACAACTTTTGTTCACATTGCTCTTACTATTAATTTTTTATTTTTATTAATTAATTAATTTATTTATTTATTTATTGAGATGGAGTCTTGCTCTGTAGCCAGGCTGGAGTGCAGCGGCATGATCTTGGCTCACTGCAAGCTCCACCTCGGGGTTTCATGTCATTCTCCTGCCTCAGCCTCCCAAGTAGCTGAGACTACAGTTGCCTGCCACCCCATCCGGCCTTTTTTGTATTTTTAGTAGAGATGGGATTTCACCGTGTTAGCCAGGATGGTCTCGATCTCCTGACCTCATGATCCACCCACCTGGGGCTCTCAAAGTCCTGGAATTACAGGCATGAGCCACTGCACCCTGCCCAAAAAGCTTTGTGTTTTTACAGATATTAGACATGTTTCTTGTTTAAGAAAAAAAATCTTAACGAAAACGCAGGAGAATAAGAGAAACATTTTTCCAAAAAAGAGAAATCATTGTGATTATTTTATCTTATTAGAATGTTGGATAATATAGTCTGCTTCATTAATCATCAAGCATGCTATGCATTTTCCATTTTTATAGGATCTGTATCTCAGTTAAGGTAATACTGGTAATTTTTGTACTGTAATCAAAGATGAAAAATATAGGCCAAAATCATAGACCTTGCATAGAAGCTGGATAATGAAGACAGCTAAGGAGAAAAACATAGATACACACACACAGACACACATATATATAAAGTATACACACATATATTTTTTAAAGTTTTAAAGCTTTTAAAGCAAAAGCCGGCCCCTCTTCTCTTCCAGAGTGGGAGGCCTCTCCCCTCTCTTAGAGTGGGTGGCGAGAGCGGTTGCCATGGGCAGCTTTCCTTGTGAGCCACAGGGCCCTCTGGACACACTGCTTTCTGGCCACGCCCCCTTTCCTTTTCATCTTTCTCATTGACCAATGGGCTTGGAGCATTAAGGCCACGCCCCTATTCCGCATTCTACTGGGGCCCTGGTTACGCCTCCTCTGGCTCAGTCACACAGCTGCCTGGTAGGTGACTGGAGGCCTTGATTGGTTCTCATTGAGATTTTGCTGCTGTGACCCCAACCCTGCCTCCCTCCCCACCCTGCGATGGCAGAAGAAACTCAACACAACAAATTGGCTGCAGCCAAGAAAAAGGTAAAAACGCACTAGGTCATAGCCCCTCAACCCAGCCACAGATCCCCTCTGATGACAAGACCCCTGCCAGAGTCTATACGACTCCTGAGGCACACTGGACTGGTCCCCCCTACCCCGGTGCCTCTGGGCTACCCCCATCAAAGTTTTGTCAGTCAGCCCCACCCCTTCAGCAAGCAGCCCAGTCCTTGCCCTCGCCAATCACCCCAGGGTGACTTTGGGTGGGTGACTCCTGGGGCTTCCCGCTCCATTACTGGGCCCTCATCTCCTGCCGCCCCAAGCTTGATCTCCCTGGGCTCTTTGGGCTCTCATCTCCAAGGAGCCAGGCCCCACCCTCGCCAGTCATCCCTGGGTGACTTTGGACTGGTGACTCCTGGGACTCCCTGCTGCAGACTGTGCCCTCCCCTCCTGCTGCCTCAAGGTCGACCTCCCTGGGTTCTTTGTGCTGGCGTCTCCAAGGAGCTGGGTCCCAACCCTGTGCTTCCCTCCCCCATCGTGGAGCAGCGACTTGGACATGGTGCTGACATGGTCCCTCCCCCCGACCAGGAGGAGTGGAATGTTGTGATGTCACAGTCCACCTAGTAACTGCTGTTACTGCAAGACTGGCCTTTGATCTTACGACCCAGTCCCCTAAGCGTTCTCACCCCGTTTCTGGTTCCTCTGGTCACAGCACAAATTTCCAGCTGGAAGGGGAATGGAGACTATGGGACCTAGGAGCAAGAGGTTCCAGGCTGCCTCACTCCCTTACAGATGTTGACGGTGGGAAAAGCCTACACTTCCCCCATGAACTCAAAACGTTGACAGTATCTCTGGGTGGCAATGAGAGAATGGGTTTGATTTGGTTTTCTCCCAGGCTTCTACTTTCCAGAGAGATTTTAACATTTTTTTCTGAGTTCTCCACCTCATATTCTAATTCTCCATGGTTCTGGGACCAGACTCTCCTTCAGTCAGTGGTCTCTGAAGTGACATTTGCTCATCTTCTGTGGAATAGATCTTGGGAAACTGAACTTGACACCTTGAATCTTCCTCATATTATCTCAACCTTGGGTACTTTGAGTGCCACAGGATAAATGTGGGACATCTTTCTGAAGCATCAGTTTCCCTTGATTCTCTTGAGATCAAGAGAAAAAACATGAATGTACTTAGGGATGACAGTCACATAGGTTTCTAAGAGTATACCAGCCCTCTCTCTGAAATGAGGCTTGGGTTGTCCTCTTTCTGATAAATTCTGATTTAAGAGAAAGGCTGCCTTCTGCCATGAGGACACATTGATATAAGAGTTTGAGAGGTACTGGTGCACTTCTTCACACTAACAGACGTGTGAGGATGTATGACTCTAAACCACATGGCATACAGTTCCTGCCTACTTAATGTTTACTTTTCTACCTCTGCCTCTGGTTTTGGTCCCTGGCAGCTGCTGATTCTTGGCAAAACCTCAGAGCTTGGAGTCAGAAGACTGAGTTTCAAAGTTCCAGTATTGCCTTTTTCTTTTTTTTTTCTAGCCATGATATCAATCCTTCTCAGTCACTAAATGAGTGTGACAACACCTTGTACGGTTGTTGGTGTCATTAAATCAGATGGTGTGTAAGTGTATTTTGTAAAAACTGTAAAGGAGGATGTGGCTGCAGGGGCTGACGGTTCTCATGAGTATTACTGCTCTTCTTTCCAACAGTTAAAAGAATATTGGCAGAAAAACAGCCCTAGAGTTCCAGCAGGAGCGAACAGGAACAGGAAAACAAATGGCAGTGTCCCTGAGAAAGCCACTTCTGGTGGTTGCCAGCCACCTGGGGATGTGAGTCTTGGCTGACCAGGCTTCTGGGGACAGGGGGCCCAAGGGGCAATAGAGGGTAATTCTTAAGATTGTGGATGGACTGCTGGGTACTGGTTAAGAATTCTGGCTTTAGCCGGGTGTGGTGGCCTACGCCTGTAATCCTAGCACTTTGGGAGGCCAAGGCAGGTGGATCATGAGGTCAGGCGATCGAGACCATCCTGGTTAACACGGTGAAACCCTGTCTCTACTAAAAATACAAAAACATTAGCCAAGCGTGGTGGCGTGTGCCTGTAGTCCCAGCTACTCAGAAGGCTGAGGCAAGAGAATGGTGTGAACCTGGGAGGTGGAGCTTGCCGTAGCCAAGATTATGCCACTGCACTCCAGCCTGGTGACAGAGCAAGACTCTGTCTCAAAGAAAAAAAAAAAAGGAATTCTGGGTTTGAATCCTGCCTCTCCATCTGCTCTGCTAGGGATATGATTTAGGGAAAGTTGCTAGACCTCATCGGGCCTCTCTTTTCACATCTGTATAATAGAGGTGATATTGTTTCACTTCCATTTGTGAAATTTTCATGAGATTTGTTATTGTTGTTTTTATGTTAATCCCTAGTACATGGCCTGCTGTAAACACTCAGGACACCCAGGATATGGTTTGATTTTCCTGATCCCCAGTCTCAAGGGGAAACCAGGACAATGAGAACAGCCACTTGCCATCAGGAGTCACTGAAGGGGCCCCAGGATGGGATGGTGGGGAGATAAGAACCATGAGAGAAGTTGGCACAAAGGAGTTATGGGACAAAAGGTCCAAGATAGGCAGAAAAGAAAATGTTGCCAGTTGATGGGGAAGAAAGGAAGTCAGAGGGCTCAGACACTGTGGGGGACAGAACATCTCCATGTGCACTCTCATCTCTTGTAGTCAGCAACAGGTTTCCACAGGGAAGGCCCTACATCATCTGCTACCCTGAAAGATCTGGAGGTAAGAGGCTCTGGGCAGAGGTGCAGTGACCCTTCGGGTCAACCCTCCAACCTCCTCCTCCAGGTGGGACTGGGTGCCCCTCTGCCAGCTGAGACAGCCCACACACCCCAGCCCTAATGATTGTTCTCTCTACCTCTCCCCCCACTCCTGCTCCACCTCCTCCTCTCTGCATGCACCTCAGAGCCCGTGCCAAGAACGAGCAGTAGTCCTGGATTCAACGTCCGTAGAAATCAGTCAACTGAAGAACACCATCAAATCTCTGGTAAGAGTCCACTGGGGTCCCCTGATTCCATGCTGCCAATCCTGGGCTCCAGTTTCCCCTTGGGGCCCTGAAGAAAGGGGCTGGGGGTCCCTGGTGCCTGGGACAAATAGGGAGCTTGGGTGCCCAGGCCTCACCTGGAGGGACCCCAGAGCATGCAGCATGGCTCTTCTTTTGCTGCCCTCTTTGCCGACTCTCTCCTCTCCAGACACCCCTGCTCGAGTCCTTGCTACACACGCCCTGGGGTTGTTGCTTCTTGGGGAAGTGCTAGCCTGACTGGTTGTCAAGGGCCCCGTATTTCTGCCATGACTCAGTCCCTAATTTGCTCTTTGATTCTGGACAAGCCACCTCTCCTTTTTGGGCTCGTGTTTCCAGAGGAGGTAGTGAGTATCAAAGGTCTCTGTTAGCTCTCGAGTCTGAGATTTAAAGGCCCCCTAGAACGGAAACCTCAGGGCTAAGGGCTCCTGTCTGTCCTTTTCCATCCTATATCTGCTGTAAAGAACCGTACCTGGTCCATACATGCTCAGTAAATGTTTATTGAATGAACCCACTTCTCTAAATCACAAGTTGCCAGAAGGAGGGGCCTTTCTGAAACTCCATCTCTAGAGGTTTATATTGCTGTCCTCTCAAGAGATTCCAGATTCAGACTTTGAGTTCTGTGGCTGTGGGCAAAAGCCAACAAAGACCCAAATCCTCTGTCCTTGGGAGCTTGAGGAGAGTTTACCGGTTCGTGTTCCCATTATGTCTGAGAACTTTGCCTTTAAAATCCATTCCTGGCCCCTGCCTACCACTTCCTGGTCTGGGGAATAGAGTTGAGGGGGCCACCCTCCATCACCTTATTTGACTCTCCCCACAGAAACAACAGAAGAAACAAGTGGAACATCAGCTGGAAGAAGTAACGTGATTTCGTTTCCTCGCAACATGACTGCTGGGTTTGGGGGGCACTCAGACATACAGGCCCCAGTCTCGTCTCACCCACTCCCAGCCTGGGGATGAAGGCTCACCCTTCAGATTCCACCCCATCCCCACAGGGCCCCTGATAACCTGGTCCCATGGGTGGGCCTGTCCTGGGGCATTGGTGGCATTCTGGGGGCATGTCTCTTGCTGTGCCATCTCTGCCTCCCCCTGGTAAGAGCTCTGTCTTCTTCTTCCTACAGGAAAAGAAAGCAAACAACAAGAAACAGAAAGCCAAAAGGGTGCTAGAGGTGAGTGGAGGGTGTGCAGTTTCCTCCTGTCCTCCGGAGAAGGTTTGTTTCCTTCTCTTTCAGCACTTGCTTGGCTTTTCTCCCAAAGGTTCAAATCCAGACATTGAACATACAGAAAGGGAAACTAAATACGGACCTGTACCACATGAAACGTTCTCTCAGATACTTTGAAGGTGGGAATCTGGGCACCCTGTCATCCTTCAACCTGGCACTTTGACAGGTCTTCAGGGGGAGTCCTTTGGGCCCCATCTCAACTTTCTCATTACAGAAAAGTCCAAGGATCTGGCTGTCCGCCTGCAACATTCATTGCAGCATAAAGGAGAGTTAGAGAGTGTTCTCTCTAATGTCATGGCCACACAGAAGAAGAAGGCAAACCAGGTGAGTCCAACCACCTGCCCCATCCCCTGGGAGCCTGGCTTTGCAGATGGAGGAGTGAGCCTAAAGGTCCCTTCTGCAGGATGGCGTGTCCTGCCCAGAAGGCAGCATGGCCATTTCTTGCTACTTTTTTGTATGGTTTTTAGTGGCAGCCTGGGGCTGAGTCAGCTGCTGTGGGTGAGTTGGGGGGTACTGTGGGGAGTGAGCACTGGACGCAGAGCTTGGAGGCCAAGTGCCTGCCCCGCCCTTACCTGGCTGTGGTCTTGAGCAAGTCCTAGGTGGGGTATTGGGTACTTGTACTGTGAAGGTACAGAAGAGTACCTTTAGTATGTTACCATTTCTGTAGAAAGAGGAAACGTGTGTGCGTGTGTGTGTGTGTGTGTGTGTGTGTGCATACTGTGATAATATACATAAAACATGTCTGCAAGGGTTCATAAAAAATTCAGGAGAGAGCAACAAGATGGCCGGGAGATACTTCCCTTCTGTACCTTCTGAGTTTTGGACTATGCAAATGTATCATCCTTTCAAAAAGTGAACAAAAGATTAATTTTCCCCTTCCTATCTGTGCCCCCATCCCCAGCAAGAAAAACGGGCTTAGAGAATTGGATAGACCTGGGTGTTTATATCCCAGCTCTGCCTAAGTGAACTTAGGCAAGCACTTAACCTCAAATACTCCATGTTTTTTCATCTCCACAATAGAGGGAATCATAGTAACTGTCTCCTATGGTGGTTGCGAGGATTAAATGGGATTGTTAGCACGGTACCTGGTGAAGTATTCCACAAAGGTTCAAACAGTGGTAATAATAACAGTAATAACAATAGCAATATTATCTGATCTCTCTGGGCCTCTGTTAGCCAGCTATAAATTCAATCTCATTCCCTGTCCGTTCCAACTTTACTGTGTTCTTTTAAAAACCAGACCACGGGCTTGGAAATGCCTTGATCTTTACTGACTGAGTTGTATATTGGGCCTAGCCCTAGTCCTTTTAAGGGGCACTGTGTGGAAATGCCCAGGCTCTCCAGATTGAAACTTCTCACTCTTCACCATCCAGTTGTCCAGCCGCAGCAAAGCACGTACGGAGTGGAAGTTAGAGCAGTCCATGCGGGAGGAGGCACTACTGAAAGTGCAGCTGACACAGGTGAGGTTTTCTGAGGGAGTTATGTGGAAGGAAGATGACCCCAGGTGGCCAGGAGCAGGTGAGGACCAGTGACAGCCCTTCCTAAGTTCTGTGCCCATTCTTGCAGTTGAAGGAGTCATTTCAACAAGTCCAATTAGAAAGAGATGAGTGTGCTGAACATCTAAAAGGAGAGAGGGCCCGGTGGCAGCAGAGGATGAGAAAAATGTCGCAGGAGGTGAGATCTCACCCTTCAGCCCCCCCACATTAGATAGGTCACTGGATCTTTCTGGGCATCTGTAAAATGGGAATAGTAGAGCCAGAGGTGGTCATGGGTCTGGGCTTTGTGGAGGTGGGGGCAGAGAGGGAGAGGGCAGCCTGTCCAGCCTCCAGCCCCTCTCTCCAAGGCCCTTTCCCCTTGTGCTTTGGGCAGATTTGCACATTAAAGAAAGAGAAGCAGCAAGATATGCGTCGGGTAGAGAAGCTGGAGAGGAGCTTGTCCAAACTCAAAAACCAGATGGGTAAGATGGGGCTGGCATGACCTGGGAGCAGGACTGGCATCAGAGGGCTGTGAGGGTGGCTTAGAGTGCCCCAGGGAGGTGGGTGGATGGAAGGGCTTTGAGGCAGAGGGAAAGAGATCTGTGCCAGGAGACGGCGAGTCTTGTCATCTCAATGAGTCTCAGTGTCTCAGTGTCCCCATCAGGAAAGAGGGCCCGTTGCCAGCCACCCGCAGTGCTCTTTCTCTGAATGTGCTTTGGAAGACTGGCTACCATCTGGGTGCGAGGAATCATTAGCAGTGAGGCCAAGTTTGAGGAGCCTGAGAGGAGCTGTGCGCCAAGAGGAGGGTTTTTCTTTTCCGAGAATCCAGAGGCCCTTATTATCTGCTTCCTTTCTCAGCTGAACCCTTGCCCCCGGAGCCCCCAGCAGTGCCCTCTGAGGTGGAGCTGCAGCACCTGAGGAAGGAACTAGAGAGAGTGGCAGGAGAGCTCCAGGCCCAGGTCAAAAAGAATCAGCGCATAAGTCTCCTGAACCAGCGACAAGAAGAGAGGATTCAGGAGCAGGAAGAGAGGCTTCGGAAGCAGGAGGAGAGGATTCAGGAGCAGCACAAGAGCCTTCAGCAGCTGGCCAAGCCACAGAGCGTCTTCGAGGAGCCGGTGCGTTGCCCAAACTGGGGAGCTTGCCCTCCTCCCTAGCCCTCCGGGCCTTTGTTTCCCCACCTCTAAAATGGGGCAGTGTAGCCCTCACATGAAATGTTACTTCTAAAGGCACCTGTGAGCCAGGTGGCTGTGGGAGAGAGGGGGTGATTTTTCTAACCTGCCTCCAGCCTTCCCAGTGCCATGGGAGGCAGACACCAAGTTCTGGGGTCTCCAGCTGCAGTGGGTGGCTGCTGATTGCTTCTCTCTGTCCAGAACAATGAGAACAAGAACGCACTGCAGTTGGAGCAGCAAGTAAAGGAGCTACAGGAGAAGCTTGGCGAGGTGAAGGAGACGGAAACCTCCACCCCATCCAAGAAGGGCTGGGAGGCGGGCAGCAGCCTCTTGGGAGGGGAGGTGCCAGGCCAGAGGCAGCTTCCAGCCTGGGGGCTGGTGACCACAGCACCCCGCAGGGCAGTCCTGTGACTGTTTCTTGCTTCCTGCCTCTGACTTTTAAAGGTGGGTAGCCCTGGGCTCCTCTCAGGTCTGGACATCATCATCCCAGCTAGAGGCATGGAGCCCCCAATCACAGGGGAAGAGACAGTGCTATAACAGGCTCCTTATACCAGGTGCAGTGGCTCATGCCTATAATCCCAGCACTTTGGGAGGCTGAGGCAGGAGAATCACTTGAGGTCGGGAGTTTGAGATCAGCCTGGCCAATGTGGTAAAACCTCATCTCTACTAAAATTACAAAAAAAAAAAAAAAATTAGCAGGACATTGTGGCGCATGCCTGTAATTCCACCTACTCGGGAGGCTGAGGCACGAGAATTGCTTCAACCCAGGAGGTGGAGGTTGCAGTGAGCTGAGATTGCACCACTGCACTCCAGCCTGGGCCACAGAGTGACACTCTTGTCTGAAAACAAAACAAAAAGACTCCTTAGATTGAAACTGGATTCCAGCCTCGGTTCCACTGGTCACCATTCAACTACTTTGCATCTCTAAGTCTCTGTTTCTTTAACTTCAAAGGGAAGTTAGCATTTTCCTTACAGAGGTGCTGAGGATTAAATGAGAAGAGGGTATGAGATTTGAGGCTGGGGAAGGAGGCATGGGGTTCTAGGAAAGGGAGGCAGTCACTTAGGCCTGGAGTAAGGGGACAGGGGCCTGGGCAGCTGACAGAGCCCCACAGTGCCCTCGCTACCCTATTAATGGGCCCAGAATCTGGAAACCAGCCACCACATGCCCTCACACCCAGGGTCTTCCTGCAGGTGGAGCTGAAGAGCCAAGAGGCTCAGAGTCTGCAGCAGCAGCCAGACCATTACCTGGGTCACCTGCAGCAGTACGTGGCCACCTATCAGCAGCAGGTGGCCGCCTATCAGCAGCTGACCTGTGAGAAGGAGGCGCTGTACAGGCAGTGACTGCAGCAGACCCAGCTAATGAACCAGCTGCAGCAGCAGGAAGCTTGGGGCAAAGCGGTGGCTGAGATGGCCTGCCAAAAGTTGCAGGAGACCCAGGGGAGGGAGCTGCCGAGGATGGGGCTGTGAGGGGGACGACCTGGCAAACTCCACCCCTTCTCACTCTGTCCTGGCCCCTTAGGAGCACCTGGAAGCTGCCAGCCAGCAGAACCAGCAGCTAACGGCCCAGCTGAGCCTCATGGCTCTCCCTGGGGAAGGTACGGGAGACCGCTCAGAGGAAGAGGAGAGAGCCCCAGGAGGAAGGGGGGACTGCTAGCAGCATAGGATTGAGGAGTTGGAAGAGACCTTTAGAACAGCTGGTCATTATGCCGACCGGGTGCCTGCACTAAGTTCGGCATCAGTGTGGTGACCTCCTGTGAGCGGGGGGTCACCAAGTTGCCTAAGGGTGGCTGAACTGGCCAAGGTCAGAAAGAGAGCAGGTCAGAACTCCCACATCGACCAGTAGTGGGAGTGTGCCTGGGCGGAATAGCAAGATCTTGATTCTTAAAAGTAAAAATAAAGAACAACAGCTCATTCCTCTCTGGGGAGGGGCAGGCTCAGGGTTACACAGTGAGGGTGGAGGTAGAGGTGGGCCCACAGTACCTCCCTTGTTGGGTTGTCTGAAGACCCCTCTGGCCACCCCCCACAGGACACGGAGGAGAACATCTGGACAGTGAGGGGGAGGAGGCACCTCGGCCCATGCCGAGTGTCCCAGAGGACCCGGAGAGCAGGGAGGCCATGGTGAGCCTGACTCCCCCCTGCACCCATTTTGCCACCTTTCTCTGTGGTCCCTCCAAGACCCCTTTATGCTCTTCGTTTCCCTGCCTTCTGATTTCTCTGGACCCTCACCCCTTCCGAGAGCCAGTGGTCAGACACCATTTCACCTGTGGCCAACAGGTGCACTCTCTGAGGCCCCAAGGGAAGGGGCTGCGCTCCACCTCTCTGCCCCATTTCTTCTGTGTATGCCCCTAGAAGAATGCTCACATCTTGCCCTCAGGTGGCATTTTTCAAGTCCGCTGGAGCTAGTGCCCAGGAGAAGCAGGCACAGTTACAAGAGCAGGTGAAAGAGCAGAGGGTGTGCTGCCAGCGCCTGGCTCACCCGGTGGCCTCGGCCCAGAAGGAGCCAGAGGCAGCCAGAGGCCCTGGAGCCCCAGGGCCTGGGGGCGAGTCTGTGAGTGGGGAGACCCACTGGGCCCTGCAGGAAGTCACGGAGAAGCTGGCCCATGCCAGGACTCACCTCCACCTTCTCCATGACTTGAAAATGCCACCTGAGGGCAGGTCGCTGCCGAGATGTGACTGCAATATTTTGGCTCCAGAGCAGCTTTATGGACCACCTGGAGGAGAAGGCAGACCTGAGTGAGCTGGTGAAGAAAAAAGAACTCTGCTTCATCCACCACTGGCGAGACAGATGCCATCAGTGAGTGGGAGGCCAGGGCACGGCAGGGGGAGCTACAGGGCCGTCGGAGGGGCCCCAGCGTCTGAGCCCTGTCCTCCCGCAGGAAAACCCATCACCTTTTATCAGAACCAGGGGGCCGTGCCAAAGATGCGGCACTGGGAGGAGGACACCATCAGGCTGGAGCTCAGGGAGGAGATGAAGGTAGGTTGTGCAACATCTCTGTGGGGGTGGGGGTGGGGGTGGGTGTGAGGGTGGGCGCAGGCAGCGGCATGGCAGCTGAGCACCCCTCCCTCCAGGTGAAGCTGCTGGAGCTGCAGCAGATGGTATTGCGGCTTACAGCAACTACAACAATGGGCACAGAAAATTCCTGGCCGCTGCCCACAACTCTGCTGATGAGCCCGGTCCAGGAGCCCCAGCCCCCCAGGAGCTTGGGGCTGCAGACAAGCATGGTGGTGAGTAGAGCCCTCAGGTGGGGTGGGCAGGCAGGAAGAGGGGGCTCCCACTGTGCTCAGATCCCTGCCTCCCTCTCTCCAAAGATCTTTGTGAGGTGAGCCTCACCTCCTCTGCCCAAGGAGAGGCCAGGGAGGATCCTCTCCTTGACAAGCCTACTGCACAGCCGATCGTGCAGGACCACCAGGAGCACCCAGGCTTGGGCAGCAACTGCTGTGTGCCATTGTTGTGCTGGGCTTGGCTGCCAAGAAGAAGGAGATAAACATCACCATCCTCAAAGAGCTGCTCAAGAAATTTTTAAATAAGAAACCAAGTTATGGGGTTAATCTCCTACACAATTCATTTACTTCCTTTGAATGTTAGAGTCACTCATGATTATTTGTTTTTCTAATTTATAGTTTTAAGTTTATTTGTAAAAAGTTAAAAGAGAGTGGGTGTCTGTGGCTCTCACTGATGTTCACTCTGGCATCCTTTAGCATTTTTCTTTTTTAATTTCATAATTGTAGGTCATTAGCGTGCATATCGAGTTTGCCCTTACGTGGTGGGAGTTCAAACACACAAAGACCCACTCTTTGCCCAAAACTGTTCTCTTTGGTTTGGAATAGGCTGCCATGCTTTTTTAATGTTATTGCAGCATGTACATTCACTACAGAATTCAGAGAAAATTTGCCTATGTTCTGCTGTTGTTTGATCTAATCTTAATCACAGTGAGCTCTTCATTAGCTCAATATGTAGTTTGCCCCCAAGTGTGCACTGTTTATTACTTTGTAATATGCCACTATGAGTACTGACATTTAGAGTTGTTTAAAGGCCAAGAACTGGAAACAGCCTTTCCTCCATTTTCTGTGTATTGGTGATGGGAGTGATAACCTTTTGGGGGAGCTTTTTAAATCTCACAGAAGAGGAAAGTGGCCTCCTCTGGCAGGTACGTGCAGGATAGAGTGTGTTTCATCTGTTCCGGTGCCAGGAATTAGCAGTGTATTATGGTGGTTCCCTTAGGATTTGTATGTGCTCTGGGCTCATGAAGATACTGCATCATGAGCTGCAGCAGTTGCACTCTTTTTCGATGACCTAAAAAGGGCTTATTTCTGAGGAATGAAAGGTTCCCATCATTGACTGTGGATGTGGAAATCCTTTCCTAGCTTAGAGCATTTGTATCTACAATACATTTTAAAGTCAGAGTTCATGTTACCTGTTTTAATCACATGACTACATGTCCCAGTACACAAAAGGGCACTGGTTGGCATTCTTCTTAATGTATTTAGTGAAGATCATAAGAAATCCTTTATGAGTTCAAACGTCCCTGGAACAGGCATACAGGCTCTAGTCAAGAATGAATTAGAGTGAAGGAAAGCTGTGTGACACCTGGCATTCCTCTCTGTTCACGGAGATTCTTTGAGGCTTGAAGATTGATTTTACCATCTAGACCTCTTTGGCTAATACCTATTCTTCAACCACCTTGGTTACTCTGACATAGGAATTTACTTCTTTTTCCTTGAATGGAAAACACTTTAAAAAATAATAGAAACATTATTATAAACTAATATATGTGAGATACTTAGTTGAAACAAAAAGGAGTTTTAGTAGACGGTATTGTACTCTCTTTGAAAATCAAGGAGAAGTTTATGAAACTTAAAATGTGTACAAACTGCAGTGCAATCTACTGTTCGTGAATGTCAATGTATTATCAGGAAACGTGTCTATACAATCACAGAGCTATATTTTCTCACAGACTTCTTTACAAAGTGAAATATGTTTTTGTACCTCTGGGTTTCTGTTCGGGACATATTTTGTGCGATATTTATGTGATTGTGCCTATGCATGATGAATGAATGCATTTCAGTTGTATATTGCCTAAATCGTAACTTGATGATGCTTGGGAAAGACTCAACAGTTCAAACTTCATGAAGTTCTAATGTCTGTGTTCCAAAACACATCACATTGTTAGGATGCAGGGAGATAGGTGTGTGTGCTCCCTGCGGTGGGGATTTCTAGTTACTAGATCATCTCCATTTTTAGCATTTGGCATCCTCATGATACTTCTATAAATATGACATTAACAGGAGAGCAACAATACGATTTTACCGATGGAATAACAGATTTGCTGGCATTCACTGAAAGAGTGCAAATATTCGGTCCTTGTGACTTCCACTGACTCTTCCAAATTTTATGAATGTATCAATGTATTAGATAAACCCAGTTTCAGAATGATAAAGAAAAAATCTTAGACCAAATAATGCGGCTAATTAACAGTGGTACGAATTGTAGCCCGTGGGTTTAAAATGCACTTAAAGTCCTGTTCTCGCCTTTTATTTTCTGAACTTGCCGCTTTTGCATTCTTTGAGTTCAGTTTAAAGACAGTTACTTTAAGAGCATTTTAAACCCTCGGGCTAGAAATCGGACCACTGTTAATCAGCCACATTATTTGGTCTAACGTTTTTTCTTTTATCATTCTGAAACTGGGTTTATCTAATACATTGATAAATTATTGCAAAGGTACTTTTATCGTTGAAATCACTTCACTTTTACCCTGATAAATATCAGTAACTAGAATGACCTTCGGATAGTGTTTAGCATCTGTAACCAATCTGACAATAATGTGTTCATGAGGTGCCTATGGATTAAATCACACACTGGCATATTTAAGCTGAAGGTCAGTCTGGAAAATAAATTTACTATATTGACTGAAATACCACTCTTTGTGTAGGTATTTGTCATATATTTAAGAAAAAGCTAAAAAGAATGGAAATTGTATGACAATAACTCAAGTCTTTCTCCAAAGTGCATGCAGTCTTTTGCGATACCTCATTCAGCCGAGTATTTGTGCTCTTCCTCATTCAGTATAAGGCAGCTTTCAGTTTGCTTAGAAGGCAACATTGGAATGTTAGAGTTCATCAGAAACATAGAATTTTAAACTGTGAGTTCCACTGAATACATTTTGATTTCTGTAGGAAGAATCAAAACACCTATTTAAAGATGGCAATATATAATAATCATTTTAAAAGTATTTGATTAAACCTGATAATTTTCCAGAAATGAAAAAAAAAATCAGCTCTAAAACCAAAGCTGATTTTAGAAAATTTGAAAATGTAAATCAGCCCTATCCATAATATAGTTTCTCTAAAACTTTATTTTAAAGAGTCATTTTAAAATAATATAACTATTAAAAAATGTAACTGCTATCTTAATGTTCTGAAATAATTTAAAACATTTTAAAATATGAATACTGTAGTATAAAAGAAAGAAATGGTGGGAACGAAAAGCAGAGAAAGAAATGCCAATTCCAGTCCAAAGTTTTATTTGCCAAGTTTTCTTAGAATGAATTTTACCAGTTTATGAATTATTGTAAACAGAATGTGTCATGGAAATACTGAAAGATTTTTCCCTAGAGTGGCCTTATTGACTGCTGGTGTGATGCCACTGTAATGTAATAAATTATTAAATTGTTTCTAAGTGTTGTTTTTGCCTTAAAATTTTATTTTGCGTTTCTTCAAAACTATAGTTTTAAAGGTATTGATACTGTGCAAATGCTGGGCATGCTTGGCACGAGATAATGTGTTTCATTTTTACAAAGCTGTAATATAACTATGCAAGTGTTTCTTAAAAGAACACAAGATTTAATAAGTTATGGGATTAAAAAAAGTTATGGGGTGAAAACGTTATGGGATAAAAAATGTAAAAACGTTGTGGCAAAAAAACTTCTGGGAAAAAAGTAGAAAACAGTATTATGAAAAGTTACAAAAAAAGTTATGAAAAAGAAGTTACGGGATTTTTTTTTAAAAAGTCATGGAATAAAAATAAAATGAGAATCATAAGAGAATCATTGAGAATCATAAAAATGCAGATTCTGATTCAGTAGGTCTAGGGTGGGGCCTGAGTTACTTCTTTTTTTTGTTTTAGACAGAGTCTTGCTCTGTGGCCCAGGCTGGAGTGCAGTGGCGTGATCTCCGCTCACGCAAGCTCCGCCTCCCGGGTTCACGCCATTCTCCTGCCTCAGCCTCCCAGGAGTAGCTGGGACTATAGGCGCATGCCGCCACGCCCGGCTAATTTTTTTGTATTTTTTAGTAGAGACAGGGTTTCACTGTGTTAGCCAGGATGGTCTCGATCTCCTGACCTCGTGATCCACCCTCCTCGGCTTCCCAAAGTGCGGGGATTACAGGCGTGAGCCACTGCGCCCGGCCCTGAGTTACTTCCTTTCATGCACCACATAGCAATGTTTCGGTCAACAGTGGACTACATATATATCTATCACTGTCTTCCACCTCCACATTCTGTCCTACTGGAAGGTCTTCAGGTGCAATAACACACAAGGAGCTATCATCTCCTATGATAACAAGGCTTTTTTCTGGAATAGCTCCCCACAGACCACCACAAATATGTGATGTGAGTAATGCACTGTGCTACAGTGATGCTATACGTCAACAACATCACTAGGCAATAGGAACATTCCAACTCCATTATAATCTTTTTTTTTTTTTTTTTTTTTTTTTTTTTTTATTGAAACAGACTCTTGCTCTGTCGCCCAGGTTGGAGTGCAGTGGCACGATCTGGGCTCACTGCAAGCTCCGCCTCCCGGGTTCACGCCATTCTCCTGCCTCAGCTTCCCGAGTAGTTGGGACTACACGCGCCCACCACCACACCTGGCTAATTTTTTTCTATTTTTTAGTAGAGACGGGGTTTCACCGTGTTAGCCAGGATGGTCTCAATCTCCTGACTTCGTGAGCTGCCTGCCTTGGCCTCCCAAAGTGCTGGCATTACAGGCATGAGCCACTGCGCCAGGCCCCAACTCCATTATAATCTTATGGGACCAGTGGATATAGATGATCCTGACCCTGCCTAGGCCTAGGCTAATGTGTGAGTTTGTATCTTCATTTTGGTTTTGTTTGGTTTTGAGACAGGGTCTCGCTCTATCGCCCAGGCTGGAGTGCAGTGGTGCGATCTCAGCTCATTGCAACCTCTGCTCCCCAGGTTCAAGCAATCCTTCCACCTCAGCCTCCCAAGTAGCTGAGACTATAGATGTGTGCCACTATGCCTGGCTATTTTTCATATTTTTTTGTAAAGGCGGGGTTTCGTCATGTTGTCCAGGCTGGTCTCAAACACCTGGACTCCAGCAATCCACCTGCCTCGGCCTCCCAATGTGCTGGGATTATAGGTGTGAGCCACCACGCCCAGCCATGTCTTGGTTTTTAACAAAAAAGTTTAAAATTAAAAAAAAATAGAAAAAAATCTTACCGAATATGGATAGAAAGAAAATATTTTTGTACAGCTGTACAATGTGTTTGTGTTTTGAGCTATTACTACAAAAGAGTCAAAAGTTAAGAAAATTTAAAAGCTGATGAAATTAAAAAGTTATAGTAAGCTAACCTTAATTTATTACTGAAGGAAAAAATTTTAATAAACTTAATGTAGCCTAAGTATATGCTGTTTATAAAGTCTATAACAATGTACAGTAAGGTCCTAGGCCTTCACATTCACTCACCACTCACTGACTCACCCAGAGCAACTTCCAGTCCTGCAAGCTCCACTCATAAGTACCCTACGCAGGTAAAATTTTAAATCTGTGGCCGGTCGCAGCGGCTCACACCTGTAATTCCAGCACTTTGGGAGGCCGAGGTGGGTGGATCACAAGGTCAAGAGATCAAGACCACCCTGGCCAACATGGCGAAACGCCATCTCTACTAAAAATACAAAAATTAGCTGGGCGTGGTGGTGCACGCCTATAGTCCTAGCTACTCGGGAGGCTGAGGTCGGAGAATCGCTTGAACCCGGGAGACAGAGGTTGCAGTGAGCTGAGATTGTGCCACTGCACTCCAGCCTGGTGACAGTGCAAGACTCCATCTCAAAAAAGAAAAAAAAAAAAAAGAAAAAAATTTAAATGTTATATCACAAATTTTAAATCTGTTAAGATATATAAAATACTTGGTATTGTGTTACAATTGCCTACAGTATTCAGTACAGTAATCTGCTGTACAGGTTTGTGGCCTAGGAGCAATAGATTATATCACATAACTAGGTGTGTGTGTAGTCAGCTACACCATCTAGGTTGATGTAAGTACACTCTATGATGTTTGCAGAATGACAAAATTGCCTAACAATGCATTTCTCAGAAGGTATCTCTGTCATTAAGAGACACATGGCTATAGTTTCCAGGCGATACCTATGCCGTATTTGAATAGCAAGGCTCTAGTTTAGAGCACTGTTTAGGGAAATCCATTGGCCCTGTATCTTAAGTTGGGTTGCCTGAAAAACAGGTACTGAGATGGAGATTTCCCCACAGGAGGCTTACTTGGGAAGGCTCTTGGAACAACACAAGTAAAGGAGTAAAAGAAACAGGATTGGGCAGCCTGTGAAACAGTTGCCACCATCTCAGCTGCTCCTTCAGGAAGCTCTAGAGCTGGGAAGTCCTTCCGTTGTCTTGAGATATGGGGGCCAGGCCTATGAAACCCCATATTAACCAGGCACGGAACGTAGACTGCCCAGGGGAAGGCATCACTTGGGGTGAGGCAGGTCCTTTTCATGGAGCAGCTCTCAGAGGGGGACTTTGTTGTGAGCCATGAGGAACCAACACTTCTGCAAGTGGGGCGAGTGAGCACCTCAGCCTGGAGGGGGATCTAGGTGAAGCACCACAGTGTCTACTATTCTGGTGATAGCCCAGTGACCTCAGGAAATCACTGTACTATTTTCCATCTTAGTCCACATTTAGGACAGAATATGATAGACATTTCTGTTTTATTAATAAATGGAACAATGTGGCCGGGCGCGGTGGCTCACGCCTGTAATCCCAACACTTTGGGAGGCTGAGGCGGGCGGATCACGAGGTCAGGAGATCAAGACCATCCTGGCTAACACGGTGAAACCCCGTCTCTACTAAAAATACAAAAATTAGCCGGGCGTGGCGGCATGCGCCTATAGTCCCAGCTACTCGGGAGGCTGAGGCAGGAGAATGGTGTGAACCCGGGAGGCAGAGCTTGCAGTGAGCCGAGATCACACCACTGCACTCCAGCCTGGGGGACAGAGCGAGACTCCGTCTCAAATAAATAAATAAATAAATGGAACAATGTGTCTGTGGAATGTGCCAGGCCCTAGAGGCAGTGATTCTAGGAACAATCATTTTGGTTTTACAGAAAAAAACTCGGACCTAATTTGAAAGTTGCACAAATCATCTTATTTCAAGCAGGGATGCAGGTAAAAGGTTCAGGAAGGCCCTTTGGCAGACACTTTATGGACTGATTTCACAGAAATGAGGGTTAGGTGATCTAACATCTAAGGAAAAGGATGTGTGCCATCTAGTGGCACTAAAAGCAAAGCCTAATGCTTAACGAAAGATTTCCCTTTTCATCGTCAGGGAACTCAGTGAGGTTTTCAGTAGTGTTTTCCTACTTTTAGAAGTAGGTGTGGGAGTTCACTAAATGAAATAAAATTACAATATCTACAGCTGGATAGCTGTGTGGGGTAACACATAAAATTGGATCCATTCTTTCTACACTGGATAAATTCCAAATTTAAGGACCGGGCGCGGTGCCTCACGCCTGTAATTCCAGCACTTTGGGAGGCAGAGGCAGGCAGATCACCTAAGGTCAGGAGTTCAAGACCAGCCTGGCCAATATGGTGAAACCTCGTCTCTACTAAAAACACAAAAATTAGCCAGGTGTGGTGGCATGCACCTGTAGTCTCAGCTACTCAGGAGGCTGAGACAGGAGAATCATCTGAACCCGGGAGGTGAAGGTTGCAGTGAGCAGAGGTCGCATCACTGCACTCCAGCCTCAGAGATCTAACATTAACAAATGAAAACATAGCAGTACTAGAAAATTAAGTACTAGAATTCACAAGAGTGAATACCTTTATAACTCAGAAGTGGGGAAAATACTCCTATCTATAATCAGAATCCAGAAGCATTAAGGGAAGAGATTAACTATAATTTAAACAAACAAAAAAGCAAGGCAAAAAGTCTAAAAAATATATGCAGCTTATATCATGAGGGACTAATATATAAAAAGCTTCTAAAATATTTTTAAAGACCATCCTGAAAGTAAAAGATGGACAATTTAAATAAAAAGAAGTACAAATAGCCCTTAAACAGGTGAAAAGATTGATTTATTGCACTTTGTTTTCCATTTTAGGAGTTGCTTTTACATTTTATTTTATTTTATTTATTATTATTTTGTTTAGATGGAGTCTCACTGTGTCACCCAGGCTGAAGTGCAGTGGCCGGATCTTGGCTCACTGCAACCTCCGCCTCCCAGGTTCAAGCGATTCTCCTGTCTCAGCCTCCCAAGTAGCTGGGATTACAGGCATGCATCACCACGCATGGCTAATCTTTGTATTTTTAGTAGAGACGGGGTTTCACCACGTTGGCCAGGCTGGTCTCGAACTCCTGACCTCAGGTGATCCGCTCACCTCGGCCTCCCAATGTGCTGGGATTACAGGCGTGAGCCACCACCTTATTTTGGCCTTATTTTGTATTTTAAACATGTTACACATTTACAGGGTTCCAAGTTTATATATAAAACAAGATATATTCAGAGAGGTCTAGCTTCCATTCCTATTTTCTACTTCACCTGTTCTTGATCTTCTCCTATTGTTTACCATTTTTATTAGATTTTGGTTTACCTTTCTATTGTTTATTTTTGAAAATATAAGTAAGTATCCATTTGTATATGTATCTCTACCACCCCGTATACCAAAGGCAGCATACTATATACACTCTTTTATGCATTGCTTTTTCACTTCACTTCACATCATAGTCATATATCTTCCACATTCCTTAACAGCTTCATAATACTTTGTCGTATGCATGCATCATTTGAAAAAATGTTCCACTTCATTGACAAAAAGATAAATACAAAACTATACTGAAGGCTGGGCGCAGTCGCTCATGCCTGTAAACTCAGCACTTTGCGAGGCCGAGGTGAGTGGATAGGTTGAGGTCAGGAGTTCGAGACCAGCCTGGCCAACATGGCGAAACCCTGTCTCTACTAAAATTACAAAAATTAGCCAGGCGTGGTGGTGATTGCCTGTGGTCCCAGCTACTCAGGAGGTTGAGGCAGGAGAATCACTTGAACCTGGGAGGCAGAAGTTGCAGTGAGCCAAGATAGAGCCACTGAACTCCAGCCTGGGCAACAGAGTGAGACTCCGTCTCAAAAAAAAAAAAAACTACACTTTGATAACATTTCCCACATATCGATTTAGCAAACATCTAGGAGTTTGACAATTCATTCTATTGGAGAGGCTGCAGAGAAACAGGAAATGCTGCTGGTGTGAATACAAAACTGCACAACCCCTATGAAGGGGAATTTGGCAGAATTAAACAAAATAACATGTTCTTTTACCCTTTGACCTAACAATCCCATTTATAGAAATCTATGCTAAAGACCCACTGGCAAAAGCATATTATATATGCACAAGGAAACTTTTGTATAGCAAAAGACTGGGAATAGTCCACATATCCACTAGTAAGGGCCTGGCTAAATAAACTACAGTACATCCATATATAACCAAAAAGAATAATTATGCCCAGTTCATTTAAAACACAGTATCTTGATTTTACATCCTTAGTTGGATACAATTTTAGAAAAAAGGAAGTACATGCAAAGTTAAACTTCATTTATCTGTTAGCAATATCTCTATTGTTATTCTGTTTTTATTCTTTATCCTGTTATTGCTATTGTTGTTTTTACATACCTGTGAATATAGGTAGATGAAGCAAATAACCATTATGTTACTATTAATATTTATTAATAGTAACATTAATAATAATTAAGGCAATGAAAAGAACCAATATTTTCATTGCCTCCTTGTGTGTAGGAAAAAAGAACCAATATTTTCATCTTAAGAGAAAGGAAGGGCCGGATGTGGTGGCTCACACCTGTAATCCCAGCACTTTGGGAGGCCGAGGCGGGTGGATCACGAGGTCAGGAGTTCAGGACCAGCCTGGCCAAAATGGTGAAACACCGTCTCTACTAAACATACAAAAATTAGCCGGGCCTGCTGGCAGACGCCTGTAATCCCAGCTGCTTGGGAGGCTGAGGCAGAGAATTGCTTGAACGTGGGAGGTGGAGTTTGCAGTGAGCCGAAATTGTGCAACTGCACTCCAGCCTGGGCGACAGAGCGAGACTCCGTCACAAAAAAAAAAAAAAAAAAAAAAAAAAAAAAAGAGAAAGGAGACGAAAAACAAAAAGAGCTCAGCTTTAAAAAAGGATTATGACGTAGAAAAAGACACAACACTGAAGATTGTCATGGGTCTTTAAGAAAAGGAAATTTGAGACGGCTAAAACGCAGAACAGTGTGGAGTTTGGGGAAGAGATGTGGCTAAAGACAGCGTAAGCAATTTTTTAAAGTTATGTCTGAAGCAAGAAGAAAAGACAAGGAATAGGTTCAGTTTCATCTCTGATACACTGTTTCTTGTTAAAATTGATGTTTTTTTCTGCAGGCATTTGCTTCCTGAATGATGGTCCCACTCAGCCATCCACCTATACTTTCTACAAAGTCAATTTATACTGATTCTTCAGATCAGTTAATCACTGGTACGTTTCCCCTCCCCGGTCAAGGATCTTTTATTATACGCTATCATAGAATCATATTCCTTTCCTTAGCGCACTTCTCTCAACTGATAAGTGCCGCCATTAATGTACTTACTTGATAAATATATGCCTGCCTTTCCTCTTCCAGGGCCGAAACTGTGCCTGGTTTTGCTCATCATTCTACAGTATATAGCACGAGTTCAATAAACAGTTGTTAAAGCAACATATTTAACTTACATTTTGTTCCCATCTCTTCACTCAGAGACTTTTCTTTGGATTGGGAAGGGTAAAATATCCGAAGATTTGAACTCCAAAAGAAACAAAATGATTCTATGCAAACGTTTCCTACTTAAAACTCATTCATTGGGCAAATATTCACTTAGTCCCTGGCACTATTTGGTAATAGGAATACAGGAGTGCATATGGCAGATAAAGTTCTGTTGCTGCCCTTACCAAGTTTCGTGGGGGTGAGATGTGGTGTTAGTAAATGCATACTATTTTGTCTGTATTTAAATCGAGTCCAAATCTCTCGCTCTACAGCCCGCCTTGGGATGTTTCTTATATCCCAAGAAACAGAATATTTTGATGGGATCGCTGATGTTTCAGACTGCAAAAGCAGCTCAGGGCGTTTGCAGTCGTGCAAGTCAACAAGATAACCGTCTGGACCGGAAGCTGGGCTCCTCCCGGTCTCCTAACTCCAAATCCAACACCAAGCTTCTGCAGCTGCCACCTCCCGTAGACTTCGCATTTCTTCCGCACTCTCCTCTCACGACGGGTCTTCTTTGTTGTACTTAATTTCCTACGCAATAAGATTTCAGCATCACCATCAGTCCCCCAAAGACTAATTCCCACAGAGCCGAAGTTCCCACCAAGGGCCGAGGGTTAAGGTTACTAAAATCAGCGTTTCTGAATCCTGTCTCAAGTTGTCTCAACTGGGCTTCCGTAGAACGGTTTCTTCGTAAGAGGGCCTTCAGCGACAGCCGAGCTCGGAAAAGAACGGGAATAAGTTGTCTCTTACATTTCCTCAAATACTGTGAATGGTCTGAGGCGCAGGTCAGGTGTATTTAAAAACCTTTAAACAGTATTCCCCCGCCCCAAAAACTGGCCTTGAAGGAACAAGTGAAACTCATCCTGCTTTTCATGTTTGCTGGGTTTGCCCGTTACACCCCTTCGCCCGCACCTATCTAGACAGGCAGCTCTCGGCCACCCTCCGGGGTCCTGATTTTGAAAAGAGGAGTGGACCAATCAGATGTGGAGCGCTGTTTGGCGCTGCCATTTGAGCCTGGGCTGAAACTGCGGGTGTGACCCCCCCGTGGTGGCTCCGGGTGTCTGCAGTGGAGCTGGGGGCGGAAGCATGAGGCTAACGGCTTGGCTTCAGTGAACGCACCGGGATGTGCAGGCCGGGAGGTAGAGGCAGGCTGATGGGGGAGGGAACGAGCAGCCTGTGAGACGGGGTGACGGCGGCTACCAGCCCGGGCGGGCACCGGGACTGGAAGAGTTGCCTGAGCAGCCGGCTGGTCCGGCGGCCAGGCTAGGGCGGGGGCGAGCGCCCAGTTGAGCCTGCTGGGGCTGGAGGAGCGAGAAGGGTTCTCTTCACATTTCAGAGCGAACCAGACGGACAGTAAGGTTTGGAGGAAGGGGGATCGTTGGAAGTAGCAGGAAGTGGAGAGAATCTGGCAATAGGCGAGAAACCGAAAGAATCAGAAAGAAGTCTATGTGAGTAGCTGAAAGCATTGGGTGACCAGAAAGAAGGTCGCTGTAAGTGAAGGAAGAGTGAGGTGTGGCTGGATCAAAGGGCTAAGAGAAGCGGGTCTGTGTAAGTGGATGTGAGTGAGGATCAAGGAAAAGCCGTGGAAGTGGCCGGGGGTCGGGGCCGCAGAAGTGCCAGACGGGGCCGGAAAGCAGCCGAGCGGAGTTCAAATTTGAGAGCGTTTGGAAATTGGAAGACTTGGTGGCGAACGAGGGTCAGGACCTGCATCCTGCCTCAGAGTTATCGACGTATCCGGAATGTGGGATCAGAGGCTGGTGAAGTTGGCCCTGTTGCAGCATCTGCGGGCCTTCTATGGTATTAAGGTGAAGGGTGTCCGTGGGCAGTGCGATCGCAGGAGACATGAAACAGCAGCCACGGAAATAGGGGTAAGTTCTGTGAAAAGGGATTTAGGTTTAAAAGAAAGGGCACACCCTTTATCATCACTTATTAGCAGATCGTGCTAAAATGTTCACTCTGTGTATCAAAAAGAATGGTTAGGTGTGTAATTCAGTTCAGATGATCGATTGCTGATATTTAAAAAGTGACATTCTTGTTTTTTTTTTCCCCAAGGATTTTTGATCATTGAGAGAAAGTTGCAGGATTTTCCAACTTCAGCACTATTGACATTTTGGATTAGATAATTTTTGTTAGGGGAAGACGAAATGCTGTTCTGTGAATTGTGGGATGTTTAGCGGGATGTCTGTCTTTTACCCACTAGATGCTGGTAGCATCTCTCAGTTGTGACGATTAAAAATGTCTCCGGATATTGCCAGCTTACTGTATTTGGAACAGGTAGTACGTTGGGAGGGACAAAAACTCTACCCCTCCACCCTTGTTTTAGAGTAAGGTTGTAGAGGGACAAGGGAGACCAGTGCATTTTCTACATGAATCTGTAGATGAAGTATGACAGAACATTAGAAATAGGCTTCAAATGATGACTGCATATTCACTAATTTGGGAAACAGATTTGCTGCTTGGCCATATCATACTTTTGGGACAGCAATTTTTTTTTTTGTATGAGTAAATTGAGAAGCCAGAGTGGAATAATTGAGAAGTTGTTGATGTTTTGGTGGTTGAAATAAAGGGATTTTGAATGAGATTTTAATAGCTCTGCCACATAATCAGGAATTGCATTGTGAAAAATAAGCTGAATGTAAAGCATTTTATTTTAAATTTATGTGCCTAATTTATATGGTACTTCCTAGTACTTGGAGACAAGCTAATAAAGTTAATATACGTTGCTTTTAATAGTTTATGGTTTCTAAAAAAAAGTGCTTGGAGAAGAAAACCACTAACAAAAGTAATATGTGTGTCTCTTAATCGCTGATAAACTTTGGAGAAGTTATTTTTGTTGGTAGCAAATTAATGGCAATACATGTACTTACATTTAAAAAGCTACAGTGATTTTTTTCTGATTGTAAAACTGGCTTTCCAAGATCTCAAATGTAGCTGATTTTGTAAGTATATGGAAGAGTTTGTATATGGACTTTTTTTCACCCCTTTTCTTTTCTTTTCCTTTTTTTTTTTTTTGTTTTTGAGATGGAGTCTCCCTCTGTCGCCCAGGCTGGAGTGCAGTGGCGCGATCTTGGCTCACTGCAAGCTCCGCCTCCCGGGTTCACGCCATTCTCCTGCCTCAGCTTCCCGAGTAGCTGGAACTACAGGCGTCCGCCACCACACCTGGCTAATTTTTTGTATTTTTTAGTAGAGACGGGGTTTCACTGTGTTAGCCAGGATGGTCTCGATCTCCTGCCCTCGTGATCCGCCCGCCTCGGCCTCCCAAAGTGGTGGGATTGCAGGCGTGAGCCACTGCACCTGTCCTTTTCACCCCTTAACAAGAAAAACTGTTGCCTGTTTTCAGAGTCGGATAGACCTGAGTTTGAGTGCTGTTCCACCCCTACTACATCTGTAAACTTGGGCTGCTTGTTTGATTTCCCTAAGCTTCAGTTTTATATCTATAAAGTGGGAACGTATTTCTCCTTGGATTATTTAGGGATTTTTAAAAAGTGAAGCTCTTTATGTAGGCCTAGCACAGTGCGTGTCACATGCCACTTCATCTAATGATAGTTGTCATATCATTGGTCTGCCTCCTAATTGGTAATCACGCCATATAAATTCAGCTAGAAACACTTATAAGAATATTCTAATGAAGAAATATAGAAGATCATTGTGTTATGAGATCTAATGGGATAGTTTGTTTGAAAACAATTTCTTTAGCCGACTGGTGTTTGTTAGCTAACTGTAGTTTTAAGTTTTAAAAACATTTTATGAGATTAAATTTTAGTGGTTACTTGTGAAGCCAGTTATTCTAAATAATAAGACTTAAGGAAAAAAACACGCTGAATTCTAGTTATATATAACAGAAGTAGACTTACCAGCCTAAGTATCTGGTTTATTTTTACATTTGGTTTGGCTGCACAGTATCAAGAAAATTCTGATTTACCCAATAAAGGGGTTGCCCATACTAACATTTTTTTAAATAGTTCAGCTTAAAATGATGATCATAAGATTAACAAATATTTTTTGAATGCTTACTGTGTGTCAGACACTGATACAAGTGTTTTGTATGTTTTAATTTATTTAATTCTTCCTACACCTCTATGACTTAGGATCTGTGTGAGGATACCGAGGAACAGAATGTTAATTTGATCCAGGTCACTCAGCTGTTAAGTACAAGAGTTAAGATGTAAAACCTGGCATTTTTGTGGGTGCGATGGCTCACGCCTGTAATCCCAGCATTTTGGGAGGCCGAGGAGGGTGGATCACGAGGTCAGGAGATCGAGACCATCCTAGCTAACACGGTGAACCCCCCCGCCCCACGTCTCTATTAAAAATACAAAAAAATTAGCTGGGCGTGGTGGCGGGCGCCTGTAGTCCCAGCTACTCGGGAAGCTGAGGCAGGAGAATGGGTGAACCCGGGAGGCGGAGCTTGCAGTGAGCCGAGATTGTGCCACTGCACTCCAGCCTGGGCCACAAAGTGAGACTCCGTCTCAAAAAAAATACACCTGTCATTTTTGCCTTCAGGAGCCTACTCTCTTAAGCCCTTACCATACTATACTGTCTTTTCAGCTTACAATATTTGTAAATTAATTGGAGCCAGGTGCTTGAAAGGGAATTAGTAAAATTTTGTTACTGTGTTGCGTCATTGACAATGCTGAGTGATTTTTATTGTAAAGTTAAATATAATGCTCATAAAACATAAATGCTTCTTGGTTGATAACTTGTGACATCAAAAAAAGTACTTCAGCATTCACAGAGCAGATGCATGTAAACTAAATTAACATGTGAGATTATGCATACCCACTTAAGTTTGAATAACCAGACATTTACAGGCTTGAATTTGCCTTTCAGTGCTGTGGAAAGCGACACATTTTTAAGAGGTTCGAATGCACGCACAAAGATAGTGGCAGATTCTTTATTCTTCAGTGTGCAAAAACATTCAAGTTAACCAACAAACAACTTTACTCTTGGGATCTTCAGTGTATTAAAATTTGAATGTGAGGTTTTAAAAATGGGTTTCCAGCTAGTTAAATGAAGTTTGACTTAAATATTTGCACACTCCTGCCTTGCTTACCGCAGGGCATGGTTTGAAAAGCACTCTTCTATAGAAGGTGGAAAATGTATTAGGTATAAAAATAACCTCTTCTGATGTAATTTTAGGAAGACTCAATGAATGACAGGAATTAGTGTTTTGCTTTTCAATTGACTTAGTCTTTTGTGTAAGTATTTATAAGGTGACCAAAAGAAAGTATCTAGTAAGTATTTATAAGATCATTAAAGCAACCTATAGTGTTTTGGGGTAAATGTTAGTGTTTTGGACCAAATTCTGTTTTAAGAATTTACTGACTAACCACTAACCAAATTGACTTTATGATCAGATTGGAAACTTGAGTTTACTAGATTATTTGAGGGGAATGACATTATCTTGGCCATCTTTGTACTCCCAGCACTCAGCATACTATCTAATATAGTAATTATTTGTTATCAAATGCACTTGAAATGATTATTTTTGTCTTGATTGATAGTTTATCATTTATTTCTGATTTTTTTTAATTTCCTGAGTTCTTTAATTTGCCTAAAGTTTAAGAAAACTGATATTATGCCTAATATTTGTGTTAGAGTAACTGAATTTGTCATTTTAGGGTAAAATATTTGGAGTACCTTTTAATGCACTGCCCCATTCTGCTGTACCAGAATATGGACACATTCCAAGGTAAGCAGAGTTTGAAATGAAGAAGGCCGGGTGCAGTGGCATATGCCTGTAACCCCAGCATTTTGAGAGGCCGAGGTGGGCAGATCACTTGAGTCCGGGAGCTTAAGACCAGCCTGGGCAACATGGTGAGACCTTGTCGCAAAAGATAGAAAAATTAGCTTGGCGGAGCACACTTGTAGTCCCAGCTACTCAGGGGGCTGGGGTGGGAGGATTGCTTGAGCCCAGGAGGTGGAGGCTGCAGTGAGCCTTCTAGCCAGGGAAATGAAGAAGAAGAGAGTAAGCATTTCAAACTGGTTTTAGAGAGTTTAAAAGAAATAGTTGATTAAAACATAATTGTTTCAAACCAGCAAATGATTTAATCTCTCATAATGTTAAAAATATTTTTTTAACTTTTACATATTTTAAATTTATAATTTGTACTCATTCCCAGGATTGAATTTTAAAGTCCAGTAATGAGTAAATGTTAGAAATCACAAAAAATTTTTGTTCTGTTAAGTCAGTTTTCAGTTCTATGTGAATTCTTTTGCCACAACTCAGATTAAGTAATATACTGAATTACCAATTCAGTAATAATTTTGCCTTTTTTTTGTTTGTTAAAAAAATATTGGCCAGGCACAGTAGCTCATGCCTATAATCCCAGCATTTTGAGGGCCGAGGCAGGAGGATCGCTTGAGCTCAGGATTTTGAGACCAGTCTGGGCAACAAAGCAAGACTCCATGTATAAAAAAAATTTTAAAGAAAAATCAGCTGGGCAAGGTGGTGTGCACCCCTGTAGTCCCAGCTACTCCTGAAGCTGAGGCAGATGATTGTTTGACCCTAGGAGTTTGAGGCTGCAGTGAGCTATGCTCATTGCCACTGCACTCCAGCATTGGCAACAGAGTGAGACCCTGTCTCTTGAAAACAAATATTGGATAAAAGAATATTTAAGCTAAGATATTAGAGTGTTTGTGAAAATGTATTATGTATCACTTAGCTTTTCTATGCCACTTACTATTTATAAATAACCTTTTATTCTTTTTTTTTTTTTTTTGAGACAGAGTTTCGCTCTTGTCGCCCAGGCTGGAGTGCAATGGCGTGATCTCGGCTCACCGCAACCTTCACCTCCTGGGTTCAAGTGATTCTCCTGCCTCAGCCTCCCGAGTAGCTGGGATTACAGGTGTCCACCACCACACTTAGCTAATTTTTGTATTTTAGTAGAGATGGGGTTTCACCATGTTGGCCAGGCTGGTCTCAAACTCCTGACCTCAGGTGATCTACCTGCTTCAGCCTCCCAAAGTGCTAGGATTACAGGCGTGAGCCACTGTGCTGGCCTATTCTAACTGCATCAGAAATTACTAGGAAAGTTTATGTTTTAAGAATATAATTTAGCCGGGCGCGGGGGCTCACGCCTGTAATCCCAGCACTTTGGGAGGCCGAGGCGGGCAGATTACGAGGTCAGGAGATCCAGACCATCCTGGCTAACACGGTGAAACCCCGTCTCTACTAAAAATACAAAACATTAGCTGAGCGTGGTAGCACGCACCTGTAGTTCCAGCTACTCGGGAGGCTGAGGCAGGGGAATGGCATGAACCCAGGAGGCGGAGCTTGCAGTGAGCCAAAATTGTACCACTGCACTCCAGCCTGGGCGACAGAGTGAGACTCCGTCTCAAAAAAAAAAAAAAAGAAAAAAAAAAGAATGTAATCTAAAAATGCATATGATGAAACTTATCCTTAATTCATTTCCCCTCCATCTAAAGTAGGGTTCATTTGGGCTACTATAGACCAATAATCTAGGTTTTAATTGACATGTCATCCAAAAGCAATTATCGAACACCTGGTTGCCTTAGGACAGTTTCCCCCCATTCATCCTATAGGTGTAGATTCACTGTCTTCTTAGGTAACCGCTTAACCATTTTGCTCTTTAAATGACCTATGAAAGGCTTGATTTTCTTATAATGAACACCTATAATGATTTTCAACAGGCCGGGCACAGGAGCTCATGCCTGTTATCCCAGCACTTAGGGAGGCCCAGGTGGTGGATTGCTTGAGCCCAGGAGTTCAAGACAAGCCTGGGCAACATGGTGAAACCTTGTCTCTACAAAAAATAGAAAAATTAGCTGGGCGTAGTGATGTGTGCCTATAGTCCCAGCTAGTCGGGAGGCTGAGGTGGGAGGATCACTTGCGCCCAGGAGGCAAAGGTTGCAGTGAGCAGTGATCGCACCACTCCAGCCTGGGTGACAGAGCGAGACACTGTCTCAAAAACTAAAAGAAAAAAAAAAAGCAGATTTTCGGCGTCTGGAATTGCAAAGTCATATTCCCAGGAATCATGACTAAATCTTCATTGCAATTTCATGACCTACTTTTTATTTAATTAAAAAGACTGTTTTGTCAGTTACCTTCTGTAAATAAGGCTGACATTCAGCCACTGTGCACCAATACAGCTGTATCAATTGTTGGTAGCCGATATTCATTCTAATTTGTGGGTCCCAGCTGTTCAATATCTAGGTATCTAAAGCCAACATTGAGATTTATTTGAACATTGTTCAAAATAAAGAAATTGAGCACATTCCCCTTAATATGAAAAGGCTTGTAAGGACTGGGATATATCCTACTTTTCTGAGGGATAATGTTGGGGTGAGGAAAAAAAACCTCGCCCTGTTTTTGGGTGATGTAGGAGATGAGAAAATCACCCATGAAGAGATAGTAGATAAAAGAAGGTGGCCTTGGACGGAGCCCTGGGTTGTTCCAGCATGTAGAGGTTTCACATAAGAGGAGTGAGAAAAGGAATTTGAGAAGGAGCAGGCAGGGAGATAGCAGGAAAACTAAAAGAGTAGTGAAAAAGTATTTTTGAGATGAACAGGGAAGGGATCAGGTGTGTCAAATGGTGATAGATCGAGCAATACGAGGACAACACACTGACCATGGATTTGGCAAGGCAGAGGCTGTTAGTGAGCTTGAAGAGAGCTATTTCTTTGGAGTAATGAGGTATGAGAATGATTGGATAGGGGTGAGTAGAGACTGAGATATGAAGAAGTAGAGGCAGAAAAAAAAGACAAGTCTTACGCTCTGAAGGGAAGCAGAAATGAAGTAGGATTGAGAAAGATAAAATTTAGTGTGCATATTGGAGTTGTTATAAGTAAAAAGATGGGCCTTGGAGAAGAATTTGGAAAGCAAGTAGACAACTAAAAGTAACATTTCATCTCAAAGACTACAGAGATTTGTGGCTTTAGAGCCTCTGAAAGGTCTGTAGTGCTTGGCCTGCTCATGTATGTTAGCAGAGGAATAGGATGTGATATGTATGTCTAGCCACCTGAAAAAATCTCTCTTTCAGCTTTCTTGTCGATGCTTGCACATCTTTAGAAGAACATATTCATACCGAAGGGCTTTTTCGGAAATCAGGATCTGTGATTCGCCTAAAAGCACTAAAGGTGAGCATATTGTTGAACTATAATTTTTCATTTGAGCCATTTTCTGATTTGGTTTTTAAAACTGAAATATTTAGAACTATTAATATGAATAGTTGACAGAAATTGAATTTGCATTTTTTTCATGGCAGAAGATTTTTTTTTTTTCCAAAAGAAATGGTATATTATTTCTATCGTGCTTTAAAAATTTAATAGGGTACTTTTAAATTCATGGTCCTTATTTCTATCAAGTATTATGTAAAATGAAAAAATGTGTTAAGTTATATTGTTGTTAGCCTTCTAGAAGGAGTGATATAGCTGAGTGTGGTGGCACATGCTTGTAGTCCCAGCTACTTGGGAGGCTAAGGCAGGAAGATTGCTTGAGCCTGGGAGTTTGAAGCCAGCCCAGGCCACATAGTCTGTGCCACATTTCTATAAAAATAAAAATAAATTCAAAAATCATTAAAAATAAAGTAGTGACATATATTAAAATAAGAGTTAAGAGAAATTTATTAAAGAAAAGTGTAATTAGAGTATAACAAAAGATTCTTTATTTGCAATAAACTCTTAAGTTGCCAAAATACTCAAGATTATTATATTTATTTCAGAATAAAGTGGATCATGGTGAAGGTTGCCTATCTTCTGCACCTCCTTGTGATATTGCGGGACTTCTTAAGCAGTTTTTTAGGGAACTGCCAGAGCCCATTCTCCCAGCTGATTTGCATGAAGCACTTTTGAAAGCTCAACAGTTAGGCACAGAGGAAAAGAATAAAGCTATACTGTTGCTCTCCTGTCTTCTGGCTGACCACACAGTTCATGTATTAAGATACTTCTTTAACTTTCTCAGGAATGTTTCTCTTAGGTAAGTGGTAATTAAAACTCTTGGCAAATAATAGTTGAATTTTTCAACTAACGTTTTATGCTTGTAGATATGTACAATTTCATTTGGAATGGAAATTTTTCTTTAAAAATTCCATATTTCATTACTATGAGGAGTATACTCTAATTTAAGAAACAGCATACCAAATGATTTAATATTTCCTTATCTTAAAGTCATCATCATGAATGCCTTAATGGTTCATCATTGGTGTTTATAAGATTCATTGTCCACTGAAAGCCTTTGTTTACTGGGTTTTTAAAATATTTCTGTTTTGCTTTTCAAAATTTCCCTCTCCCTGCTGTCAGTGAGCCTGCTTATTCTAGACATACTTGCTGCCTTCTGATACTTCCAACTTTTTATGTGTAGGTCTGAAAATCAGATAAAGATGTTCAATTTGTGTGGAAAAGCAAAGTATGAACTCTAAGATTAGCATGGTTTTTAGAATACATATTTAAATATAGAGAGGCTATATATTTCTGGTTCTTTCTTGTGTTCAAGCCAATCATGTAGATGAAGGGTAACTATTTTGACTTGTGTATGACTGATAATAAAGTCTTCAAAATGTACTACATACGTTATTTTAACTCTTCTGTATTTTCACGTTTGGCTCCATCTAATAAAGCGTTTATTCACTTAAGATCCAGTGAGAATAAGATGGATAGCAGCAATCTTGCAGTAATATTTGCACCAAATCTTCTTCAGACAAGTGAAGGACATGAAAAGATGTCTTCTAACGCAGAAAAGAAGGTACGATTACAGGCTGCAGTAGTACAGACTCTTATCGATTATGCATCAGATATTGGTAAGATGTAGTTGCATTATTAACAGAATTTGTTTAAATGAGGAAAATCTCTGTTTCTTTCAAAGGAACTATGAAGGCAACTGTTAGAAAGTTGGTATATTACTGACCTCACCCCCACCCTACAGTACCGGCCCCTCCTGCAAAGAAAAAAAGAAAAGAAATTGGTATATTAGTATCTAAACATTTTTGGGGAAGAGTGGAGGAAGGATAATAATTGTCTTACTTGTGAACATTTTCATTTAGGGCGTGTACCAGACTTTATCCTGGAAAAGATACCAGCCATGTTGGGTATTGATGGTCTCTGTGCTACTCCATCACTGGAAGGCTTTGAAGAAGGTGAATATGAAACTCCTGGTGAATATAAGAGAAAGAGAAGACAACGTGTAGGAGGTAAGTGGTGGTCCCATTTTATGGAGGTACGGTGATTTGCTTTAATCGAAAGTACATTTCACATAAAGAAGCATGAACTGTGGTATGTGCCTTTTTGGTGCTTAAAGCACAGCTGGAAAGATAGGACGTATGCGTGTAAAAAGTTAAAGCGATAGTACAATCTAATGTTAAGTGCTACATCTTTAGCACAAACATAAAATGTGTTAAAAGGAGAAAAGTTCCCTGGATTGTAATTATCAGGGACTTGTCAAAGAGGAGCCAAACTGAACCTTCTTGAATAATGGATAGAATTTAGTGGGATTGGGTGGAGGATCAGAATACTTGTATCCTATTCTAGATGAGAAGGATGCTATGAAGAAAGGTTTGTGTAGGGAAGAAGTAACCTATGTCTAATGTAGATAGCGCAGTATGACTTGAGTGAAGTGTTCAGCATAAGGATAAAGGATGGTATTATGGTAAACTTAATGCCAGGCTAAAGAATTAGAATATTAACCTGGGTGTTGGTGAATCATTGAAGATTTATGATGTGAGGCATGATATGATTTAAAAATTTTAGAAAATTACCTGATTTGAAGAATTGAGACTTGGAAGTAGGGAGAATGGTCAGCAATGTGTGTCAGTAGTCCAGGCATGAGATTATTGTTTGAACTTGTTAGTGACATGGATTAGTTAGTTAGGAGTACGAACTAAATAATGAAGGAAATATTATCAAGGAAGAATCAGAAAGACCAAAAGACCATCATAAGATGGTAGAGTTGGTAATAAAACTTGCAATCTCCTTGATCAAGAAATCAGAGGCCATTATTCTTCCAATTACTTTAGGAAATTTATTATCTTTTGAATATCAGAACCAAATGTTACTAACTATCCCAATCCCTTTTTCATCTTTTGGTTTATTTGTTATTGCATACTTGTGTTTCTTCTTTACCTCCTTTGTAGATAGGATAATACTGATGACTTATGTATGATTTTCCTAGGGCTACTGTAGCAAAGTACTACAAACTAGGTGGCTTAAACCAACAGAAATTTGTCTCACCGTTCTGGAGGCCAGAAGTCTGAAATCAAGGTGTTGGCAGAATGCCTGAAACCTGCAGGGGAGAATCCTTTCTTGCCTCTTCCTGGCTCCTGGTAGTGGCTGTCAGTCCTTAGCATTCCTTGGCTTGCAGCCGCGTCACTCCAATCCCTGCCTATGTCATCCCATGGTGTTGCTCTGTGTCAGAACTTCCCTCTTACAGGGCACATTGGATTAGGGCCCACCCAAATGACCTCATTTTAACTCGAGTACATCTGTAAAGACACGAATTCCAAGTATGGTCACCTTCATAGGAACTGGGGGTTAGGACTTAAACATAGGTTTTTTGGAGAACACAATGCAACCCATAAAACTTCCTATCCCAAATGGAGATATTTCTCAGATGCAGATCATCTTTATTGCCCTCTTTCCCAGTCCTGTAGTTTCAGTTATCACCAGTCCTGTAGTTTCAGTTATCACATCTAAATAGATAACCACCACATCTGTACCACCGTTATCTTGAAAATGTCAGTTCCACTTTACTAATGGCTTGCTAGGGAGACCTCATCACATCTGCTTTTCATTGGTGCTTTAAGCTTAACGTTTTGAAATGACCATCTTTATCCTCTTTATCCTGGTTCTGTGTGAATTCCATTTTCTTCTAACAGCACCACTATTCCCTAGATAACTCAGGCTTTAACCATGGGTTCTACCTCTTCCTCTACCATCTATAATCAGACAGTTTTTGTGTCATATAAGATTCTATCTCCATAGTGTTTATTGCATTGTTACTGTAAGAATCTTCTTGGCCGGGTGCGATGGCTTACGCCTGTAATTCCAGCACTCTGGGAGACCAAGGTGGGCGGATCATGAGGTCAGGAGATCGAGACCATCCTGGCTAACACAGTGAAACCCCGTCTCTACTAAGAATATAAAAAATTAGCTGGGCGTGGTGGCGGGCGCCTGTAGTCCCAGCTACTTGGGAGGCTGAGGCAGGAGAATGGTGTGAACCTGGGAGGCGGAGGTTGTCGTTGGCTGAGATCGGGCCACTGCACTCCAGCCTGGGCAACATAGCGAGACTCCGTCTCAAAAATAAAAATTAAAAAAAGAATCTTCTTGGTCTTTATGCCTCCTCTTTGAATCTACCCTACATATTGCTATTAAGGCTCACTTTTTTTTTTTTTTTTTTTTGAGACGGAGTCTGTCTTTGTCACCCAGGCTGGGGTATAGTGATGCTATCTTGGTTCACTGCAATCTCCACCTCCTGGGTTCAAGCGATTCTCTTGCCTCAGTCTCCCAAGTAGCTGGGATTACAGGTGCACGCTACCATGCCTGGCTAATTTTTGTATATGTAGTAGAAAGGGGGTTTCACTGTGTTGGCCAGGCTGGTCTCTAACTCCGGACATCAAGTAATCTGCTTGCCTTGGCCTCCCAAAATGCTAGGATTACAGGTGTGAGCCACTGCACCTGGCCAAGGCTTACATTTTAAATGTATAACTCTACTCAAGTATCTCACACACATACCCTTCAGAAATTTTAATTGGTAATAGGGATATTTATAGCTTGGCATTAAAGGTCTTTCATAGGATTGCTCTAGCAATCTGTCTACCTGTCTACTATTTCCTGTCTTTGAGCAACTTTAGTCAAACTGTGTTATTTATTTTCCAGACACTTTTATTCATTTGCTTACATTATTTATTGATATAATGTTTTTACTTCCATCTCTACTGATCTTTTAAATACTTTTATTCGTGCCTCCATTTCCATGGTTCTTGCCTCAGTTCAGACCTTCATCTTTTGCCTTAACATGTAATGATTTCTTTTTCCCTACCCTTACTGTACATTATATGTATTTGTATTACATTTCTTTCTGTATTATGTCTTTTTTATTTTAGGGATATGGAAGTATAAGTGGGGAATGGAATAAAAATATATCCTTTAGTATTTTTCCTATTTTGAAATAATTCCTCTTAAATAACTTAAAATTTATAAGCCGATGTAAAGTTACATGTTGAAAGAAGACCGCAAATATTAATATGAATTATTGGTGAAAGACAAGTAAATGTGAAGTTGTAATTGCTTATGTCTTGCATTTCAGATTTTGTTAGTGGAGCACTAAATAAATTTAAACCTAACAGAACACCTTCTATTACACCTCAACAAGAAAGAATTGGTAGGTATTTATTATATGCATTTATTTAAATTAAAATTTGTATAGTATTCTATAAAATACAATTACAATAATAATTGCCTAACTTAGTAATCAAATTTAGTTTAATCAAATCAAATATTATTTTTAATAGTCATACTGTACTATACACACTATGTTGTGACATTGCTAATTACATAGGCTATAATGAACCCAAAATTGTAGGCAAAAATTTTTTTAGTTTCCTATGTCTTTAATCTTCTTAATCATGCTTTTCTGTTTGTAATTTAGATGCTATTGAACGTGTGAAAATAGTTCAACCTCATTTTTATCTTAGGACTAGAAGTTCATTATTGTATATTTCAATTTTTTATCCTAATTTGCTTGTGGCTGAAATTATTCAGCCAGTAAGAGTCAACATGATCTTCTGTTTTCTAGAGTGAAGAAATGAACTGGTTAATACTCACTTATGATGAAAAGCAAAAATAATATTTAGATTAGTTTTTGTTTCAACTCCTTGATTGTAATTTCTTCCTTACATTAATATTCTTTAATGTATATCATATGCATCTTTTAGTCTGTTAGATTTAAGTAACTGCTGTCTCTTAAGAGTCTTGCCTCTGCGACTTCCTTATTTTCATTTAAGTAATTGCAGAGTGTTTTAGTTAAACAACATCTACTTAACTGATGATGTAAATATATTCTCATTTTTTGTTTAGCTCTAAGTAATAGCTTTATAAGAAGAAATTATGTAAAGCTTTTATATGTTGTCAACTCTGCAGTAGAAGCAAGAAGTTGGTTTTGTTTTGATATTTTTTCAGCCCAGCTATCTGAATCACCAGTGATTCTTACACCAAATGCTAAGTGTAAATTGCCATGCCAGTAGATTCTTCTCATGGTTTCTCAAGTAAGAAAAGGAAGTCCATCAAGCACAATTTTAACTTTGAGCTGTTGCCAAGTAATCTCTTCAATAGCAGTTCTATACCAGTATCAGGTAGCAAATAGAATTTATATAAATGGATTGTAAAGATTAAAATGAGTGCCTATTCTGGGCACAGTGCAATTTCATATTAATAATACCACCCTTAGGAACTAGAACTTTATTCTGTTTTATCCAACCTATGAATTTTTATAAAACCCCCTGCCTTTTAAAATAGACAGTGTTTCAATATAGAGTGTGTGTGTGTGTGTGTGTGTGTGTGTGTGTGTGTGTTATGACAACATCTATTGAAAGTTGTGATAACCCAGAGTAGTAGTTTGGGCTTCTGGTGATAGCATTGATGCTTAGGTTTTATGTGATTAGACATCCTGAATCCTGCTATAGTTACATCTGGGTCTATAGCTGTGGCTTTATTGCTGTCATTTGTTGAATTGAGGTTGCCAGATGTTTGATCATGTCTGATTCCCAAGTGGGAGCGTTACTATTGCAGGTTATGGTTTGAAAATGAGGGTATTTTTAAAGTTTTAGACTCAAGTACCTTTTGTAAAAGCTTTAGAACTTTGTTGACGCTGTTCCTTGTGCCATGGCTTCCAGATCCCTTACCAGCCCAGCCATTTTCTTCCATATTAACTACAAGTTCTAATGTGGCCAACCAGAGCCTTCAGAGAGTAATAGAGTATGATCATGCTAATCCGGAGATTAGTCTGGGTCTTAGATTCAATTGGCTCTTTTAGCATATACAGAATTCAAGTTGGCTCATATTAACCTTACGATCAACCAAAAATGAAATGAAACTCTAAGCCCAGGGTCCTCCATCTCATTTATCTTACATTTAGTCAAAATGTGAGTGATCTCTGATTATTTTAGATTTTTATTTTGTTGGTTTCAGACAATGTTAAGTTTCATTTTTGATTCATTATCTGAGTTATATGAGTTCCTTCCCAAAGCCTGTCTCTTTTTTCTGTTGTCCAAAAGGGTTCTTATTTGTTTTATTGAGAAGTTGAACAGAATAGCAACTTGAGGTTTTCCAGAAAAAACACTTCCTCACAGGTTCTCTAGGGCTCATTGAAATGTGATGATAGTAACTCTGAAGCTTATGTCTGTAGCTTTTGCAGTGTTCACAGGTTGGAGACTTAAACTTTTTTAAGTAACATAGTTCAGTTTTTTTTTTTTTGAATATTTAAAAGCCTTTGCAGTTTGGAGGACTTTTTCCAAATGGCAAATGGGAGTTGTAGTTCTACCTGCCTTTGCTTATTAGCATTACATTTTCCCCAAGGAATGAACATACTGATTCCTTCTTCTCCTCCTCCAAGCTCCCAAAACAGAGGTTAAACAGTCTTGTTCTATTTTTAGTTTGAGCTTGCCTAATCAATGAATTTTTTAATAAAAAAATTTAAAAGTTCAACAATAATAATCGTATTATTTTTACACCACTTTTCTTTGACCCTACTTTCTCAGCCACAATTCAACAAATTCCATTTGCAAAATTGAAAATAGATTGATTTCTAAGTTTAGATTATAAAAAATATGATGCTTTTAAAAATATATAAAGACAACATTAGTCTGTAGTCCATAGAGTATCTATTCATAATTGTCTCTTTTTTTTTTTTTTGAGACAGAGTTTTGCTCTTGTTGCCCAGGCTAGAGTGCAATGGCACAATCTCGGCTCACTGCAGCCACCACCTCTCAGGTTCAAGCGATTTTCCTGCCTCAGCCTCCCAGGTAGCTGGGATTATAGGTGGCCACCACCACACCTGGCTAATTTTCTTTTGCATTTTTAGTAGAGACGGGGTTTCACCACGTTGGCCAGGCTGGTCTTGAACTCCTGACATCAGCTGATCAACCTGCCTTGGTCTTCCAAAGTGCTGGGATTACAGGTATGAGCCACCATGCCTGGCCATAATTTTCTTACAGATGTGATAAATTTGCATTGTTCCATATATTCTGACTGTGCCTTCTGCGACCATTGACGCATTTTTTTATTTTTATTTTTTGAGACGGAGTCTCGCTCTGTCTCCCAGGCTGGAGTACAGTGGCATGATCTTGGCTCACTACAACATCCACCTCCGATGTTCAAGTGATTCTTGTGCCTCAGCCTCCTGAGTAGTTGGGATTACAGGCATGCACCACCACACCCAGCTAATTTTTGTATTTTTAGTAGAGATGGGATTTCACCATGTTGGCCAGGCTCGTTTGAACTCCTGGCCTCAAGCAATCCGCCCTCCTCAGCCTCCCAAAATACTGGGATTACAGACGTGAGCCACGGTGCCTGGCTGGACACATTTTTAAAGTGACTAGACTGCAGCCCTAGAATAAAGCTACTTATGACACTTTAGATGTATAATATTGGCTTCCAAAATTTTCTTTAGCTAAATGCACCCAAAAGTTTCTAAGGTGGTTGTATTTTTTTCCGTTTTCATAATTGAAAAAATGTGAATGTCTCTGGGAAACTTTGTGAATTCTTTATTAATAACTCAGATGAATTGAGAGGGTTCATGTTTGTTGAATGTGTCCTGGGCGTGATTCAAACATAAATGTATATGGAGCCTTTGTTCATAACTATTTTACTTCTTTTGTAATTGTTTACTATAGTTGATTTCATAATATAAATGGTGTTAAATAATTGAGCTTCTGTTGTACCAGTAATTATTTGCATGGAACACAGCAGCAGCCAAGGGATTAGGAATGTGTTATAGAATAATTAGTTTTTGTTTACTTGCCAAAAATATTGAACAAATTACATTCAGGAGTCAGGTGGGTAGCAGTTGGCCAGCAGGTATATCTCAAATACTCAGATTCCAACTTGTTTGCCAATAGCTTATTTTTTATAATACCATTAATTAGTATTATGTACTAGATACTGACTAAATATTTTATATAGATAACAGTAATATTCATCATAGAAGTCCGTTTTCAGAGCCTAAAGCCATTTAGTAAGTGATGGAGCAAACTCAAGCCTGTCTCCAAATCTTGTTCTTTTTCCAGTCTGCAATGGTGCCTATCCCTGCCTTGTATTATTAAAAGAGTTTAAAGAAAAGCTCTAATATAAAAGTAATGCTTAAGCTGACCTTTAATTGGCAAGTCAAAAGTAAGAAATGAATGCTTTTTCTTAGCTGAGTTGGGTTATTTGACACTTGAAGTTTCTAACCAGAAATTAAGTGATTTCGGTTGTTGCTTGGGATAGAAATTAAGGCTTTGAATCTAATTGCTGCTATTGGAGGGCAGTAGAATGTGGTAGTTGGAGTTGCATGATACTTGATTCATATGTCTGTGTAATGATGGTGTGCAGTACCCTGATTGCTCCTTTTACATTCTTTCTGTAAAAGGAAAAATAAAACATGAGAATAGTGCTGTTAACTAAACTATCAAATTTATTTGAATTTTACCAGTTGCCTCTAATATTCTTTTTGTTTTCTTCCAGGATGCCACATTACAGTTTGTTGTTATGCCCCCTTAGTCTCATATAATCTGTCCTAGTCTTTCATGGTTTTGTCAGAATTTCTCAGACTTTTCTTGCCTTTCATGACCTTGACAGTTTTCTTTTTTTTTTTTTTTTGAGATGAAGTCTCACTCTGTCACCCAGGTTGGAATGTAGTGGTGTGATCTCAGCTCACTGCAACCTCTGCCGACCGGGTTCAAGCTATTCTCCTGCCTCAGCCTCCTGAGTAGCTAGGATTACAGGGGCCTGCCACTGCGCCTGGCTAAGTTTTGTAGTTTTAGTAGAGACGGGATTTTATCATGTTGGCCAGGCTGGTCTTGAACTCCTGACCTCATGATCCGCCTGCCTAGGCCTGCCAAAGTGCTGGGCGTACAGGCGTGAGCCACGGCACCTGGCCTTTGTATGTTTTTGTAATACATGTTATAAAACGTATGACTCAAGTCCTTGACACTTTGAAGAGTAACTGGTTGGGTGTTTTGAAGAATGTCCCTTAATTTAGGTTTGTCTAAGGGTTTCTCATGATTAGAATGAGATTATGAATTTGGATTATGAGATTAGAATGGGAATATGCATTTTAGTAAGAATACTGCAGTAAATACAGTAATGCTGGTTACTTAATTAGTAAAGGTTTTAAGAAATATTACATATAGAAGTTTTGCAGAAGTTAGGTATAGAAATGATGGTTGAATTTTTAATTAAAAGTCTCAAGATGCAGTATCTGGCTGTCCGAAGCTCATGGATCCAACTACATGGTTTCTTCACATTTCTCAAATTGTGCACTTTCCAATTCATGCTATTATGGCTTCCTTGAATGGAGTCTTCTCTGATATAACCATAAAGTTCCAGCCATCCTTCAAGACCTCAACCCACCTTATACCTCTTCTGTAAACCCAGTGCCAACTGTATCAAGTAAAGTGCTTGCTGTATTCTCTAAACTACTATTTACAAAAAAAAAAAATTCTTTCTGTCCAGGGTTTTGTCTGTAGTTATGTCCTGCCTCTTTTGAATTGTGAAATATTTTGTTGTTTATCAAATGTTTGTCTCATCTTCCCAACCAGAATGTCAGCTCTCTGAAAATAGGATTGTGTCTTTTATATTTTTGTATCCCCCTTAGCACTTGGCATAGAGCCTTACCTTGGCACGGTACCCAATAGATATTTGTTGAATGACTGAATTTCTAATTAGAGGTAAATTATCTAAAGAGTAAGCCAAGATAGGGGTGAATTTTTTCTTTGAAGCTTTATTTTATTACAGATATCAATTGAAATGATTTTTTAAAATAAATTATCTATATTTGTATGTTTTAATCTGAAAAGGCATCGTTCTTATTGTTTTTGGTAACAAATTTTACACATTCTTTTTTTGTCCTCATTGATTTATTATCTGATATAAGGGACATATAAGGAGACATATCAATCTCAAAAATTGTCTCAAAAGGTTTTATTTTTTTTAACCACAGATAATGAAACAACCACCATCGGTTAAATTTGATCCAAAAATATTGCATCTACCAGCATTTTCAGGTAGGATCATAAAGGACTTATCGAACATGTAGACTTTGTATACAGATACGAATATGAAATTTATTCACAAATGGAATATTTGTATGTGAATAACTAAATTTATTTTGTCTTGACAATTGGTTATATTCTTGGGTCAGTGTTATGTGAATTGTAAGTAATCTGTAATTCATTTGTGCCAGCTGTTGACATGAGTCTGGGCTGCCCTGTCCTCTTGTGTGTGGGGAGGTTCCTGTAGATCTGGGCAAGTTTTCCTGTAGAGTGGGTGGGGGGCCTCCTCCCTTCCGTTCATAGAGCTGGTTGAATTTCCACCATTTATGGCAGGTGTAGGTGCACAGGGTTGGGGACAACAAGGAAGGATTGGGATTCTATTGGCGGGACCAGGACATTTGAGAACGGGACTAGGTGGTTCATGACTGTGGAGATGGTGTGGGAGTGGAGATACTTAAGGGATAATTATTACATTTCTGTTGAGCTAATGAAAATCTTATTTAGGGTGAAAGTCAGAAATTTTTACATACCTTAAACTTTTTTTTTTAACAAATTATATTTTAAGCTGTTAAACTCAATTTGGGGAAAATTATTCATTGTGGCTAGATTAGAATCTATGATTTGAAATAAATTTAAAATATATTTAGGTTTAAATAAACTAGCTAAGGGTTTGTATCAGTCAACCTAATTACCGATAAAAACAACCAAAAAAACCTGTGAAGGATGTTTTTGAAAGACCAAAGTGAAGCAAAATATTAATAGTGCTTTCAGTGCCAAGTAGGTCTATTTATGCAAACCTAGAGAATTATTACCTGGAAATACTATTTATTTTTTCTTCTTTGGTTTATTTAGGAAATTATATTTACAATTTCTTTTGTCTAAAGATTGAGATCAGCCAAAAATATGTTAATTTTAGGGGGTATCACATTTCCTAGATTTTGCCCTTTTTTTGTATAGGGATTTGGAGCTAAAATTTCAGGTGATTTTAGCTATCATGTTATCCTCGTTATTTTTTTACAGTGATTTTATTGGAACTTTTTAATAACTGGGATTTGTGCTTTTCTCAATATTTGAGAGTTGATTTATTTATACAAAGGCTCTTTTGTCTTTTACTTCAGTCGTATTCAACTTTACATTTTGTTATAGTCTAGGTTGTGGGACAATTCTGCTTTAGACATCTGCTTTATTTGAAAGCATAGTTTTCCATTGAAGTGGTTAAAAAGTTTCCATGTGTAGATAAAGAGATGGGAAATATAGAAGGACAAATAGAAGTAGTGTCATCTTTGGAGTATTTTTGATTTTGACAGTGTAATGTTTTCTTTATCCTCATCTTAGTTGTCGTAATTCTGTGTTTCTCATGTAATGTTTCCAGCAGTTGTTTTTCTCATCATCATACTTCTGTTATTTTCTTTCCTTGGCAGTGGATAAGTTATAATTTCTGAAAGACCAAGATTGGAATGACTTTTTGTAACAAGTGTGCTCGCAGATCGACTCCAGTGAGAAGAGCTCGGGGACCTCCTGAGCCAAGTTTAATCTCCTTTGCTATTTGTGCATGGTGGCTGGTCACCAGGAGGTGGCCACCAGGCTTCTCCTTTCCCCGCTGGTAGGCCTCTGTGACATGACTTATGCATTTAAATGTATGTTTTTATAGAGGCTCAAACAAGTGCTAAAATAGCAATTTGATTTAACTACCATGAAAAAACTGATTTATCATGATTTTAGGTTTATGCAAATTATCGTCTGCTTAATCCTTAGGTCTTAAAGTAGATGAGAGTAGATGGTGATTTTGAACTTTCTGTTGTTGTTGTTTGTAATACTTAGATTTCCATTTTATGTTAACTTGTAAGATTTTAAAAAAATATATAGGCTGAGGCAGGAAAATGGCGTGAACCCCAGGGGCGCGGAGCCTGCAGTGAGCTGAGATTGTGCCACTGCACTCCAGCCTGGGCGACAGCGAGACTCCGTCTCAAAAAAAAAAAAAAATATGTGAAATTAGCCCAGGCGCAGTGGCTCATGCCTGTAATCCCAGCACTTTGGGAGGCTGAGGCGGGTGGATCACCTGAGGTCAGCAGTTTGAAACCAGCCTGGCCAACGTGGTGAAACCCCATCTCTACTAAAAATACAAAATTAGCCGGGCGTGGTGGTGCACTCGTGTAATCCTAACTACTGGCGAGGCTGAGGCAGGAGAATCACTTGAACCTGGGAGCCAGAGGTTGCAGTGAGCCGAGATTGCGGCATTGCACTCCAGCCTGGGCAAAAAGAGCGAAACTCCATCTCAAAACAAAACAAAACAAAACGTGATATCATAAGACCTTTTCCCTTCTCATCAGTGACTGGAATGAACTGCCCATGTGGAATGGGTTGTGGGTGTTGGTTCCTTTACTGGGTCATCTGGTAAACTGCAAGGTTTCTGCTGTGACATTGAAGGCAGACATCAACCCCCTAAGACATTTTTTTCCTATCCTCTGGGAATATTACGTTTTGGACAATCTTGGTCCATTGGTAAGCTTATGGGAATTTGTCAGCGTTTTTTTGTTTTTTGTTTCTTTGGGCTCATGTTTAGCATCAATTGGCAGAGTTTTTGGAGTCATCCTCAGAAAGGAATTACGGTGGTTCAGAGGTGTTTTCTGTAGTGGGCCCTCATTTGGGAATTGGCTTGAAAAAATTTAAGTTCATTTGCTCCCAGGATAGTATTAAGGTTACTTTTTTCGATAGTTGGTGTGTGTCTATCAGGTAAGGGCAGTCATTTAGAGAATATAAAGTGGTAGGAGAAACTAAAAGTACTGTTCTTAGTTTCTATTTTAATCTTATTCATATACAAGTGCCTTTGTAATTTAGTAAATATCATTTTTGGTATACAGCATAAATTTCCTTTTTATAAAGATCTGAGTTTTTAACTTTGCTGTCACTTTCTGTGTTGTGTGAGTTAAATATTTTAATTTTTTCTTTTTTTATATTTAAATTTTTTATTCTAGTTCTAATTGCTAATCCAGTATTTGCGGATAGCTCCAAACTGGGATATGTAAGTAACATTTATATTTTAAAAATTATTTTTCATGACTTTATTAAGTAGTTATAGCATACATACTTATCAAAAGCACAGTCCTAAATAATTATCATAAATTTTTCTGACATAATGATGACTCTACTCATAGGCAATTTTTATGGGCATTCCAATTATAAATTTTAGAATATTTAAAAATAACCCTTCTCCTAATATACAATTCTGGGATTATCTAAGCTACTCCTGGAAACTTTATTAACTGTTCTTGTTTTTTTATTTTCATAGAGACAAGGTCTCTCTCTATGTTGCCCAGGCTGGTTTCCAACTCCTGGGCTCAAGTGATTCTCCCATCTCTGACTCCCAAAGTGTTAGGATTACAGGAGTGAGCCACTGCGCCAGGCTAACTGTTACTGTTTTGAGTATTGGTTATAAAATACTTCAACCCTGATCCCTGTGTATTAATTTAGTTATACTTCCTCAAAGTTTCCCTTGGCCACCCTTATCTGTCCCTCATGTAGCACGTAGCTTCCCTATGATTTTATTTATAAGCTAATGAGATTATGATTTATAAACTCCCAATGGAAGGAAGTGTCCTTACTTTTTATAGGAGCAGCATACCAGGTGGAAAGCACCGTAGATCAAGTGTTAGAAGGCTCTGGGTTCCTGTTGCCTGTAAGACTTGGCCAAATGATTATCTTTTTCTCATTCTCTGTTTCCTGGGGAGGGTGAGTGGAACAAGGAAATGACATAGGTTTAGGATTCAGACAGACCTGGGTGTGGATCAAAGATCTGTGTTCTGGGCCAATTACTTTAATTGCTGAGTCGAAGTTTCCTCATCTGTAAAATTTCGATGGAGATGAGATAACTACTTCATAGATTTTTGTAATTATTCCACTGTGAATGAGGTAAATATGTGATACCTTGTATAGTGCCTGATTCTTAGTGGGTATTTCACTTACAATGGGGTTGGGGTTGTAGAAGTTGCAGTTATTATCATGAAGCTTGCTTATCTCATGACTGTTAGGAAAAGCACATGAAAAAACGGAGGTGAAAGGATTTTGTGAATTGTGGCAGTGGTATAATAATTATTCTTCGATGCTGGTAAAATATGGGTGAAACAATAGGAGTTTAGAAAATGCTTAATAATAAGGGTAATTCTTATTATACATCTTGTAATGTTACTCTCCCAAAGTAAAATCTGGTAATAGAAAGTAGGATTTAATACTTTGAGCATTTAATACTTTGAGAAGGCTTATGGTATGCTCATTAAAAATGAATCAATGAAATATTTATTTAAACACTTTTATTTAAAACATGTTATACCCTTGAATGGGGTGCCCCCTGTTGACATTTTCAAACAGACATTCCAAATCATTTCCAAGTACAGTCATCCCTCTGTATCAGCCCGGAGATTGGTTCTAGTATCCCCTTGGATACCAAAATTCACACATACTATTTTTCCTCTGCTTTTAAGAATTGAAGTTTGATTGTAAAACTGTTTTAATTTGAATAAAATGATACTGAGGTAGACAAGTTCTCTGGTAGGAATCTTCTTTTATTCTCTTTCTCCATTCAAAGCCACTTCTAGTGAGGTTTTCTCTGATCTCAGGTTATATTACCTTGATAGCATATGATAAAGGGTCCTTAACGTAGTCTGTGAGATAACTATTTTTGAAGTAGGCATATTTATTCCTTAGTTTTGTTTTGCATATAAAAAAATTAGAATCACGTGATATAATTTTATAAGTTTGTTTTCCCCTGTAACATATATATTATGTATTTTAAATGTTATTAACATTTTAAAATAAAATACATAATAAGGTAAACTTTTTATATGTTGTGAATATCTGATCATTTTGTTTACTAATTTTGGATAGTATTATAATGTTGGAAACAACATTTTGATGAACATATTTGAGATTAAATCTTTGTGCCCACATTTTCTTTTTCTCTTTAGGGAAGATTCATAGAATTAGAACAAATTAGAACAAATGGGTAGAAGGCAGTAAATATCTTTGTGACTTCTAAAAAATTGCTGAAATACTCTTAAATAAATTGTATCAATATATAATCCCAATGTGTTTAAAATGCCTTTTGTTAGAACTTCCAACATTGAGTATTTATCAAATTGTGTATCCTTCTATCCTTGCCAATCAACTTTATGAGGTATAATTCATATATAGTAATATTGTAATAGTGTAATTTTAAAAATGTGTTAATTGTATATTATGCATAATTTAAAATGTTCCATTTCAGCCATTTTTATGTGTACAGTGGCATTTAGTTCATTCCCATTGTTGTATAACCATCACCACTATTCATTTCCAGAACTTTTTCGTCATCTTAAACAGAAGCTCTTTACCCATTAAACGGTAACTTCCCCTTTCCCTTCCCCAGTCCTGGTGAGCTATACTCTACTTATTCTATCCTGGTGAATTTGCTTATGGTGAGCACCTCATATTGCTACCGAAACATCAAGGGGTTTGGTCTAGGTCCTGTTGCTCACAGCTCAGAAAGCCAATCACAGAGACGATGAGTGTTGCTAGGGAAGAAGGCTTCAACTGGGTACTGCAGCTAAGGAGATGGGAGATCAATCTCAAATTTGTCACCTCCACTGACTAAAACCAGGGGTTTATTTAGCAGGGAAGAAATGTAACCATGTATGGGAAAACAGGAGTTAGGGAAGGGTGAGGAAGAGGAGTTGGTCAACAGGAAGCAGGTAGTTGGTTAGGCAATTGTGATGGGTGAGGTGGTCTGGTGTCTTATGGTTCAGATGTGGTGATGTGGTAAGTTTCAGTTCCTTGATAACTATCTGGGAGGCCTTATGGTTTGTTTCCCAAAAAAGGAATTCAGATAAGACAAATGTAACTTTCTCAAGTTTTAAGACTGGGAGGGTCAATTTCTATCTTTATTTTAAAAGACTGTAAGCATCAGTTCTATAGGACAATTGGGCTGGTTTCATTTGCAAGGTTCATCCATGTTGTAACTAACCATGTGTCAGCATTTCATTCCTTTTTAAGGCTGAATCATATCCCTTTGTATGTATATACCACAGTTTGTTTATTTTTTCATCTGTTGTTGGGCACTGGCTTGTTTATATCTCTTGGCTATTGTGAACAATGCTGCTACGAACATTAGTGTTTTCTGTTTTTGTTTTTTGCTAACAGCTATCCTGATGGGTGTGAAGTAGTATCTCATGGTTTTGATTTGTATTTTGTGACTACTGATGTTGAACATCTTTTTGTTTGATTGTTGGCTATTTGGAGAAAGGTCTAATCAAGTCATTTGCCAATTTTTGTATTGAGTTTTATGTTGTTTAGAGTTGTAGGTATTTTTTATATATTCTAGATATTAACCCCGTGTCAGATAAATGATTGTAAATATCTTCTCTCATTACACTGGTCGCTTTTTACTGTGGCAAGTGCCTTTTTGAGATATGAATTTAGGAAGAATTTTTCTATTTTTTAAATAAGAGTTTTATACTTGAATAAGGTAAATGCTCATCCATCATTAATTTTTTAATTAAAAACACAGTTTTCCTGTTTCTTTGGTGTAGTTCTCCTCTTGGTTGATTATATTTTATCATTGGATAGGTTTTTTTGTTGTTTGAGACGGAGTCTCGCTCTGTCGCCCAGGCTGGAGTGCAGTGGCGCGATCTCAGCTCACTGCAACCTCTGCTTCCTGGGTTCAAGCGATTGTTCTGTGTCAGCCTCCCGTGTAGCTGGGATTACAGGCACCTGCCATCATGCTTGGCAATTTTTGTATTTTTGTAGAGACAGGGTTTCACCATGTTGGCCAGATGGTCTTCAACTCCTGACCTCAGGTGATCCACCTGCTTTGGCCTCCCAAAGTGCTGGGATTATAGGCATGAGCCACCATGCCTGGCTGACAGATTTTTTGTTTTGCTTTCTTTTGAACAAGGCCTCTCAGTGGCTTACCTCTGTGCCATGCTTTGGTGTTTGAGCTCTCTTCCCTGTACTAACTGTAGCTCTGTAGGACTTGGGGGTCAACCTTACCTTTTATTTTTACCCCGTCTTTTGTGTGTCTTATTTGAGTTAGCATTTCTTTTTATTCCAGGCCTGTAAATTTTACTAGATTGTCTCTAGGAATCTCTTTTACTAATTTGCTTCAGCCTGCCTTCCTGCCATCTCTTTTTACTAATTTGCTTCTGCCTGCCTGCCTTCCTGCCTTCCTCCCTCCCTCCCTCCCTCCCTCTCTCCCTTCCTCCCTCCCCTTCTTCCCCTTCCTTCCCCTCTCCCATGCCTTCCTTCCCCTCTCCCATCCCTTCCTTCCCTTCTTTTCTTTCCATTTATTTTGAGATAGAGTATTGCTCTGTCACCCAGGCTGGAGTGCAGTGGGGTAATCTTGGCTCACTGCAACCTCTACCTCCCAGGTTCAAGTGAGTCTCCTGCCTCAGCCTCCTGAGTAGCTGGGATTACAGGTGTGTGCCACCATGCCCAGTTAATTTTTGTGTTTTCAGTAGAGATTGGTTTTCACCATGTTGGCCAGGCTGGTCTCGAACCCCTGACCTCAAGTGATCCACTTGCATTGGCCTCCCAAAGTGCTGAGATTATAGGTGTAAGCCACAATGCCTATCCTCTTCACCCCTCCTTTAGCTTTCATATTACTTCTTAGATTTCTTCCTCTCTATTTCATCCTTTTTCTGTTCCTGAAACCCCTACAGGATGGGTGTGGGAGTTTGTGTCTCTTGACTCTTTTTTCAAATTTTCTTTTGCTTTCTCACTTTCTCTTGTTTATTGAGATATAATTCACATACCATAAAATTCACCATTTTAATGTGTACAGTTCAGTAGGTGTCAGTATATTGAAAACTGTTCAACCATCGCCACTATCTAATTTCAGAACAGTTTTCTCACCCAGTGAAACCCAGTACCCATTCTTCTCCAACCCCTGGCAACAACTAATCTACTTCTTGTCAGCTGATTTGCTATTCTTGATATTTCATATAAATGGAATCATACAGTGTGTGGCCTTTTGTGTCTAGCTTCTGTCATTTAGCATAATGTTTTCAAGGTTCCTCCGTATGGTGGAATGTGTGAGTACTTCATTCTTTTTCTAGCTGAATAATCTTTGTATGGCTATTCCACATTTTGCTTATGTGGTCTTGATGGACATTTGGGGTTGTTTCCATATTTGGCTATTATGAATAATGGTGCTCTGAACATTTGTCCACAGGGTTTTGTGTGAACATATACGTTTTTATTTCTCCTACAGTGGTGAGATTGCTGGATAAAATGGTAACTCTGTGTTGAACCTTTTGAAGAACTGCCAAAGTCTCTTTGTTAAACTTTTATTTTAGGTTCAGGGGTACACATGCAGGTTTGTTATATAGGTGAACTCATGTTATGGGGGTTTGTTGTATGAATTATTTGGTCACCCAGGCACTAAGCTTGGTAAGGACCAATTGTTATTTTTTCTGATCCTCTCCCTCCTCCCACCCTCCACCCTAAATAGGCCCCCGTGTCGATTGTTCCCTCTTTGTGTCCATGCAAACTTTCTTCTTTTATTGCTCTTCCTTGACTTTATCTTTGAGCTCTCAAACTTGATATTTATCCCCACTCATTTTATTATTTAGGATTTCCAGTTAATTTTTTAATTTCAACAATCATATTTGAAAGTTTTTGTTCATTTTCTTTTTCTCTGATTGGTCCTTTTTCCTAGCTGCCTATATTAGGTGTGTACTTTTGAATTTGAGGATAAATATTAGGATTATAAAAATCCTCGTCTTGGAGCAGAATTTAGAATTAAATGTTGTTATTAATATTTAAGGCTAAACATTAGGATTATATAATATAAGCCTGGAACCTGGACTTTGAAAAAAAGGGAACAAAATTCAGATTATAAACATTGTATTCTTATGTCTTGAACTTGTAGGTCACTTGTTTTTCATCATGGTCCTGCTTTTTAATGCTGTTTATTTCTCAAATGCCTGGTGATCTCTGTTTCTTCGTTTATATTATGAATAAATGATTAAATTGATTGGTATAGAAGTTGGCAATACGAGTTTCCTTTATTCGTGCCTAAGTCTCTTTCTCCAATAGCCTTTCCTTTAAAGAAAGGGCTGATATGTGGTATGTGAGGCCTGTTGACTGGTTGAGTTTAATTTGGGATTCCAGCTGGCTGAAGATCAGATAGGCAGGCTGGAGGCCTCTGCAATTGCCAGGGTGGGTTTTTCTTTGCAGTGGAGCTGGCTTTCCTCATTTTACCCCTTTCCCGCTTCAGTATCTGTAGGACCACAGTCGCTGCTTCCCACATCCATCCATCCAGTGAGCAAGGTGGATTGCTCACTGTAGGAACGATTTTCCACGTTTACCCAGGAGGCCAGGGCTGCAGGGTTTATTCTGTGTACCAGGGGAAGGAGACGGAAAGGAGACAGGATCTGATTGGCTCAACTGTTCCTTGTACAAGGACACAATTTTTCTTTGTGCAGTTGTTTAATCTGATGATTGTCTTGTGGCTCATTCTTTGTTTTTGTCTTAGTTTATTCCAAGTCCCTGAGGCTTCCTTGGGAACGTCTGTCTACCTGTGGTTCTTAGACAGGGGATTCCTTTGTTGATTCTCTGTCAGTCTTAATTCTATTTGTGCATGTCATCTGAGATTTTCTCAAACTTTCTAGTCCACTTTTAGCCCTCCTTTTTGTTTCCAATTATCATTTAATAAAAAGAGCTTGTATTTTAGAGACTCTAGAGGGTTCAGAAAAGTGAGTGTCGAGTGTTTAGTCTGCAACCGTTAAAGACAGAGAATGTCTCATAAGTTTGGATCTGTGTTACTTACATGATTTTGATTTACAGATGCTTTCTTTCTTTCCCTTTCCCTTTTATTTTTTCTTTTCATTTACTTATTTTATTATTATTATTATTAGTATTATTTTTAGAGACTTACTCTAAAAAAATAGGGTCTCACTTTGTGCCCCAGGCTGCAATGGGACTACAGGTACATGCCACCATGCCTGGCTAAATTACAATTTTTTTTTTTTTTTTTGAAGAGACAGAGTGTCACTTTGTTGGCCAGGCTGGTCTTGAACTCCTGGCCTTAGTGATCATTCCATCTTGTCCTCCTAAAGTGCTAGGGATTACAGGTGTGAGCCACTGTACCTGGCCAAAGTTTTCACTTTTTAATATGGTGTATAAGGTATATAGAAGTGCTTTATTTATTTATTTATTTATGAGAGGGAGTCTTGCTCTGTTACCCAGGCTGGAGTGCAGTGGCATGATCTCGGCTCAGTGCAACCTCTGCCTCCTGGGTTCAACAATTCTCCTGCCTCTGCCTCTCGAGTAGGTGGGATTACAGGCGCCCACCACCATACCCGGCTAATGTTTGTATTTTTTAGTAGAGATGGCATTTCACCATGTTGGCCAGGCTGGTTTTGAACTTCTGACCTCAAGTGATCCACCCGCCTCAGTCTCCCAAAGTGCTGGGATTACAGGCATGAGCCACCATGCCCAGGAGAAGTGCTTTTAACTCCACAAGTGTTTAGGCTTTTTGGGTTATATTTGCTATTTTTACTTTTCTCCTTTTACTATATCAAAATGAGTCCTTTATAATTTCTGCCCTAGGGAATTCTAAAGATTTATCTTTGTGGTCTAATATAAAATCATTTTAAATGTATGCCATGAATGTAGTCAAGTATTGATAATAATGTAGTAATAGTAGCTTGCTCAGTCAGCACAAATTGTCAGGACACAGTGGTAATTTCTGCATGTGGATTATCTCCTGATTCTTAGAACAACATGAAACCAGGCTCATGAAAGATGAGTAATTATCCCAGGGTACTGTCTCCCTCACCTCCAATGTTGGGCCAGAGCTAGGTCCAAGACTTTGAATTCTAGAGTGTTAGACACCATCCTATGCAGCCTCCCACTGAGTAAGGGTGGTCACTGTTTGTAGGGTGTAGAGTTTGATAGATACGTCTGTTACTTTGACTTCATTAGTTTTATTTAGGATGCTTGAATGTATGAATGTATTGATTAATATATTCATTATTGCCTTCTCTCTGTGCTTGGAAGAGAAGAAAATTGAAGTTTACCACTACCATGGGTTTACTTTGCGTGCTTTGTTATTTGGTGTATAAAGATTCACACCTTAGATCTTTTGTAGGTCATATGGTGTTTAGTTTAAAGGGAATCTTTTTCTGAAGAGTTTAGCCTTGAATTCTGCTGAGATTTACATTGGCAATCCTGTTTGCATTTTGTTTGCCTTGGACAGCCATACTTTTATGCACTCCTTTCCTACTAATGTGTTTATTTTGCTTTTGATGTTGATATATTTGTTCAACCAACATTTTTAGATGCCCGAGTGCGCTCCAAGCACTGTCTAGGTGTCACAGTGGCGATCGGGATACAGCCCTGCCTTCATGGATCTTCTGGGCTGGTCGGGGAGACAGACAATAAACCAGTCAACGAATGAATAAGTAACTGCAAAATTTTAGTTCTGCTCTAATGTGGTAGCCATTCACTTCATGGGGGTCATTTAAATTAATTAAATTAATAGTAGCTTACTCATTCAGCATGTATTGTCAGACACAATGGTACTTTCTGCACATGGATTATCTCCTTTGATTCTTTTAACAACATGCGGTATGTATTGTTATCGGTCCTACTTATGAGGTAACCAGGACTAGGCACATGAAAGATGAGTAATTACCCCAGGGCACTGTCTCCCTCACCCTCAACTGTGGGAGTAATTTTTAAAAGAAAAGTTAAGGCGAGATGCAGTAGCTAACGCCTGTAATCCCAGCACTTTGGGAGGCTGAGGTGGGCAGATCAGTTGAGCTCAGGAGCTCAAGACCAGCCTGGACAACATGACGAAACCCCGTTTTTACTAAAAATACAAAAATTAGCCAGGTGTGGTGACACACACCTATAGTCCCGGCTATTTGGGAGGCTGAGTTGGGAGGATTACTTGAGCCCGGGAGGCATTGCAGTGAGCGGAGACTGCGCCACTGCTCTCTAGCTTGGATGACCCTGTCTCCCAAAAAAAAAAAAAAAATTAATTTGAATAAAATTTGTTGTTCCTCACTTGCATGTGTCATATATTATGTGCTTGATAGTCATGTGTCTAGTGGATACTGGATTGAACAGTGCAGATGTGGGACATTTGTCAGTGCACGAAGGTTTGGTAGACAGTGGTGCCTTAGATGCCGTCATGGAGATGGGTTGGTTCTGAGGTACAGTGTCAAGTCACTGGGGGCACCTGGAGTGGTGACCTGAGAAAACCTGAATTTTGAGAAGGAACCTGTACTGTGAGGGTGTTGTCTATGGGGCATGTGGTACTTGTATTTAGGATTTTGGTAAAAAGTGACTATTCATAAGCTATTTAAAGTTTCTATTTTAAAAGTATAGGGTTTTTAGGTAGTGTGTTTTCTCTTATTCTAATAATAATTGTTTTGGTCATATTAGGGAAAATAACTGACATGTTGTTAGATTTTTATTTTAGTTGATTAAATCTGGTAGCCATTATTTACTTTTATAGATTGAAAAATGGTTCAGTGTTTCAAAAGTATTTTTAGCTTGTCTTTGGAAAGAGATAGGCAGGTGCAGTGGCTCAGGCCTGTAATCTCAGCAGTTTGGGAGGCTGAGATAGGAGGATTGTTTGTTAGGAGTTCAAGGCCAGCCTGGGCATCATAACAAGACCCCATCTCTACAAAAAGTAAAAAAATTAGCTGAGCGTGGTGGTGCACGCCTGTAGTCCCAGCTACTTGGGGGGTTGTGGTGGTAGGATGGCTTTTCCAATTATCCTACAGATATTTTTCAAAATGATTACTTTTAACCTATAATCTTTTTATTTGGAGGTGGGATGCTAACTCTCCAATTGCCTAGGACTTCTTTAATTTGTATATGTTAAGAAATTTTAATGGGCAATTTAATAAGTGTTGAAATTTCTAAGAATTATTTCCGTATGTTAGAGTTGTGATAAAGCAGACCTTTTCCCGGTAGTACTTCTCTGAGTCTGATTTGTTTTCCCCCATGGGTGCCACATAGGTTTATTTATTTATTTATTTATTTATTTATTTATTTTGAGACAGAGTCTCACTTTGTCACCCAGGCTGGAGTGCACTGACGTGATCTCGGCTCACTGCAAGCGCCACCTCCCAGGTTCACGTCATTCTCCTGCCTCAGCCTCCCGAGTAGCTGGGACTACAGGTGCTTGCCACCACACCCAGCTAAGTTTTTTGTATTTTTCGTAGAGACAGGATTTCACTGGGTTAGCCAGGATGGTCTTGATCTCCTGACCTTGTGATCCGCCTGCCTCGGCTTCCCAAAGTGCTGGGATTACAGGCGTGAGCCACCATGCCTGGCCACACATGGGTTTACTTTAAGAAGGTAAAAAATAAAAGCTAAGGTACATACTGATTACCCCAGACAACATGCAGACATCACTCAATGAGTGCAGTTCTCATCAACTCACCATTTGTTTCAATTAGAAAAAATCTCTTCAAAACGAATTTTTCTGCATGAAATACCTTTTCAAATCACACTGTGATTTATTAATAGTGATTTATCAAATTCAGTTTTCTGCTGGACACTAAAGGAACACCTCATTAAGACTAGTGTTTATGGAAATAGTACAATATTTTAAACACTTTTAATTGTAAAAGTTTCTTTTAAACTTAACGCATACAGGTATGTTATTGTTCAGATATTTAGCACTTACATAGAAACTCACTGATCTACTAACAAGTAGAAAAGAGACCTTTAGCCAAATGCCTCTGTACTCAGAAATAAAATGATTAATTACTGTTTTGCTCTTTTCTCTGGTTAAGGCTTTTAAAAAATTTTATTTTTCCTTTTACTATTACACCATAACTTGTTTAAATTTTGTTGCTATTGCAGAATTGCCGCAGTCATTACAGTTCGTGTCTCCCTGTGTATATGAGGGAGAGATTCTCTGGGCTGTGTAGATGCCCAGAGAATGGGGAGTGTGGGCCTGACCTGTCACATTCAATTTTTGTTTCACAGTCTTACATCTAATGCTCTTCGTTGCATTATGTAACTAGCTGGGGTTAGTTTCCTCAGTACCTACTCTTCAGAGCCTGTTTTCTCTCCGTTTACAGATGGGCCAACGTTGCTTGGGTGGTTGGTTTACTGGCTTTTCACACAACTGAGCTCCAGGAAAATACACCTGTTGTTGAGGTAATGTCTTTTATGACTGAAATGTGATGAATGACAAGAAATACTGTTGTTGATTCCGTAATTTAGAACATGCGGCTTTCCTTGACCTTCACTTGATTTTTCTTTGTGGGATTGTGGAAATTGTTCGAAAACTATCACCTCAATAGACCTTTAGGCTTAAACATAGCGGCTCATTTACAATGTAGTCCATCATTAAAATGGCACAGCAGAGTTAACAAGGCTCGTGAACCCTACTCATCATTATTTCATTTGTTTTTGAATAAGACTTGTTCATTTCCCGTTTTCTTGTAGTCTGTCCAACATTTTGTTACAGCTAATGTATTTCCTAATTAAATCATAGCTTATAATTCAAAATTCAAATTCTTCTGGCTTTCAGTGTTTTCGTATGAAAGATTACTTTCTACCTATTCTGTTAATGTGTATTACACTTAATTGGTAATAGAGTTTTATCCCTTGAATTGGGAGAGGCTCAAGAGTCAGTGTAGGTGAAAAGAACCAAGACTTTTTAGGGGAAATAGCAAGAGGTCCTGAAGGAGGTTAAAAGGGGGTAAGGAGAGGGTATTTTGTAGAGCTGAAGCTGGTTGTGTGGTATTTGGGGCTTTAAGAGGAATTGGAACATTTTCTGTGTCTGTGTTGTCCACTATAGTAGCCAATTGGTATTTGGAGCCTTAAGAGGAATTGGAAACTTTCCTCTCTGTGCCGTTCACTGCAGTAGCCAATTGCTGGGATAGTATCCCAGCTGTCCTTATAGTGTCTGGGTGGAGATTAATATAATTTCACTGTATTTCCCTTGCTTACAATTCCATCTCTATTTCCTGCAAACTGTTGGATCTCTGAGCTACTAGTAAAATGCCACTAAGTCTAATTTTTTCCTTTTTTGGGGGGCCTAAAATAAATGAATTGTGACCTGTGTGATTACTGATGGTACCCAACTTGGTTCTCAGAGATGTGTCGAGTAGATTTTTATCTAAAAGATTGAGCATATAGGGCAGTATTACCAGGAAGATGAGAAGGCTTAGGATCTTAAAAATGGGGGTTCCTTCTGATGGCTCAGAGCAAAAGGTCTCCAGTGAGATGGAGTAGCTGTAGGAGATGGGAGAGAACATAAAGTCCAAGACAAAGTCCCAAGATTTTAGAGGATATTCCTGCATCGTCAGAGCAGGCATTTGTTGCTCAGGAGCTGAGAAGAAAGAGCCTCTGAATATGTAAAATATGACTGTTGAATTAAATGATTCAGTAGTTGCAGTAGAGTATGGATACTTTAGGAAGCTGAGTTAGTGAATTTGAAGATCAGTTGGATGAATTCTCTTAGGATTCAGAAAGAAAGAGGATAAAAATTATGAACTAAAAAGGCATGAATGATAGTTTCAGATTTGTTGCGCTATCTAGTATAGTAGCCACCAGCCACTGTAGCTATTGAGCGCTTCAAGATTGGCTAGTCTGAATTGAGATGACCAACTTATAGAAAAGAACACTATGGGCACCCTGTAATTTCCAAACCCCGTTGTTCTACTTGATCTTTTTCACAGCATATATCACCACCTGGCATTTTATGTATTTATTTCTCTTTCCACAGTAGACTACAAGCTCCATTGGAACAGGGATTGTGAATTGTCTTGTTCAACACTCCACCCCGGTGCCTAGACAGTGTCTTGTGTATATCTAGATACTGACAAATATTTTGAAATAAGTGAATGAAAGTGTATCAGTATGCTTGGGACTCCCTGTAGCAGTGCCTGGAAAATGGTATGTTTTGCTGCTGCAGGAATTCTCAAGGGACTGGGCAGAGGGCATGTGAAGTAACCTAGGACCTGCTGGTCACCCTGGGTGATGTGCTGCCCTCGTTCTACTGGTACTTGCTGTTGCGGCTGCTGCACTCCCACTTGGAGAGTTTGGCCCAGGAGTTCCTGAGCCATATTTGTTACTTGTGCTCACTCAGGTTGAGTTCTGTGGCCAGTTTGTATTCTCAAAGTATTTCTCCTACTCCAGTTGTTGTACTTTGTCAACGTTGTATTTTATTATTCCTGGTCCTGCCTCAACTGAGAGGAAAGGGTGGGTGTTAATTCCCGAGGTTCTTGTATCTTTGATTCCGGTACCGTTCTCTTCATGGGTGTTTGCTGATGCTTTATTAATTTGAAATGCAAGAACTTAGGGAAAATCATACTTATTTCATTTTAAAAAATGGTGTGTACTGAACTATCTGGTGGACTGTTTTGAATTACACACACTGTATTGTGAACTACATTTGGTTGGATAGTAGGGAGCTTATATAATAACTTGAAATTGAGCCAGGTGCTCCTTTGTGATGCCATCTTAATTTTGTTATTTCTCCACACCTTTTAGTTCTTTAGTTCATTACTTTTAATGGCAAAATCTGTGAATTTCTTTTGCATCAACCTAATTCCTGCTGTGAGCAATTGGCTGTGATAATTTAAGGAGCCACTAGAGGTCATTCAAACACTAGAAAAAAAGTTGTGCAAGTTTTAAGAATTTGTTTCAACTTCCAGAAGCAGGATCTGTAGAGGCTGAGCAGGTACATGGTACCATGTTTCATCTTTTTCCTGGTTTTTTAGAATTTTCTGCTACGGGATGTGTGGCTCCATTCCATTGGCGATTTTTACTATTTGAGAGGAATCAGATGAATGAAAACCATTATAGCCTCTCCAGAAAAATGCAGTCAGCACCTAGCACATGATTTCAGGGGATCTGAAAACCCTGCGGAATCCACTGGTGAATCTTTGGTTCATAACTCCTGAGACCAGGTTTCTGTAAAACTCGTAGTTGCGTGCTTGTAGATAATTTTTCAGTAATCAGTAACAAAATTTCAAGTGTAAGATAAATCCTGAATTCTCTATTAGGTTTACTATCAGGGAACAAGAAAAATTGTGGTTGAAGATCCTATAAGCACTTTATTTTAGTTTCTATTTTACTTATTTATTCATTTATTTTTTGAGACAGAGTCTCGCTCTGTTGCCCAGGCTGTAGTGCAGTGGTGTGATCTCAGCTCACTGCAACCTCTGCTTCCCGGGTTCAAGAGATTCTCAGCCTCAGCTTCATGAGTAGCTGGGATTGCAGGTTCATGCCACCATGTCCCACTAATTTTTGTGTTTTTACTAGAGATAGATTTTCACCATGTTGGCCAGGCTGGTCTTGAACACCTGGCCTCAAATGATCCACTTGCCTCGGCCTCCCAAAGTGCTGGGATTACAGGTGTGAGCCACTGCACCTGGCCCCTATAAGCATTTTAAAGGCATAGAACCTCATTTTGTTACTCACCTTTGTACCCCCCAGTGCCGAGCCAGCAAAGTAATGTGTATTTCAGGCACTCAGTCAAAGCTGAAGGGTTTAATGAATGATTAAAAGAATGTTAGAAGATTATGATGGTGTAATTTGTTACAAAGAGAAAGAAAAAATAAAGCAAAAATCTATTTTACTGTCCTTGTAATATAATTTAAGTCTCTTTTATCTTATTCTCTCATTAACAGCTATAGAAAATAACTGGTCATGATCTCCTTTATGCATTTAGAAGCCTTTATTGGCATCTGTATCTTTTTCACAGAAAAATATAACTATCTGAAGCTTATTTTCCTAGATAACACATTTACCACTGTGTAATCATTGTGGTTTCTATATGTAATTTAAATAAATATTTCTGTTATTAAGCCAATATATTTAGTTTGAAGCATGCAGTGGATATATTTTAGGAAATTAATACAGACTCATCAAATGCAATAACTGAAAGGAATTTTTTTTTTTTTTTTTTTTTTGGTGACCAAGCCTCACTGTGTCAGCCAGGCTGGAGTGCAGTGGCACGATCTTGGCTCACTGCAACCTCCGTCACCCAGGTTCAAGAAATTCTCCTGCCTCAGCCTCCCGAGTAGCCGGGATTACAGGCGTGCACTGCCATACCAAGCTAATTGTTTTTGTATTTTTAGTAGAGACAGGGTTTCACCATGTTGGCCAGGCTGATCTGGAACTCTTGACCTCAAATAATCCACCCATCTCAGCCTCCCAAAGTGCTGGGATTACAGGCGTGAGCCACCATGCCCAGCCAAAAGGAATATTAACAGACATTCTAGGTTAACCCTTTCATTAAATTTCTTTATTATCGGTTGGGCATGGTGACTCACGGGTGTAATCCCAGTACTTTGGGAGGCTGAGGTGGGAGGACGACTTGAACCTAGGAGTTTGAGACCAGCCTGGGCAACATAAAGAGACCTTGTCTCTAGAAAAAATAGAAATAGTCTGGCGTGGTGGTGCGGATCTGTGGTCCCAGCTACTCAGGAGGCTGAGACATGACCCTGGGAGGTTGAGGCTGCAGTGGGCTATTATCATGCTACTGCACTCCAGCTGGGTAACAGAGCAAGAGCGTCTGAAAATTTTTTTTTATTATAATGGAAAATGTCAACATACATAGAAGTAGAGAGACTACAATAATGAGGAAGCATCATTTGCTTCCAGCAGTCATCAACATTGGCTAATCTTGTTTCATCTATGTCTCCTGCTTTCATTCTCCCTCTCCCTTTTTCTCCCCCTCTCTCTCTCACTGGAGTATTTTAAATAAAATGATATCATTTTATTAGCAAATGTATTTTTCTAACAGAAAAAGATTAGAAAAATATATAACCACAATTTCATTATCACTCACAATACATTCAACAGTAGTCCTTGAATATCATCTAACACCCAGTTAGTGTTCAGATTTTCCTGATGGTTTCATACATGTCATTTTGTAATTTTTCTTTGAGCCAGGATTGTGTTTAGATAATGTGACCCTTAAGTGTCTTAATTCCTGGTCTCTTTTTTTAATGTCATTTATTTGTTACAAATTGTCCCTTGTCTTGGCCCAAATGGGAACATCAGAAGCTTTATTGCACCCTTTTGGTGTTATTTAACAGAGTCCTTTATCACCTGCCTTTCCCTTCTTGCACCTGGCTGCTTATATGTGGACCCTTGGTTCAGTGCTTTTTTGGGGGCATGGCTTAGGGAAATAGGAATTTTTCATAGTTGGTGCTGTATTTTTCCTATTGCTTCATAGAAAGTGAGACAACTAAGCATTATATACCTCTATTAGAGGGGTTAAAGTTGATCACTGGAGTCAGATGTTGTTGGCCTTATTATAAATATTCCCATCACTCTTTTTTTTCTTCATACCCTCATCTGTGAGCCAGGAACTCATCACTCTTTTATTTAATAGTTTTAACATCAATTGATTATTGTCTACATGTAATAATCCTTTAGAGATGCAAAATGATAATTTTCTTGTTCTGTAATTTCCTTTCTATTTGTAGTTGGAAGTTTTCTTACAGAAGAGCTTTCCCTGATCAACTGTTTGGTTATCCTAAAATAGAATTTGTTTCTCAAGGCAGGATAAATGCTTGATTGTTTCTCTTCATAGGTCAGTTTTCAGAATAAAGAGTTGGTACCATAGAAATCTCCATAAATGTCCAGTGAGTTGGTACCTTAGAAATCTCCATAAATGTCCAGTGAAATTGATTTTATATTCTTAAGAACTTATAGATGTATATATGTATATGTATATCATCTAGTCCTTTGCAGTCGTTAGTCTTTTTGATGCTTAAATTGTTTCATCTCCATCCAGTGGGAGCCATTCAAGTTTGCTCCTTTCTCCCGTTGACATGAGCCTACTCCTGTCTCTGATAGCTTGCTGGCTTCTCGGCAGTGAGCTTTCACAGGCTTGTTTTGGGAATAGTCAGCCCCTAGTTTTGAAACCACTTTTATAAGGAATCTCATTTACTTTTTGTTAGAAGATGTAGTTAGAGAACACAGTCTGGGTTCTCTAGGATTTTTTTCTTTTTCTTGTAGAGCTTTTCAGAGTTCAGATCTGGGTACTATTGTTTCTTAAAAAGAGAAAAATTCTGAGTTTATTGATACCTTTCCAATTCAGATTTTTTTATTGAGATGGAGTTTTGCTCTTGTTCCCCGGCTGGAGTACAATGGTGCGATCTCGGTTCACAGCAACCTCTGCCTTCGCAGTTCAAGTGATTCTCCTGCCTCAGCCACCCGAGTAGCTGGGATTACAGGCATGCAGCATCATGCCTGACTAATTTTGTATTTTTAGTAGAGACAGGGTTTCACCATGTTGGCCAGGCTGGTCTCAAACTCCTGACCTCAGGTGATTCGCCCGCCTTGGCCTCCCAAAGTGCTGGGATTACAGGTGTGAGCCACTGCACCTGGCCCCAATTCAGATTTAAAATTCATTTTTACCTCTTGATTTACAATTTTTATTTTTCTTCTCATAAGCTAAAAATCCTGGCTGGGCGCAGTGGCTCATGCCTGTAATCCCAGCACTTTGGGAGCCAAGGCAGGTGGATCACTTGAGCTCAGGAGTTCGAGACCAGCCTGGCCAACATGGCAAAATCCCATCTTTACTAAAAATATAAAAATTAGCTGAGCATGGTGGTGCACACCTGTAATCCTGGCTACTTGGGAGGCTGGGGCATGGGAATTGCTTGAACCCAGGAGGCAGAGGCTACTGGGATCACACTACTGAATTCCAGTCTTGGCAACAGAGTGAGACTGTCTCAAAAAAAAAAAAGAAAAAGAAAAAGCTTGACCATTAATAATATTAACATAATGATCTTTTTTTTTAGCTTAAAGTTTAGAATAGTTTAAAAATAGTAGTACACGTATTGTTACTAACAACAAAACTACAAAGAACATTGTAAGTACTTTTTTTCCCTGGTGATATAACCCACTGGATGATATATACAGTCAAAACAGTGAGTTTTAAAATCAATTGAAATAATTCTTCAGTTCGTACTTTTGTCACCAATATGATATATAGTTATATATGTTTCCATTATTTTTTAGATATTTAGGGATGACTTTGTACTTTCTTTCTGGTTTGAAAATTATAATTCTTTTTTACTGAAGTGTTAGAAATATACAGAAATATGTACAAAAGGTAAATGTACTGCTTCATGAATTATTGCCAAGTGTGAAAACCCAAGAAACTGCCACTGGGTCAAGAAACAGAACATTAAGTAGGACGTTGCCAGCATACCCGGGGACCCTCTTGTGCCCTCTCCTGATCACTGTTCTCTCCGTTTGCGCCAAAGGAAGTTACCATAACTTCCAACTCTATGATGATTTTGCCTGCTTTTGAATTTTATTTAAATTGAGTCATATGATATGTATACTTTGGTATCTGGCTTCTCTTATTTCATATTATGTTTATGGAATCATCCTTGTTGCAGGTACCTGTAGTTCATTTTTAGTGCATGAGTATACTACATCACTGGCGATGGGCATTTGGATTGTTTTCTGTATTTGGCTATTATAAACCTTGCAAACACATTTTGATGCACTTGCGCAAGCTCTCTGTTGGGTATGTGTAGGAATAAAATTGGTAGGTTATAGGATATGTGGGTGTTCAACTTTAGGGGGTAATCTAAACTGTTTTCCAAAAAGGTTGTAGAAGTTAAAATGCTTTGACTAATGAAAGAATGCTCAGTGCTCTGTATTCTCATTAATGCTTGGTGTTGGCATAAATCATGTTAAATAAGTATTTACCAGTTTCCTCTTTGTTTTTAACATTAATGGTTATTGAGTTTGGTATGGCATCTGAAGATATGAGTATAGAATTTTTCTTCCCATCTCTATTAATAGGTGGATTATATTAATGGAATTCCTAAAAATAAATCACCTTTGCATCTTCAGAAGAAACAACTTGGTGCTCTCTATAATTCACTTTTGGAGTCTCTTTCCTAATGTTTTTTTCTAGGATTATTCCTCTATTTTTTCTAGCCACATTACATTGACTCTTGGAGAGCCCAGGCTGTTTGTCCTGTAGAATGTTCCACATTGCAGATTTGTCTACTTGCTTTTTCTTGGTATTGCTAACTTATTCCTCTAGTCCACACATTCCCTATAAACTGTAAGTTAGGTCTGGAAGCTTCATTAGATTTGGGTTAAACCTTTTTTTTTTTTTTTTTTTTTTTTGATAAGAACATATCGTAGGTGATATTGGGTACTTCATATTTCAACTCATCAGGAAGCATGCAGTGTCAAGTTTTATTAGTTGTGCCTACTTTGACCATTTGATTAAAGTGGTGCTGCCAGAGAGCTCCATAGTAAAGGTACATCTTTTCCTTTGCAGTGCCACTTTACCTTTCACGTGATATATGCAATAAGAACATAATATTAAAAATCATGTAGATTATAACTGCTGTTTTAACATTTTTCTAAAATAAAACATACAATTTTAGTTCAGGAAATGTTAATCATTATATTGTCATTAATCGCCATTGCATTTTCTCTTTTTTTCAACAGATTATTACTATTTTTATTTTTGAGATGGAGTCTTATTGTGTTGTTCAGGCTGGACTACAATGGCACAATCATAGCTCACTACTTGGGCTTAAGCTATCTTCCCACCTCAGCCTCCTAAGTAGCTAGTACTACAGGTGTGTGCCACCATGCCCAGCTGTTTTCGTTTGTTCTTTTTTTTTGTAGAGATGTAGTCTTCCTATGTTGCCCAGGCTGGTCTTTTTAGTTTTAAAAAAATCATTTTAGCCTAGCTTTATTGAATGCTTACTGTGTACCAGGTGCCAGGCTGGTCTTAAACTCCCGGGTTCAAGTTATCCATCCATCTGAGCCTCCCAAAGAGTTGGGATTACAGGCATGAGCCATCACACCTGGCCTCAACAGATTATTAATTCACTATCACCATGATTGTTTTTGAAATTAATCTAATTTAATTTTTGTTTTTTGAGGTAGGGTCTTGCTCTGTTGTCCAGAGTGCAGTAGCATGATCATGGCTCACTGCAACTTCACACTCCTGGGCTCAACTGACCCTCCCACCTCAGCCTTCCTAGTAGCTGGGACTACAGGTACATGCCACCATGCCTGGCTAATCTTTTAATTTTTACTTTTAGTAGAGATGGTGTCTCGTATTATTTCCCAGGCTGGTCTCTAACTTCTGGTGACAAGCAATCCACCTGCCTCAGCCTTCCAAAGTGCTGGGATTACAGGCATGAGCCACTGCACCTGACCTCTAATTAATTAATTGATATATTTTTAATGTTTATTTTTTATTTCAATAGCTTTTGGAGTATGAGTGGTTTTTGATTACATGGATGAGTTGTACAACAGTGAAGTCTGAGATTTTAGTGCACTGGTCACCCGAGTAGTGTAGATTGTGCTCAATATGTAGTTTTTTTAATCCCTCTCTCCTCCCTCACTTGTGAGTCTCCAGTGTCCATTATACCACTCCGTATGCCTTTGCATACCCATAGCTTAGCTCCCACTTATAACTGGGAACATAAGATATTTGGATTTCTGTTCCTGAGTTACTTCCTTAGAATAATGCTGGCCTCTAATTTAATTTGAAAAATTTATTTTGCATTCTATGTCCTCATGTTTTTTGTGGGATAATCACATTTTATGATTTAGTTCTTTAAAAGAGTGAAATATCATAAGAATTATTGACTTAAGTATATTGGTACTGTGTTCTTTAGCTTTCTACTGAATTGGTTATAGAATTGAATTTTATGTTAAAAGTGGGTATATGGTGATTGGAAGCATTATTTAACTTAGTTCTTTCTGAAAGTTCTGTGCCTTTGGAAACTCTAAACATAGCATATGATGAATCTGTTTCAAAGGCTGTGAGATTGTGTGCTCCACTTTGGGCTCTTGCTCCATATTAAGATGCACAATTGCACTACTTTCTCTTCTCTGTCTCCTAGCTTGAGTAGTATTGCTTTTCATTTCTAGAACAACTACACGGTGTCAGTTCTGTCATTGTCCTTATTTTCTATAGTCCTCATTTTTAATTTATAATCTTTTTTAAGAACAAACAGCACTTGTTGCACTTTCTGAGATGTATGAATTATATATACATATACATGGACTTATTTTTCCCTATAGTTTTTCCATGTAGCATTTATGATTTTGTAAATATTCTAATTATAAAAATAACATGTGGTCTTCTAATTATGGCAATTTAGCTATTGAAATAATCTTGCAAATTATGTGTGATCCTCCCACATCAAAAGAAAAAAAATACAAAAACAAACGTAGAGGGTGGACTCAGTGGCTCACACCTGTAATCCCAGCACTTTGGGAGGCCGAGGCAAGTAGATCAACTGAGGTGAGGAGTTTGAGACCAGCCTGACCAATACGGTGAAACCCTGTCTCTACTAAAAATACAAAAATTAGCTGGACATGGTGGCATGTGCCTGTAGTCCCAGCTACTCAGGAGGCTGAGACAGGAGAATTGCTTGAACCTGGGAGGCAGAGGTTGTGGTGAGCCGAGATCACAACACTTCACTCCAGCCTGGGTGACAGAGTGAAACTCCATCTCAAAAACAAAAAACACAAAACAAACAAACCTAAAAATGCAAGGTAAAATGTAACAAGAAGACTTTGGAATACACGTGGGAATGAACAAGAAAGTGAGGGAAATTTTCAAAAGTCAGAAATGGGGGCAACTAAAATCCTGAACTGGTAACACTTTAAGGCTGCCTGGGACAAGATGAGGTGGTAGTTATTGCTGTTGTATAATAGTTTTGAGGTTTGATACAATTTAAGAATAGAAGATGAGGTCAGAGGTTTGCCTGAAGCAGTTAGGTGGAGCTAAGAGCCTTGAAGAGCTATCAATAAAATGGGGAATTTGGAAAAAAAAAAAAAAAAAGGCAACTCACTTACCTACACAGAGAGATAACAAAGAAGTTTGTTTGTTTGTTTACTTATTTATTGAAGACTGAGTCTTGCCCTGTTGCCCAGGCCGGAGTGCAGTGGTGCAATCTTGGCTCACTGCAACCTCTGCCTCCTGGGTTCAAGCAGTTCTCTGCTTCAGCCTCCCGAGTAGCTGGGATTACAGGCATCTACCACCACACCCGTCTAATTTTTGTATTTTTAGTAGATACAGGGTTTCACTATCTTGGCCAGGCTGGTCTTAAACTCCTGACCTTGTGATCCACTCGCCTTGGCTTCCCAAAGTGCTGGGATTACAGACATGAGCCATGGCGCCCAGCCAAAGTTTGTTGATTTTTATCTTCAGCTCTAGAAAGAGGGAAAAAAAGTCTTCCATATAAATTTTCAACTGCAGTTTTTTGTTTTCAATTTTCATCATGTTTTGAGGTATGAATTTATACTTCTCCCAAACTGGGAAATTAACATAACAGCCACACCTGGGCTTCTGGTTCTGGTAAAGGTCGAGGAGCTGTATTGGGCTTACCCTCTTGCCAATAATAATAATAAAAGATCTGGATGGAATATAAAAACAAAAATAGGTAGAAACTGGAGGCAACACACTACTTGAAACAAGGGAAGTGACCTGGCTGAGCTGTACATTTAACTGGTTTATCCTGCAGATGTGCTAGGTTCACACCAAGGGAATAGAGTTTAGGCAGGAAGTGACTTCTTCCTGGGGCAAGGAACTGAGGTTGGAATTTGGCCCTGCTGGGAAAGAGTGGTGGAGAATGAGTAGGGAAAAATCATAGTGACAGCAGAGTCACAAAATATGTGTACAAGTTCCTCTACAGTCATTGGCTATCTTTGACGTTGTGCCTGTGCTGAACGACACCCTGTGGAAGCCAGCAGAAAGCAGCAGCTGTGAGGTTAAAGAGTTGAGCAGAAATTCCAGCAGTTGCTTGAGCTAGGGAGATAGAGTTTGGAGGTGAAGTCTCACCAAGTTAAGAGGGGCTTGGTAAACACCTTGAACTTTCCATTGAAATGTGAGAAGGGCCATGCCACACCTTAGGACTAAGAATCATGTACTGGGACTAAGGGCTACATCCTAGGGCTAAAGGAAAAACAAGAAAAGACTGGTACTAACAAAAGCAAAAAGAAGCCTTCACAGGATTGAGGTGACTGGCCAGACGCTACTTGCCAGAACACACAACTCAGTGCTCTGTGGAGGAAAATAAGGTTATCGAGAGTCTTTAGTATATATTATCCTGAAGGTTCAGAGGAGAAACACTTGGTGACTGTGACTTAGATAAAGAGATTTTAGACTTAACACCAAGAGCATCATCTAGAAAAGAAAAAAGTTAATAAAAGTTAATAAATTGGACTTCATCAAAATTAAAAACATTTGCTCCACCAAAGACCCTGTTGAAATGGTGAAAAGACAAGCTAGACACATGGACTAAATATTTACAAGCTACATATCTGACAAAGGACTCATATCTGGAGTATGTCTCAAACCTCAATGCAAAAAACATTCAATTAGAAAATGGGCAGAAGACATGAGAAACATTTTACCAAAGAGGCTATATGAATAGCAGATGAGTACATGAGAATATACTTGTCATTGTTATCTGTTAAAGAAAAGCAAACTAATTCTGCAACTATACACCTATTAAAACAATATAATAGTGGCAGTACCAAGTGCTGTCAAGGATGCTGAAAAACTAGCTCTGTACATTGCTAATGGGAGTGTAAAATCGTACAACTACTCTGGAAACATTTTGGCCATTTGGTAAACTAAACATTTACTTACCATATTTTAACTCCATATTACATATCCATATGAATAACATATTAAATATTCACTTTGAGCTTTTTTTCAGAGGTATGAAATCTTATGTTCATGCAAATATCTATATATGACTATTCATACTAGCTTTATTTGTAATAAACTGAAACTGGAAACACTAGAATGTCACCCAGTTTGTGAATGATTAAACAAACTGTGTTATATCCTTAGAATGGAATACTCCTTAGTAAAGTGAAATGAACTATTGATACCCAACAACTTGGATGGTTTTTAAGGGCATTAGGTGAGTGAAATGTCATATTAATATACCATTCTTGAAATGACAGTGTGAGGAAACAGATCAGTGTGTATTAGTCCATTCTTATGCCGCTATGAAGAAATACCCAAGACTGGGTAATTTATAGGGAAAAGAGATTTAATTGACTCACAGTTCCACGTGGCTGGGGAGGCCTCAGGAAACTTACAATCATGGCAGATGGCACTTCTTCACATGGCGGGAGGAGAGAATGAGTGCCGAGTGGAGGGGGAAGCCCCTTATAAAACCATCAGATCTTGTAAGAACTTACTATTGTGAAAACAGCATGAGGGAAACCGCCCCCATGATTCAGTTATCTCCACCTGGTCCCACCCTTGACATGTGGGGATTATTACGATTCAGGGTGAGCTTTGGGTGGGGACACAGAGCCAAACTATATCACAGTGGTTGCCAGGGGTTAGGGATATTGGGGGAAGAGGGAGAGTTTGAGTGCATAAGGATTACATGAGGGAGATCTTCATCATGATTGATTGGTTCTGTACTTTGATTGCAGAGGTGGTTGTGTGAATCTACACATGTGGTAAAGTGATGTAGAATTATATATGCACATTGTACCAATGGCAGACTTTTGGCTTTGATATTGTTCTATAATTATGTAAGATGTTACCATTATGGGAAACTGGAGGAAGGGCATATGGGACTTCTTTGTACTGCTTTTTCTATTCCCTGTGAGTTTATAATTATTTTATAATAAAAGTTCAAAAACACTTATTGGATGGACATCACAGAACATAATAGAAAAAAGAATCAGTGAATTATAGGTCTGTTTAATAGAAATGACTCAAACTGACACACAAAGCAAAAAGAATGAAGAAAACAGAACACAGTGTCTGAGACTTTGTGGAATAATATTATATAAAATTATCTAACAGTCACATGATTTGACCCTCAGAAGGAGATGAAAGAATGAGATAGAAGGAATATTTGAAGGAATAATTGTTGAAAATGTTTCCAAATTGATGATAATGTCAGCTCACATTCCCAAGAATCACATTGAACCCTGACCAAGATAAACCAAAGAGGACTACATCTAGGCTCATCATAGTCAAACTGCTTAAAATCAAAACTAAAGAGAAAAATCCTAAAAGCAATTAGAGAAATCCTATATAGTCCATGTTGGGAAACAGTTACATCAATGTGTGCTGACTTCTCATTTGAAACCATAGATGCCATTAGACAGTGGAACAATATTTTTAAAGTGTTCAAAGAAAAAAATTGCTATCCCAGAATTCTGTATTTTGCCAAAATACTCTCAAAAATAAAAAGGAAATAAAGAAAAAAATGGGTAAATTAGTCTCCAAACTGAGAGAATTTGACTCAAAATGTTAAAATGAGTTTTTCATGTTAAATGAGCAAATATAAACCTGGGTTTACAAGAATAACTGAAGAGTACTATAGTGGTAAATATGTTGGAAAATAAACAATTTTTCATAACTTGTTAAATCTATTGATTAAGGCCAGAAAAATGTATTGTGTGTTTTATAACATAAGTAGAAGTAAAATATATGACAGCAATTGTATAAAGGGTTGGAGGAACATATGCAGAAGTGTTTAATGTGAATTTTATTGTATCCCTATACTTTATGTGTATATTGTTTTATGTATATATTGTATGTGTTTTTTTTTTTTTTTTTTTTTTTTTTTTGAGAGAGCACACTCGGTTACCCAGGCTGGAGTGTGGTGGCATGATCTTGGCTCACTGCACCTCTGTCTCCTGGGTTCAAGTGATTCTTGTGCCTCAACCTCCTGAATAACTGGGATTACAGGTGTGTGCTACCATGCCCGGCTAATTTTTAATTTTATTTTTTAGTAGAGGTGGGGTTTCATCCTGTTGGCCAGGCTGGTCCTGAACTCCGGCCTCAGGTGATTCATCTGCCTTAGCCTCCCAAAGTGCTGGGATTATAGGCACCAGCCACCATGCCCTGTATAGCCCATAATACAATATTATGAGCTAATACTGTGTATGTACTTACATGTATGTGAAATAGTATAATGTTGATTAAAGGTTACTTCTGATAATTTATGCATACTATTATAATTGGAAGACTATCCAGAAAAAAAAAAAACACTAAAAAACAAGAGTAATTACTAAATAGTGAGTAGAAGAGATAAAAAGGAAAACTTGGCTAATCATAGTGCGGTGGTGTTTACACCTGATTGCAACTAGTTACAGATTTGTTTCTTCTCCACTCCCACTGCTTCACTTGACTAGCCTTAAAAAAAAAAAAAAAATATATAAATTAACATTTAATCAGGAATAAGTCAGGAAAGGAGGAATAAAGAAAGAAAGATAAAATAGGGCAAATAGCAAATGACAAGATGATACACTTAAACCTCACCATATTAATAACTGTTAAATATGAGTAGCCTAAATATTCCCATCAAAAGGCAGAGATTGTCATACTAGATTGGGGAAAAAAAAAGACCTAGGCTGGTGCAGTGGCTCACACCTGTAATCCCAGCACTTTGGGAGGCCAAGGTGGGTGGATCACTTGAGGTCAGGACTTCAAGACAACCCTGACCAACATGGCAAAACCTGTCTCTACTAAAAAAAAAAAAAAAAAAATTACAGCTGGGTTCGGTGGCTCATGCCTGTAATCCCAGCACTTTGGGAGCCCAAGGCGGGCGGATCACAAGGTCAGGAGATCGAGACCAACCTGGCTAACATGGTGAAACCCCGTCTCTACTACAAATACAAAAAATCAGACGGGCGTGGTGGCAGGCGCCTGTAGTCTCGGCTACTCGGGAGGCTGAGGCAGGAGAATGGCGTGAATCTGGGAGGTGGAGCTTGCAGTGAGCCTAGATCGCGCCACTGCACTCCAGCCTGGGCGACAGAGCAAGACTCTGTCTCAAAAAGAACCAGAAAAACAAAACAAGAAAAAATTAGGTGGGCATGGTGGTGCACGCCTCTGTAATCCCAGCTACTTGGGAGGCTGAGGCAGGAGAATGGCTTGAACCCTGGAGGCAGGTGAGCTGAGATCCCACTACTGCACTCCAGCCTGGGTGACAGAGAGAGACTCCATCTCAAAAAAAAAAAAAAACCCAAAAAAACAAAACAAACAAGAAAAAATTAGGTGGGCATGGTGGTGCACGCCTCTGTAATCCCAGCTACTTGGGAGGCTGAAGCAAGAGAATGGCTTGAACCCTGGAGGCAGGTGAGCTGAGATCCCACTACTGCACTCCAGCCTGGGTGACAGAGAGAGACTCCATCTCAAAAAAAACAAAACCCAAAAAAACAAAACAAACAAGAAAAAATTAGGTGGTCATGGTGGTGCACGCCTCTGTAATCCCAGCTACTTGGGAGGCTGAGGCAGGAGAATGGCTTGAACCCTAGAGGCAGGTGAGCCGAGATCCCACTACTGCACTCCAGCCTGAGCGACAGAGTGAGACTCTGTCTCAAAAAGAAAAAAAAAAAAGAAGAAGGACTAGCTGTATACAGTTTCTATGAGACATAGTTTAAATAGGAGGTTAGACCTATAAAATAGAAGGAAGATATACCATGGAAACACTAGCAACAAGAAAGCTTGAGTAGCTATATTAATAACAAAGTAAAAATTAAGGGAGTATTACTAGAGATAAAAACAGTTCATAATAATGAAAGTTTCAGTTCATTAGGAAGCATTAACAATCCTTATTTTGTCTGTGTAAAATGAGACTACTTTAAAATATATGAAGGAAAAATTGACAGAACTAAAAGGAGAACTTGATAATGACAAATTCATTATTGTTGGATATTTTTAAAATAAGTAGATAAAAATTCTGTGAAAACATGGAAGATTTGAATGATATTAATAAAATTGAAAAAATTAACATTTATAGAATGCTAATTCCCACAATTGTGCAATACCTTTATTTTGAAACCACACTGAATAGTCACTGAAACAGACCATACTCTTGGCCACAAAACATATCTTTGTAACAAAGTATTGAAATTGTTTAGAATATGTTCTCTGACCATGATTGAATTAAATTAGAAATGTCTTAACAAGAAGAAATCTAGAAAATCCCCCAAATGTTGGGAAATTAAGAAAAATACTTGTAACTCATGGGTCAATAAAATCTCACAAATTTTTAGAAAATATTTAAAACTGAATAACAAGGGAAACCCAACACCTCACCATGTTTGTGATTCTGCTAACGTGGGAGTAAGAGTGAAATAATTCATAGCCGAAATGCTCAGATTAGAGCAGTCGTTCTGAAAACTCTGAGGATCACAATTGCCCAGACGGTTTTTGCTAAAACAAAGATTGTCACACCGAGCGTGGCGACTCATGCTTGTAATCCCAGCACTTTGGGAGGTTGAGGTGGGCAGGTCACTTGAGGCCAGGAGCTTGAGACCAGCCTGATCAAGGGTGTTTTAGTAGAAACTCTGTCTTCTAAAAATACAAAAATTATCTGGGCATGGTGGTACACACCTGTAATCCCAGCTACTTGCAAGGCTGAGGCATAAGAATCGATTGAACCTGTGAGGTGGAGTTAGCAGTGAGCCAGGATCTTGTCATGCACTCCAGCCTGGGTGACACCTTGCCCCCAAAAAACAATAGCCTCAGCCAGTCTCCTGAAAAAAAGCTCTTTAACAGCATCTTAGTTTGCCACAGTGGGCTCCGGAGGCCGAGTTTCAGTCCTGACTCATAATCCTGGGGACGTGCAAACCTGGCCAAGTTGGTGATGTATCAGCACTCCATTTCCTTACATCTTAACTCAGTGGATTGCTGTGAGGGTGAACTGAGACAAACACAAAGGGCTGAGAACAGAGCCCAGCTCAGAGCAAATCTAGCCAGATGACACTGACATCTGTCACCATTACCTCCCCTGAGTTTGGTCAACTCTGGCTCTTTCTGACCCTCCACCAACACCCCCTCCTCTACCAGACTCACCGTGGGCCCCACTCACTATCTGGACAACTATAGGATTTGTGAATAAGCTGTTTCTTCTGCCTGGGTGTTCTTTCCACCCTCTACCTCCTCTACCCCAACATTCACATCCTGCTGCTCAGCCTGACTAATTCCTATTGGTCCTTCAGAGTTCAACTTAAACGCTTTTTCCTCTAGGAAGCACCCCCTGGCTGCCTAGACCAGGTCAGCCCTCTGGCTCTCTATCCTGAGCATGCCTGTGGCTCTATTAGGGAACAGAGATTACATCTGTCTTGTTCACCACTGTCTCTTCAGTGCCTAGCATGGCACAGGGCCATAATACCCCACAAATATCTGCTGAATGAATGAAGTCATGGCTGGAACTGTCACCATGGGGTCAACTATAGGCAGGATGCTGTCTGAGTGCTCTCAGATGGCAAGTTTGTCGGAAAAAGAATTCAAGACTCAAGTCTTAGCCACATAACGGGGAAATACAATCAGCAGTCAAGAGAAAGAGGAGACCCAACCAGCCATCCAAAACAAGAGTGTTCAGAGGATGCCTGAAAGCTACAGGTATGGAGACAGGACAAGCTAGAGAAGCTGATCATGTTTCAGCAGGGGCAGGTGAAACACGTTAATATAAAAAATGTCAATTTTTTCAAAATTAACCCAAAGCTGGAATGCACTGTCAATCAGAGTTCTAATATTGCATTTCGGGGAATTGGATACAATTATTTTGAAGAATGAACAAAAGAACTGATAAGAATAGTAGTAGTACACCAACAACAGTCAAACCAAGAGCTAAATCAGGAACCTACTCCCATTCACAATTGTCACGAAAAGAATAAAATACCGAGGAATACAGCTAACCAGGGAGGTTAAAAATCTCTACAAGGAAAAATGCAAAACACTGCTCAAAGAACTCAAAGGTGACACAAACAAATGGAGAAACATTTCATGCTCATGGATAGGAAGAATCAATATGATTAAAGTGGCCATACTGCCCAGAGCAATTTATAAATTCAATGCTATTCCTATTAAACTACCATTGAGATTCTTCATAGAACTAGAAAAAACTATCTTAAATTTCATATGGAACCAAAAAAGAGCCTGAATAGCCAAGGTAATCATAAGCAAAAAGAACAAAGCTGGAGGCATCATGCTACCTAACTTCAAACTATATTACAGGGCTACGGTAGCCAAAACAGCATGGTACTGGTACAAAAACAGATACATAGACCAATGGTACACAATAGAGAGCCCAGAAATAGGACCGCACACCTTCAACCATTTAATCTTTGACAAACCTGACAAAAACAAGGAACGTGTAAAAGACTCTCTATTTAATAAGTGGTGCTGGGATAACTGGCTAGCCATGTATGGAAGATTGAAACTGAACCCCTTCCTTCCACCATATACAAAAATCAACTCAAGATGGATTAAAGACTTAAATGTAAAACCCAAAACTATAAAAGCTCTGGAAGATAACCTAGGCAATACCATCCTGGACATAGGTACAGGCAGAGATTTCATGATGAAGATGCCAAAAGCAATTGCAACAAAAGCAAAAATTGACAAATGGGATCTAATTAAAGAGCTTCTGCACAGCAAAAGAAACACCAACAGAGTAAACAGACAGCCTATAGGATGGGAGAAAATTTCAGCAAACTGTGCATCTAACAAAGGTGTAATATCCAGCATCTATAAGGAACTCAAACAAATTTACAAGAAAAATTATGAGCTAATATTGTATATGTGCTTACACGTATGTGAAATAGTATAATGTTGATTAAAGTTTACCTCTGATAATTTATGCATACTATTATAATTGGAAGACTATCCAAAAAAAAAAAAAAAACAACTGAAAAACGACAGTAATTACTAAATAGTGAGTAGAAGAGATGAAAAGGAATACTTGGCTAATCATAGGGTGGATGGAGAGATCAACGTTTCAAATGAACAGTAACTACAACATGTGGTATTCCTGCCTGGGCTGGTACTGTGGAAGAAACTGGAAAGCCTAGAACAGGCCTTGGACTATGTAGGAACTTGTACAAAATAGAGGCAGCCTTGTAAATCAGCACAAGCTCTGCTGTGGGAAGGTTGGGAAAGGTGGGGATATGAGGTGAGGTTGAGAGATGAGCCACTCGGAGTATGGGATACCAGGCTGAGAATGGATGCATGGCCAAGTTCTTGTGCTGGACATGATGGGGTGATGGATTTGAGACCTGGTAGGGGAGAGAGTCTCTTAGGGGAGAATGAGCGCTTGGAGCTAGCACCTGCTCCCACATGGCCCATGGCCCTGGTCCAAAGCCTCCTGTCTCCCTCTCAGTCAGCCTCACCTCTCTGATTAGGAGTCAAAATAGGGAGATGTAAGTGAAGATTTCAGACGTTTCCATGTATCGTAATAGGACATAGTGAAGCAGGCCGCATGTGTTTTTCTGTTACTATTTTTGCTGTTTTCCCTCTCTAATTCAGGTGGATTTTCCTAGAAATTGACCTATGCAGGAACAACCTTCCCATTGAACACTGTTGACAAAAAGAACCGTGGCAATGCCATCGTCACTTCTAACATTGAGAACTCCTCTAGAATGTGCTCTTGGCTGATAGGTGCAGTGGATCATTGCAGCCATTGGAGCCCACATGAAGTTACTGATGACTGAAGTGTCCTGTGAGAGCAATGTTCTCAAGGGCATATTTCTTAAGGAATATACGTCTTGGGAAAGGGTCTAGTTTAGGTTCTGATTCTTGCTTCGCAAAATGATTTGTTGAAGACAGGTTGCTAATGGGGTACAATAACATTCTGTTCGTAGTGTTTACATTTTCTGTTTGATGTGATCAAGCTTAGATCTCCCTTTCCTTTTTTCCTTCCTTCCTTTCTTCTTAGCTACACTGTTCAAGGGATTTTTTTTTAATTATGAAATTTGCTCCAGTCTTACTACTTAAGTGGGAAAAATGCAAACACTATTTCACAAAGTGTGTATGTGTGTGTGTGTGTGTGTGTGTGTGTGTGTGTTGATGTCTTCAAGGAGCTTTTTTATATTAGGTAATAATGGTTGTTGATTCAATAGTGAAATTCAGGAGACAGAGACAATGCTTAAATTCAGTTTCAAGAGTCCAGAGTCATGTAGGAACTATCCAGGAATTAAGCGATGTGTACTAGAGAGGTATTAGTCAGGGCTAGAGATTTAAATTTGGAAGACCCTAGTGCTTAAATATTTAAGGCCCGATACGGAATAAGATTACAAAGGAGGAAAGTGTAGATAGAGAAGAAAAAGGAGCTCAACACGGAGTCCTGGGTGCTTGAATATTCATAGGTTAAGAAAAGCAGAACCGAAAAAAACTCTGTCTAGCTCAGGGTTGAGGACTACATTAGAATTATAAATCTGAGAGTGATCAATATAGAGATATTTGAGTCCAAGGGAATGAATGAAGGTACTTTCAATTAGTTTAAGTTAGATACAGTAACACATAGCCCCCAGATCTCGGCAGCTCAAACCACAAAGGTTTATTTTCTGCTCCTGGTGCACAGGGAAGTCAGGGCTTGCTACATGCCATTCTCCTCCAGGCTGATGGAGCACTGCCATCAGGAGGTCACCAGGCTTAGGGGCAGGAGGAAGAGAAGGACTGGAGAGGTAAGCACTGGCAATTAAATGCATCCACTTAAAATGACACCTGCCACTTATATTTCATTGGTCAAAGCAAGTTACAGATCCACGTGTATCTTTGGGGAGGCCAGGAGCTGCAATTCTTCTGAGAGCCCAGAAGCAGAAGAAAAGTGGATATTAGTGAACAGTTTTAATGCCAACCACAGTCTACCCTTTTGGTCACCGAATATTTGATTCAGTCTTTTTGGTACACAAATATCAAAGGTAGTGGGAGACATCCTAAAGTCTCATCAGCCTCAAAGTCACGGGCTTCTGCGTGATGCCCAGTGGTCTCTTTGTAAGATGCAGATATAGCTTCTTTGAGTCTGGAGACCCATGGGCTAAATAAAAGAACAAGTTAGCTGATACCACACAACCATACAGTCACACCCACACAACAACATGCAGTAGTAGAACAGGAACGGAATAACTGGAGACAGGTGACTGTCAATGGCCATAGAAACCCTGAAATTCCACTGGGCAGAGGCTGTGAGGTCCCATCACCCTTGGTCGTTCAGTTTCCCAGCAGGGCAGGGGCTTCACCGTTTCCTACTCTCCTGGCCTTGGCCCCTCTTTGGAGCATAGGGCACTAAAGAGACCGTGGCATCCTTGCAAGGTGGCAGCTTTCTCAGCCTGCTTCCTACCTGTAGTCATGGGGGATCTCTGGGCTCATTTTGTGTCTGGAGCAGTCCCAGGTCTCTGCTACATGAGGCTTCCGATCCCTCTGCCCCGCAATCGCTCATAGCACAGAGGCTTGGAATCTGGTGGTTCCTTATCAGCTGCAGGTGCCAGTTGCCATCCACATTCCTCTTGGAGATTTCAGATAAGTGGCATTTCTTTGCTTTCGTGCCCCCAACCCCTGCCCCCTCTTGACTTAATTGTAGCTGGCTTCAGCAGGAGGACCTACCCTTAAGCTCTTTTCCCTAAAACATCATGTCTAGTTTTTCCACTGTGTGTGAGTCAGCCTTCGAACAACCATAATCCAGGGAACATGCCTTCAGGTAAAGGCTGGATGGTCCTTTCACATTGGTTTCAGGACCCCAGCACTCCTGCCCTTGTATTCTGACTGTGAAAGATGCGATCTCAGGTGTGTGAGAGCAACTGCATGGCTCAGCTTCTATGTATGCTCCCATTCTGTGAGTAGCAGAAACAATCCCAGTTCCTTGAAGCCCCACTCCAGCTTCTATCACCCATTCCTATCTCCTTAGGATTGCATCAAAGGCATATTGTGTATGATAAATGTGGTATTTCAAATCAGTGATGAAGGACAGATCATGTAACTGTGTAGCAACACTTGGTCATCCATGTGAAAGCAATTCACTAGGGAAACCCTTTACCATTTGCAAATGTTACTTCCAGATGTATTAAAGTGTGAACGTTTAGGAGAAAAATAACCCCAAGAACTATTACAAGGAGATATCAGAGAATAGTATTTATTTTACGGGAAGAATTTTCTAAGCAAACCCAAAACCCCACAAGCCATAGAAGAGAAACAGCACAGATTTTATTTCATTAAATTTTCAACTTCTGTAGGGAAAATCATTTTTTAATATGAAAAGACAAGCCACCAGTGATAATATAATGCCCTTAATACACAGAGTGCCTCAGATCAATAAGAAAAATGAGCAAGTAAAATTAATCAGGAAATATATACATAGGCAGTTCACCAAAGAAGAAATATAAATAGCCCATAAACATGTGAAAAGTTAACCAGCTCCGTGAGTAGAGGAGAGCCAATTAACAACAACAACAAAACTCTGAGGTACCACGTTTTACTTACTATGTTGGTAAACAAAATAATAAAGATGTCCAGTCTTGGCGAGGGTGTGGGGAGACGGCACTCACCTGGCTAGTGACTGGTGATGCGTTACTTGGTATATGGTCCTTGAAGGACAATATGGCGGTCTCTGTCTAAATTTTGCAATTCCATTTTGACCCAGCAACTCCACTTGCAGGATTTTTTTTCTACAGCAACTTCTGCCTCTGCAGGCTGAGAGAGTCAGACAAGTGTCCCAATTTTACTTTTGTTTTGTAATAGGAAGACAAAGCCCATGAAACAAAAATGGTTAAAGGAATCACAGTACATGTACACAAGGGAAAGCAATGCAGCAAGTCGGGGGAAATGAACTAGCTCTCTCTGGTGACACAGAGAAATATCTATGGCATAGGAAAAACAAATCACCCAAGAACATATCATATGATCTTAATTATATCATTGAAAAAGTTGAGGGCTTGAGTGTCAAGGGAAAGTCCAGAAGGATGTATGACTTGCGTTTCCTTCTCTCGGCAAGGCTGGCCTCCGAGATGAAGTGGCCAAATTTCATGGGCAAAGGGAGAGGGTAGGGCAGGGGTGAGGGGGTGGGGAGTGGTACATATACTTTCAGAAGGCGGCAGGGCAATTGTGCCCCATGTAGCACTGGCACCACAAGCAAGGGCAGATTGTGTGTTGAGGTGGGGCAACACCTCCAGAGCCGTGCCATCAGCTGAATAGTTGGCTGGCAGGCCTCCGGGCCTCCTCCCAAAAGCTTCAATCCCTTGCCACGCAGCCATCCTGAGTTCTCAGGCTCTGCAGGAGCTCCCCTCCTTTCTGGCTGGGCTCCATGTCCTTGCCTCCTTCACCTCCTTGCCCTCCTGCATCCTATCTTCCACTCTCCTGACTTCTGCCCCATGGTCCTCATGGTGGAATCACTGTCCTAGCTAGTAGGAAGGACTGCTGGTCATCTTTCCAGCAACGCTGAGGCACTCCTGAGGGCTCCAGCCAGCAACATCTTCCCTGCTCTCTTCCTATCCACACTGCTATCAGGGGGCTAAGGGGATTTGGGTCACAGCTGCTCAGGCAATCAGACAGGCCAGGGACTCAGAACTTTCCTTTTTGACAGCCAATTGGAAATCCCATGGCCTCTGCGTGTATCGCTGTCTCTGGGATGTAATCTTATATTGTCTAGGCCTGTTTTGCCAACTGTAAGACCACGAAGTGGACAAGGACCACTGTGCTAGGGACCTTTCAACCCAAACATCCTGCAGCCCAGCCTGGCTCATTAGCAGTTCCTCCCGGGCCCCGGGTGGTGGCAACTCTGCTGACTCTGGTCACTCCCTGGGCCGCAGTGGTCCTGCCTGCATTCCATCCATCTTCAAACCAGCATCCCCAGGCCTCTTTCTGTGATGAACCTTGTCTCCCTGACAGGGCCACCATTCCATGCAAACTGTCACTCCATGCCACGTGGCTATGCATTGAAACTGGCAGTGCATTCAGGAGTGTGTTTGCAAACCTGCGATTTCCAGCCAGTGAGAGTGTTTGGAGTCAGTGGGCACCCATGTCTGTTCTGTGAGAAGCTGCCCATTTTCTGAGAGATCCATGAATATCTACCAAGAAGTCTTGTGTAATGGCCATAGAATATATACCTGTGTGGACCTGGACAGCTTGGTTTTCTCTAGATGGGAGCTGTGGCAGGCTTGGAAACTTCAGGGCCATTCCTGCGTGGCTGAGGTGAGGAGGGACTGACTGTGTCCATACCAATCAGAGCTCATCCTACACCCTCTCCCAGTCCCTGCCAGAGATTCCCTTGACCTCAGAGGGATCGGGGGCCCTTCACTCCCTATGGTATGTCTGGCTCAATAACCAGAACCTGCAAGGGCTGATGAGGCTGTGCCACAGACTGTGTGCCACTGTGACTTCATGGCACAGTCCTGGCAGATCTTCCCTTAGTCTAAGTTCACACAAGCAGACCCCGCCTCTTCTCCTTCAGTTATTTATCCATTCCCTCAGGCAGGCAGGCAGCAGAGTTTTATTGAGCACCGGCTTCGAGCCAGATGCTGCACTGGGCATCGGGAATTCAGTGAAAAAGATGCAGTCCCTGGCCTAGGAGCCTGGGTCCGATGCGGAGGCTGCTGTGCAGCGCATTTGCCTTCAGTCCCGTGACACAGCCAGGCTGTGAGGAGCAGGCATCCCTGGTCTTCTCTGTGGGATACACTTTCATGGTTTTTCAATGGTCTTCATTTATTTAAGGTAAAATTTTAATTTTATGGGCAGAAAAAGGAAACCAACTGTTGATCACGTTGATTTAGAAATGATTACATTGTTTTCTATTAGACAGAGTTCTTAATGTCTTTCTCAAAAGATGGAGGAGGAAATGAGTGATAGGGCTTTGTCTTTTTTACTTGATTTTCAACTCATTCCTTAAAAATGCTTGAAAAGGCTAACTGTGGCTGAAGACCACTGTAAGGGAGGAGAAAACAAAACCTGCATTGACGAAGGAAAGGCAGCATCTCTGGCGGAAATTAATCACCTAAGCCACCTACTATGACTGCACAGGAGACAAGTGGTGGCCCAAAGGCTCTGTGTGTTTACAGTGTGGACATTTGAAGCAGCATCAGCATGGCCTTCACACAAACCTCATGATACTGTTCTAATGCCTTCTCCCCAGTTGTAAACCATCTGCTGCCTTGTACTGAAATATTGCACCCTGCTGACCTCAAAAGCAACAAGCATTCATGTACACACACACTGCGTATCCAGACATATAGATACATAGATGTGTGCATGCAGCATACACACTGATTACATAGAGGTACAGTCATGTGTTGCTTGACCACAGGGATACAATCTGAGAAATACGTTTAGGTGATTTTGTCATTGTGTGAACATCGTAGAGTGTGCTTGTACAAACCTAGATGGCATAGCCTACTACATGCCTAGGCTATGTGGTATAGCCTGTTGCTCCCAAGCTACAAACCTGTACAGAATGTTGCTGTACTGAATACTACAGGCAACTATAACACAATGGTAAGTATGTGTGTTTCTAAACTTAGAAAAGGTATAGTAAAAATACAGCGTAAAAGATAAAAATGGTATACCTGTCTAGGGCACTTACCATGGATGGAGCTTGCAGGACTGGGAGCTGCTCTGGGTGAGTCAGTGAGTGAGCGGTGAATGTGAAGGCCAGGGTGGTGAATGTGAAGGCCAGGACATTACACTGCTGTAGACTTTAGAAACACTGTGCCCTTAGGCTGCACTAAATTTATTTTTAAAAATTAAGTTACTGTCCAGGTGCGGTGGCTCACGCCTGTAATCCCAGCACTTTGGGAGGCCGAGGCGGGCAGATCACGAGGTCAGGAGATCGAGAGCATCCTGGCTAACACAGTGAAACCCCATCTCTACTAAAAATACAAAAAATTAGCCAGGCGAGGTGGCGGGCGCCTGTAGTCCCAGCTACTCGGGAGGCTGAGGCAGGAGAATGGTGTGAACCCCGGGGGGCAGAGCCTGCAGTGAGCTGAGAGCGCGCCACTGCACTCCAGCCTGGGCGACAGCGAGACTCCGTCTCAAAAAAAAAAAAAAAAATGAAGTTACTGTGCCATGATGTTATCAACAGCTATGATGTCACTAGGTGATGAGAATTTTTCATTATAATCTGATAGGACCACCATTGTATATGCAGACCATTGACTGGAACATCATGATCTATCTGCACATGACTGTAAATAACAACTATTGGATGTGGCACAGATGGAAGCTACATAAACACTCTATACAATATGGCCAATTCACCGGGCTCCCTGTTAGTCTTGTGAGCAATTTTAAACTCTTCCACGATTCTTTCTCTGCTTTGGAGTGTTTCAATTAATTCTCCATTATATTACAATTTACATTTTTATTAAGCCTTTACAGAGAGCAGCTGAATTTCTTAATTATTTTGTCAATACAAATTATATTAGCGTTTAAGCTTAAAAGGGAAAAAATATAGTATATATGTGTCATATATTGAAGCACCAGGAAACTTGAGGAAGGGGACATGGGCTATCCCCAGACGGGGAGGATGGTCGAGGCCTGAGGCTGGAGTGTGTATGGTCAGAGGGGTGAGGGGACACTTTCAGGGAGTAGCCAGAGGGAGTGTGCTGGTGGGGAGAAAGGGAGAGGAAGTAGTTTATATCAGAGAGGAACAGGATATCACATCATTCAGAGCATTGTAAGATGTGGTAGGACTTGGCTTTTCTTCAGAGTAAGATGTGATGTCATTGGAGAGGCCTGGGCAGAGGGACTTAATCCAGTTCAGTTTAACAAGATCACCGTGGCTGGTGTTTGAAAACCAGAAGTCAGCGTGGCAGGGCAGGGACGCTGGCAAGGAGAGAGCTGCAGTATTGCAAGGGAGGAATGACAGTGCTGGGCAAGGATGGTGGCAGAGGAACAGTGCCAAGAGGAGGGCTGTCTCTTCAAATTATATTTAGAACCCAACAGGACTTGCTGATCGGCCAGATGCAGGTGTCAAAAATGTTAAAGTTGACTCCTGCATCTTTGGTCTGAACAAATGGAAGCTTGAGGTTGCCCTGATCAGAGATGTGGAAGATTACAGGAGAGTTTGATTTGCAAGGAAATACCAGCCTCTCTGCAGCTGAGTTTTGGCATGTTTACTTTCAGATGTGCATTACATGTCCAAGTTCTTGAGAAAATAAGGGAGTATGTTGTAGCCAACAATGAAGGAGGGATTTCAAACATAATGCATGGGCGAGCAATGGTGGTGCACGCCTGTGATCCCAGCACTTTGGGAGACTGAGGATCGCTTGAGTGCAGGAGTTCAAGGCTGCAGTGAATTGTGATTGCACTACCGCACTCCAGCCTGGGCAACAGAATAAGACTCTGTCTCTAAAATAAAAATAAAACATAATGCCAGAACTTTCATGAATGTGAACCAATAATGCATTTCTCAGTAATGTAAAACAATGGGAAAAAATGACCAAAGATATAGATCCCAACAACAAAGTGATGAGACTCTATCTAATAGAAGCCTGTAGAATAGCAGGTTATATAAAGTCAGAGGGTTTACACAGTTTTTTTTTTTTTTCCTAATCACTTATTCAGCATACATGTATTGAGTTCCTCATGTGGACCAGGGAGGTGCCTTAGAAGGATAATAAAGAAATGTGAATCACAAACCAACTGCTTATAAGCCTAAACAAACAAGCACAGTGCACAGTCCGTGATAACAATGGAGTCATGTGGTAGCAGCAAGATTTGGGACGGGAACATGAGAAGTTGGGGAAAGCTTCTAAGGGGGCTGTTTAACAAGTGCTGGGAATTATCCAGCCAATAAGTGGGTGGTGCCATCAGAAGAGCTGCAGAGAAGCATGATGTGTTTGCAGAACTAGCACTTCAGGAAAAAACAAGTGGCCAAAGAGTGATGGGGCTTGTGTGATGAGCACTGGGACAATTTGAGCCTCAAACTACTAATTATAGTAACAGGTGATTATTTATTAAATAGGTGATGATTCTTAAGAAAAATGCATATGTTTGTATTAAAAGAAAGAAATGGATGAATAGAGAAATAAGTGGGGGAGAAGGGAAAGTGCTTTCTTATAGTGGAGTGTCAGCTAATAAATGTAGGAGAAAGGAAGGAAATAGAAAGTCACCATTTGATGACCACCAAGTTTTAATTGTTGCAAACAGAAATTTCATTGCATGCTAAAACCAATGGGGGAGAAATTCAATGAGAAACAGAATATTTACAAAGAGTATATCTCTGCAAGATACAAACACAAAAATAGTAACTATTTAGGGGTGGGACCTGATGCACATCACCTTAGCCAAGAGATCAACATAAGCATCATCAACATGGACCAAGTAGACATGATTTGTCCCTGATATGGTTCACAGGGGACAGAGCATCACTTCCACAGTGTTCCTGCCAGAAATACACAACAGAGTCTAATCATGAGGCCTCACAGGGCAGACCCAGACTGGGGACATTCTACCCTAAGTAGGGTATCAGGGTTGCAGAATGATAGACTGAGCCCTGCGCAAGGATACCATCTCACACCAGTTAGAATGGTGATCATTAAAAAGTCAGGAAACAACAGATGCTGGAGAGGATTTGGAGAAATAGGAATGCTTTTACACTGTTGGTGGGAATGTAAATTAGTTCAACCATTGTGGAAGACAGTGTGGCAATTCCTCAAGGATCTAGAACTAGAAATACCATTTGACCCAGCAATCCCATTACTGGGTATACACCCAAAGGTATATAAATCATTCTACTATAAAGACACATGCACATGTATGTTTATTGCAGCACTGTTCACAATAGCAAAGACTTGGGACCAACCCAAATGCCTATCAATGATAGATTGGATAAAGAAAATGTGGCACATATACACCATGGAATACTATGCAGCCATGAAAAAGGATGAGTTCATGTCCTTTGTAGGGACATGGATGAAGCTGGAAACCATCATTTTCAGCAAACTAACACAGGAACAGAAAACCAAATATTGCATGTTCTCACTCATAAGTGGGAGTTGAACAATGAGAACACATGGACGCAGGGAGGGGAACATCACACACTGGGGCCTGTTGGGAATTGGGGGCCGAGGGGAGGGATAACATTAGGAGAAATACCTAATGTAGGTGACGGGTTGATGGGTGCAGCAAACCACCATGGCACGTGTATACCTATGTAACAAACCTGCACCTTCTGCACATGTATCCCAGAACTTAGAGTATAATAAAAATTTTTTAAAAGAAAATAAGGTGATAGACTGAGAAACTGTTTCAGATTTTCAAAAACTAGATTAGAAACATGAAAACGAAATGCAATGTGGGATCTTGGACAGAAAACAACCATTTTGTTACAAAGGACATTGTTGGGACAATGGATGAAACCTGAATAGTATCTGTAGAACAGACTCGTATGTGGAGAGAATGATAAATGTAAAACTTTAACCTTCGAGGGGCTCTAGTTGTGAGGTTATGTAGGAATTCTGTATACTATTTTTGCAAGTTTTCTATATATCTGAAATTATTTCAAAATAAAATTTTAAATAAAGTAGGCAGAGTTAAAGAAGGCCTTTTATGCCACATTACCGAGCAGGATGTGTGACGGCCTCACAGGCCACAGGCTTTGTGGCTCATCTTCACGGTGAAGTCCTCTGGGCAACTTCAGCCAGGGACTTCCCCATGCAGCCTCCTCCCTTTGTCCATATGCACAGATTCTGCATAGTGTAGTCCAGGTACCTAGCCCTGGGAAGTCTTCATCTTTTGATAACTTTTAATCTGCAAAGTATCTCACTATAATTGATAGGCCAGGTTCCATGCAGCATTCCCCACTGTTGGATTCTCATCAGTTTGCCTCCAGCGTGCCTTTGAGATGCAGTAACAAAGGTATCAGAACATGTGTTGTCTCTCCCCACTGCACATTCTCACGGGAGCCATCGCTGGTCCATGTGTGCCCATGGTCTGAAGGCTCATGCTCCCCGCTGTCCTGTTGCTCTCTGTGGAGGCTGTGCCCACTCACACGTCATTTGCTCCTCCATCTTTGAATGCTAATGTGTCTCAGCAAGATGATCTCCTTTTAGAACACAGAGCAAAGGTGTTAATACAAATTCCATTATTGAAATAACATATGTAATAATATATAATATGTAATTAATCCATATGTAATATATTAATATTACATATAATACATAATATGTAATATGTATTATATAATGTATTGTATATAAATATATTAAAATATATTTGTATATTTTATATATAATACATGTGTATTATGTTATATATATTTTATATACTATTATATATAAAATATGTTTAAATAATATAATTGTAAATTATTTTATATATATAAAAAACACATATTTCTCATGCTATTATCTGTTTCTTTGGGTTTCTGCCAAAAAATCGTTTTCATATTTATATTATAAATTATAAACATTTTAATATGTATATATTCGTTTTTATAGTTTTTGTAACTATCTAACTTCCTTACAAACCAGCATGAGCCACAGCTCTCTCTATTTGCGTCTCACTGCACCACTGCACTGTGGGCAGCACCCGTTCTTATTGTACCCTCAGAACAGTGTGCAGCCTAGCACCTGTAGGAAGGACTCGATAGAATTTTCTTGAATGGAAATAGCAGTGTACCCTTCAAGAAAGGGTCACTTTGGAGTTAGGAAAAGGATGAAATGCTCAGAGATAAAGCAGAGGAATGTGTTGAATGGCCAGTTGACTTTATAATTTTCATTTATTTCTTCAACTTGTTTTCACTGAGTGGCTGCAGCATCCCCTGAACTGTGTACTAAGGTCCCAAGGATAGAAAAGACAAAACAAGCAAGTTCCCAGAACTTAAATTCTCCAGGGAACAGAATGGCATATATGACTGGATGGATGGATCAATGAATGGACAGATGATGTATGTAGTGTTATTACAGACAATGGTAGTGCTACAAAAGAAGTGATTGGTACTGCAGTAAAATAATGGGGAATGTAGTTCAGCAAGGAAGTCAGAGAAGGCTTCTTAGCAGTGGTGAAATTGAAGCAGACACTTGAACTAAAAGGAGGGGGAAGGGAAGCACTGTGGAAGCTCTTCCAGGTGAAGTCAGTGCCAGGGCACAGAGGCCAAGGAAGCAGCAGGCTGTGTGTGGGGCACACAGAAGGCTCAGCCTGCAGTGCTGGTTCTGGACAGCCAGGCGCCATCTGAAGCTGCAGAGGTGGAACAGCGAAGTGAGGCAGGACAGTTGAAGGCTTGGAAAGAAGTTTGGTCTCACTCCAGTGCAGTGGGAAGCTATTGGGTTTCAAGCAAGGTAGGATGTGACATAATTTACATCTTTTGTTTTGTTTTGTTTTTTTGAGACAGAGTCTCACTGTTGCCCAGTCTGGAGTGCAGTGGTGCGCTCAGCTCACTTCAACCTCAGCCTCCCAGGTTCAAGCAATTCTCCTACCTCAGCACCCTAGGTAGCGGGCACTACAGGTGCCCACCACCACACCCGGCTAATTTTTGTATTTTTAGTAGAGACGGGGTTTCACCATGTTGGCCAGCCTGGTCTGAAACTCCTGAACTCAGGTGATCCGCCTGCCTCGGCCTCCCAAAGTGCTGGGATTATAGGCGTGAGCCACCACGCCTGGCCAATTTACATCTTTTAAAGATTCTTGTGGCTGTGTTGAGAAGAAATTGGAGAAAGCGGCAGACTGTGGTTTGCTCATGTTAGTAAAAATACTTAAACTAAATGAACTGATCAATAGCACACCAGCAAATGTCCAGCTGAATGCCACTAATGCTGTTTTTCAAAAATGTGTGCTGACAGAAGTTGGAAAAGTCCTTCACAAGCTTATTAGCTTTGCATAAGGGCTGTTTTATGGCCCATAGATTTTTGCGGCTCATTGTTTTTATTGAAGAATAATGTACATACAGAAAAATGCACATCAAATGTACAACTTCATGAATTATAAAAAAAATGTAAATATGCCTTTTTATTAAATAATCACTGCCCAGCTCAAAAACTAGAACATGAGATGCAGGCATCTGCCCCCTTGAGCCTTCTCCCTATTCTTTCTCCTTTATTCAGTCTTTCCATTCTCCTGACCTCTCACCTGCAGTTTTGCCTATTTTTAAACTCAGTGTGATGAATGGAATGAAATAATGTTTGCTGTGTGTACCACCAGTTCATTCATTCATACTATGCTATTCATGTACTATTTGTCCATGTGTGAGTATACTGTAGTTTATCCATATATTCCAATTGTCCAGTGGATCCATTGGTTATCATTTGGGCTGCTTCTAGTTCTTAGTCCTATGGCGATATTTCCCGTATTTTTTGGTGCACAGGTGTACACATTTTGGTTGTGTAGGTACCGAGTGCTGAAAGTACTGGCTTACAGGGGTTGTGTAGGATGAGCTGTGGTAGATTCTGCCAAGCGGTTTTTCCAAGTTGCCTTACTAATTACACTCACACCAGCTCCGTGGGAGGGCCCTGGTTGCGTCACATCTTTGCCAACACTCGGTATTTTCAATTTTTGTAATTTAGACATTCTGGTGGGTATCTAATTTTCATTTTAATTTAATTTCACTGATGACTAATAAGGTTGAGCAACTTTTCATTGATTTTTGGCCATTCAGATGTCATCTTGTGAAGTGTATGTACAAATATATTTCCATTCTGCTATTGAATTGACTGTTTATTTCTTATTAACTTCTGAAGTGTTTATTCAGGGTACCAGTCCTTTACTGAGTCTATGGATTGCAATGATGTTTTCTCTCTGTGTAGGTTGCTTTTCACCTTCTCTAGGTTGTTTGCTAGTGCAGAGAAGTTCTTAATGTATCTACTTTATCTGTTAGGGTTTTTTGTTGTTGTCGTTATTGAGACAGAGTCTCTCCCTGTTGTCCTGGCTGGAGTGTAGTGGCACGATCTCAGCTTATTGCAACCTCTGCCTCCTGGGTTTAAGCGATTCTTCTGCCTCAGCCTCCCGAGTAGCTGGGACTGCAGGCATGCACCACCACACTTGGCTAATTTTTGTATTTTTAGATGAGACAAGGTTTCACCATGTTGCCCAAGCTTGTCTCAAACTCCCCACCTTAAGTGATCTGCTCGCCCCAGCCTCCCAAAGTGCTGGGATCACAGGTGTGAGCCACCATGCCCAGCGTACTTTACCATTTTAATAGTAGTTTTGGCATCTTGTTTCAGAACTCTTTGCCCATCCCAAGTTCATGCAGATGCTCCTCCATGTTGCTTTCTAGAGGATTTATTGTTTTACCCTCTACATTCAGAAACACCATCAACTTGGAGTTGATTTTCATGTATACTGTGAAGTAAGAAGACAGATTTTCTCATATGGCTCTCCCATGGACTCAGCACATTTACTATGGACATAAATACTCTCTCAAATACTCCACAATGTTTTTTTTTGTCAAATATGACCTCTATAAAGCCACATGCAACAGAATGTCAGAATTGAAGTTTGACAGCAATATGGAAGTGTAACAGATGACACATCTAAAATGAGATGCCAGGCCAGAAGCCCCAGTTAGGAAGGAATGAGCTAGGATCATTTCCCTCATTTTTGAACACCTTGAACTGATCAAGAATATAAAGAAGGAATCAGATGTAGGGAGGAGAAAGGATTCTGTGAAGAGAAATTTTTGAAAAAGCTGTTAGAATGCCACTGTCAACTCAATGTCCTTCTGTTTCTGGGGCTTGGGGAAGGTGACCTACCCCTCACCTGGAGCCTTTAGGCTGAGGATCAAGAGAGTGTTGAAGATAAAGGTGCCAATGCTTGGATCTGGGCATCTCATGAGTGAGGAAAGGGACCAGGATGCATTCCTTACGGTTGTCAGAGTGCGTGAGGACCATTATGGCCCCCGGATGGGCCGTGCCTGTGGGAGCTGGCAGGGGTGGTGTTGGGCCCTGTCACTGGGGCAGCGTGGAAGGAGAGAGGGACCCGAGTAGCAAGAAGCTAGAGGAGGACTTCAGATGCCTAGTACGCTGACACTGCAGAAAGTGACTGTTAAGAGGAGGCGTGCAGCTGCCTGCGGTAGGAATGCTGCACGTGAGTGACCCCACCGTGGAAATCTCCAAAGAGGCTCCCAGGAGAGCAGCTGAGCCTCCTCCGGTGGCCGGACCCCAAGCCCGAGACAGGACACGAAGCAGTCCCTTCAGTCCAAAATGCTCCTTCCCCCACCTCCACACCACTACCCCAGAGCAGTTAGCAGAAGACAGATGCCAGGCACAGCACCTTCCCCAGGAAGGACCCTTTGGAATTCTCTCAACTAAATGCATTTTAAAGGGGCCAGAAAGAGATTTAAAACAATAAGTAAATAAGTTGCATTTTGATTACATCCCCAAAGTCCTGCTCTTTCAGTTTCCCTTTGAGCAGTTAACTACTGACCCTCTGCACCGCCCTAAGCAGAGGTAGCTGATCACTCAGGAGGGTCACTCTTGTGTGAGGGGAAGCCTCCCACTAGCCCAGAAGTGCTCTGGGCCATAGTTGAGCTTTCATATTGCTGCACCATGTAGACGCTCAAGTGAGACAGAAACACAAAAACACAATAACCGCCGTCTGCCAAGGAAGCAGGAAAAATCACCTTTCAGGCCATTGTCCTGGTAAGTGGCCATGGCCTTCCAGCCACTCAGCATTTATACATAGGGAAAGCCACTTTAAGTAATGCAGTTGATGTATCTTAATCTGAGATGACACAAACATCAAAGGCATTTCTTCTCCTTGATTTCCAATAATCTCAAATATGCATTCTTTTCATATGTTCTTTGAACCTCAGTATAAAACATGGAATCAACTCTCTAACTTAAAAGCAGTGCAGTTTTGCAAAGTATCTTGCTCTAAGAGATGTTAGGGAGGTGATGCCTTTGTCATTCCTGGTTTGTATTTTTCCATTTTCCAAAAACTCTGTAGGTATTACAGATATCATTGCATAATTTAGAATTTAATCCTCCTGGAGAGTCAGGTGTCTTCAAGGTGATTTATAGCAAGTGAAGCTTGCAGAATTCTGGAGAGTGGTGATATAAAGTAAGGTAAGGCAAGAGAGAGGGAGAAAGAAAGGAAGGAAAACATGTTTTATGTGGGCTTCCAGTTATGGAAGTGTAAACTGCATCCTGGGAGACAGAACAGAACTGGGAAAAGAATATGACAAATACAGATTCATTGATCACCATGAGTGTGCCCTGATTTTGTAATAGAAATAAGGAATAAAAATGTTATCGGTTACAGCCTTTAAGTGATAGGATTCTAGATCATTGTTATTTTCATCTTTGTTTCTTATGTGTTTTCTGAACTTTCCCTAATAGACATCTGTCAGTTTTGTAACCAGAAAAACATACATATTAAATGAGCACAAAGGTGTTGAAGACTTCAACTCTATTTGCTATTCACCATAGAAAGGGTTTTGTTTTTTTTTTCCTAGTCAGGCCACAATCAATTCAGCTGAATGAACATGAACCGAAATACACACCTGCACGTGCTCCTCAGGTGAGTGTTCTGAAGGACAGGCACCCACCACTGGGCCACCGGGACTTGAATTTCACCCAGCCGCACGGCCATGGGAATACTTGGGAGGACAAGGTAGCTGGGCAGTTAGAAAGAAAGACTCCCCTACCCCAAGTTTGTGGCCTGGGGGCCCCAGATGCTTGGCTATTGCAGGAGGTAAAGCTGTAGAAATTGACTGGGACTGCTTCTATGGACAGCAAAGGGAGAAACAGCAATACAATAATAGTGGATTTCAGTATTCCACTTTCAATAATGGATAGCTCTTCCAGACAGAAAATCAAAAAGGAAGCGTGGGTGTGAACAGCAGTGTAGGCCAAGTGGACCTAACAGACATTCACAGATCATTCCACCCGGCAGCAGAAGAACACACATTCTTCTTATTTCTTACTGCCCAGCTGTTGGCCTTGTCCTCCCAGGTCTCCCTCTGGTGCCCCCTGCCCTGAGATCTTGCTGTCCCCCTCTGCACCTCTATGCAGGGCTGGAGGCCATTCTGGATGTCTGAGAACTTTTCTGGCAGGTATTCCCATGGCCGTGCGGCTGGGTGAAATTCATGTCCTGGTGGCCCAGTGGTGGGTGCCTGTCCTTCAGAACACTCACCCCAGGAGCACGTGCAGGTGTGCGTTTCAGTTCATGTTCATTCAACTGAATTGATTGTGGCCTGACTAGAAAAAGCCCTTTCTGTGATAAATAGCAAATGGAGTTGAAGGCTTCAGTGCCTTTGTGTTTGTTTAATATCTACGTTTTTCTGATTACAAAAAAGACAGATGTCTATTAGGGAAAGTGCAGAAAACACATAAGAAACAAAGACAAAAGTGACAATTAGAATCCTACCACTCATGGCTGTGACTGATAACATTTTTATTCCTTATTTCTATTACAAAATCAGTGCACACTCGTGGTGACCAGTGACTCTGTATTTGTCGTATTCTTTTCCCACTTCTGTTCTATCTCCCAGGATGCAGTTTATACTTCCATAACTTTTTCTGTACTTACACAAACATGACTATTTATAGGGTTTTATTTTGTTTTGTTTGTTTTGTCTTAACAAAAGGACTTAGACCATATATTCCTCTGCAACTTGTTTTCTTTAGTTAACAATAAACTATGGAAGCATTCCCAGATACACACACACTTATGTGTGTGTATAATATATGTGTGTGTATATATATATATACACATATATTTGCATATACACACATACAAAAACATTTTTTAAGGCAGCTGCACAGTCCTCTTTCATGGGCAGCAGGCCTGCATATAGAACCACCACACACAGATATGCAAAGCAAATGGAGCTTTATTTTCCTCTAACTGATGTGTCCTCCTGTGCTCTGTGTTCTGTCTCTTCCCGCCCTCAGCCTTTCCATCAGTGTCATCCCATGCTCTGCGGCTGTAAATCCTCTTTGGTGAATGCCCGGTTCTTCAGGACCCCATCTCCTCCTGGTTCCCTGGCCACATCATCTGTTGTGCAAATGTAAAACTCTTGGGAGTGAGGGGGCACTTTAGTAAGGACACTGGAGCCACAAGTGTATCCGGGGATCTCATAGCTGTCCCTATGCAGGTTCCCAGGTGCCCCACGTGTGTGCAGGCTGGTGTCCAGAGAATGCTGCTGGGTTTGTCCACACCTGTGGTGCCCCGCTGGCACCTTTGTGGACGTCTGTATCTCATGGAGCTCCTGCCCTTTCCTGTGAGTGTTCATGCCCCTGGGTCCCTCAGCTCTCTGCTTCTGAGTCTGCCAGTCCTGCTTTTCCAGCCCTGAGTCTTGGGGATTCATCCTGTGGTCCTAGGCCATAGCATCCTTGCTCTAGCAGGCATAGCTAGGAGGTCTGGCCTGTTCAGCCCTCTGCAGGAGCGCACACAGCTCTTCCTGGGCACGACCTGGGAGTGGCCTGTGTTCTCTCTCCCTCTCTGTCCTGCAAGTCTTTTGCATTACCGTGTATGCTGTGGCATTCCGCTCGGATTCTGTCTAGTCTCCTCCCACAATCCCAAAGAGGAGCAGAGTGTAATCTACTCCTCGACTGCTGTCACTTTCGCATCTTCTCTGACATTCCCCTCCACTGGGGCCTTGGGCCCAGAAACAGCCCAGGCCACCTGTATCTCTCACTGCCTCCTTCCCCAGCTTCCTCCCCGTCAGAGTCCCTTGAAGTGGGGCTTTCCATTTCTTAGTCATCGAGTCTTGAAGTCCCCTTGTCCGTGACAGATAGTAAAATTCTCTGTCTGGGTCTCCCTCAAAAGACCCTTGAAATGCTAATGGAGCTATTGGAATTTAGAAAATTGGTTAATTGCTTCCTTTTCCTCCAATAAACCTGGATTTCTAGAGGATATTCTTGCTAAGGAGGTTAAGAAAAGTCAGCACTAAGGCTCAGGGCTGATCAGTGGCCTCTTTGATTCTGAATATAAATCAGTCTTAAAGAGGAGGGCTGCAAAGGAAACATGACTTAAGGAAGAAAGATATGACAGTGCGAAAGTGTATGCTCATTACAATATAGTGCGGCTGCGTCCAAATTCCTCCCGCCTCTCCCCTATGGATGGTGGTCACGCTTTTGCCATCCCAAATAATGCTGAGGAGGGGAAAGCCTCTTACACATGTCTTCTTCTTTATTAAAACTCTTAATTTCTGTGGAATAAAATCCTAACACTGTGATGCAAAGGGCATGTGCAATTTAACTTTTTAAATCTGCTGATTCATCTTTTTTCGATTCATGCTCTCACCATTAATGTATGAAGTGCTGTTTCCCCACATCTTTACCACCACCGGATGTTAGAAACTCTTTTTAAGTTTTACAGTCTCATTGGATTAAAAAGCAAAAGTGTCTTGTGTCATCTCACATTTGCTTGACTGCTTGTGCGGGGCAGGTGGTGTGTGCTTTCACAGGCTGTCAGCTGTCCCCAGCCTCTCTTTTACAGAAGTGGCTCCTGCCCATTGTCTCCTAAGGCTGTTCTCCCTTTTAATTCTCTATGGTGCAGGCTCTTTATATATTAGGAACTCTAACTTTTGGTCAGATGGGTTGGGAGTTTCTCCCAATCTCTTTTTTACTTTGTATATATTATATTTATGTTTTACCATAGGAATTCATACCAAAAGCAAGAAGTATGACAAGTATGACTTTTTATTAAAGGACTTAAAAATCTAGATAAATGAAGAATTATACTGTACTCCTGGATGGGGAAGCTGAATTTGAAGCCATCAGTTATTTTGAAATTAACATGTATTTGTAATGCAATTTTGGTCAGTACTCTAGGTTTTTGTTTTAACTGAGCCCAAGCTGTCCAGCAATGTCAGCAAGAAATTCTTCAAGAAGAATAGTAAGAGGGGTCTTGTGTCATCTATAAAGGTGTCACATAGCTACACTCATCAAAAAATATAGTATTGGTGCCAAAAATGAAAAAAATTAAAATCACTGAAAGAAGAGATTTTGCAAACAGATCAAAGTATAGATATATTTTAACTCACTTGGAAAAGATGGCATATTTAATAAGTATCTTGTTGTAATCAATGATGTTGGAAGGGAATAAAATTGGATGCCAACACTGAGGCACGCACATGAATAAATTCCAGATGGGTTTTGAACCTAAATGTAGAGCAAAAAAATCCAATTATGTAAATAGTAGGAAAAAGAGTAGAATGTGATCCATATAATCTCAATTGAGAGAGGTCTTCTTAAATAATGCAGGAAACCCAGAATGATAAAGAAATAGAGTGGCAGATATGGCTATATGAAAACAGTTTAGCATCTTTTCCTTTAGTCTTTTACATATGCAGTTTTACATTCTTGAGGTTTTTTAATATATATGGTTTTCTCTTGATTTTTTTCACTTCCTAAGTGTTTCCCCAAGAAATATAAAACTTCAAAAATGTAATTTCAGTATCTATGTTCCAGTTTATACATGTGCTGTCATTTAATTAGAACTTACCATTTTTAAACACAAGCCACAGTTCTTTGAAATTATATTTCAAAAGTAGAAAACACATTCCATAATATCTTGAATAGATCTGAATAGAATCTTGACATGCAAGACACATGGCATACCGTGGTAGCAACTCTCAGGATAAGACAAGTGTGCACTACATGGTAAACTAGACCTGGTGCTCATACATAGAATCCAAGGAGAAACAATGTTTAATAAGTTATTAGCATCATTTCATATAAATTGGGAAGAAAATTATTGGACCCTTTCCTCATCCCATGTATACGGACAAATAGAAGATAGAGGCAACAGAGATACCTCAGGGACCAGGCGCTGATTGCAGATGTGTGGCAGAAGTACTGTGTGAAATCCACGGCGCATCCAGGGGGCTTTTCTTTGATCACACCCTGAGAATTTTCGTAAACTAAACACTGTTTGGGAGTTTTAAGAGGAGGAAAAGAACTTTGCTTCTGCAAATTATGGCAGTCATGTCAATGTTACCGAATATTCCGGGACAGATTTCCAGAAGAAAAGAGTGCATCTTGTGAACCGTCAGCTTGCAGTGGCCTTGGCTAGAAGTCAGCATAGGGTCTGACTTCATTTTCTTTCTGGGTAATGTTTTTGAGGGGGAACACCGGGGACATTATACATCTGAATTTTTGGAGTACGTTTGATTAAAGAGGTAGCATAGTGTAATTGTGAAAAAAAGTTTATTTGGAATTAGAAGAGTTGAGTTCAAATCTCTAAACCCTCACTTACCTGTTATTCTCTTTAGAGAAGTCACTTCACTTTCAAGACCAGATTTTCCATTTGTAAAATGAAAGTTTGGGATCTAAGTGACTTCAAAAGTCCCTTCAAGCTATAACACTCTGCTCTTGTAAATTCCTCATGACAGTCCTATGGTAAAGATGGGAAAAGTGTAGCCTGAATGTCATTTTAATGAGATAGGAGTCACCATTGTCAATGACTATATACAGAGAACACATTTGTCTGTCAGTCCTTTAGTTAAGCCTAGAAAGGGGTCTCTGGCAGACTGCTGTGAGGCTGTGTCTTCCTTCCCATCTAGCCATTTTCTAAATGCTGTAGAATAAGGGTTAGCAAAGTTTTTCATGAAGGATCAACAGTAAATATTGCAAGTTTTGCAGGCTCTATGGTCTCTGTTTACAACCAGCCAACTCAGCCAATAGACATTACATAAATGAACAGTTGTGCTTGTGTTCCAGTAAAACTTAATTTATAAAAAACAGGCAGCTGATGGGCAGGCTGAGGTGCCCTGACACCTACTCTTGCACAGTGAGAACATTCGTGGCCCACAGATCAAATTGTCATTTATTTGGTTAAGTTTTATTCAGCACTAAGTCGTAGGGTTGCAAATATGCATGTGTCAGTTCTTGATCTCCAGGAACTTCCCAGTGAGGAGATAGCAGGTGAATGAGATGGGATGCTCCTTAAGATAGTGAGGTCCCTGGGGTGTGGATCCGGTCCTGTGAGTACGCAGAGCTGTGAGTGTGTGATTCTGCCTGGAGGTTAGGCCGGGCAACTAGAGCCAAAAGGAGTCCAGATGGCTTGTCCTAGGCAGGAGTTGTGGTGCACTGAATCTAACAAGATGAAAGTCAGTACTGACGGAAATGGGACAGTGAGTATAGACTACAAGATAAAAGCAAAGAAGCAAATAAAAAACAGCTGTTCAAGTGGGAAGCAAAAGCTGTCACTTAACCAGCAACTTCATGTGAGTTTCTGCAGCTGCAGGAAACTAGAACAGGATAAATGGGTCCCAACTCATCAGGGCCTTGAGCTTCTCCATCCTGTGGGCCGATCGTGTCTGAAAGGTTGTCTTCATTTCTTGGCCAGTGCAAGGAAGGGCTAGAGGGAAGTAATTTCCTGACACTAGGCTGACTGTGATGGAAAAGGAAAGAGTAAGTACCGGGTATTCTGCTAATTCTCACATCAACCCTGTGAGCCAGGGATTACATTATATCCATTATAGAGCAGCACTTCTCAAATTTTGCTGTGTGTAAGCATCTCTGGCGATACAGTTGAAATGTGGGTTCTGGTTCAGTAGGTCTGAGTGGGGCCTGAGAACGTTAATTTCTGATGAGCACCAGCAGATGCCAACACAGCTGGGCAAAAGTACTGTATGAAATCCACGGCGTATCCAGGGGGGTTTTCTTTGATCACACCCTGAGAATTTTCATAAAATAAACACTGTTTAGGAGTTTTAAGAGGAAGAATAGAACTTTGCTTCTGCAAATTATGGCAGTCATGTCAATGTTACAGAATATTCCCGGACAGATCTCCAGAAGAAAAGAGTGCATCTTGTGAACCGTCAGCTTGCAATGGCCTTGGCTAGAAGTCAGCATAGTGTCTGACTTCATTTTCTTTCTGGACAATGTTTTTGAGGGGGAACACTGGGGACATTATATGTCTGAATTTTCACAGTACCTTTAATTAAAGAGATATCTTTAATTAAAGTAGCTCTGTGAACAGCAAGGAAGTGGATGAGGAAACAGAAATTGGCAGAGTCCATGATTTGTCCAGATTAAACTGCCATGAGTGACTGTAACAAAAATTCAGAACTTATGTAACTCAAATAGGTATATTTGAGAAATAGGTCGGCACAGGTCAAGATGTGAAAGCCCAATAAAGCTAGGCAGAGACTTGGTAAGATAAAAAAAAAAAGTGCCTCAAAATGTTCAGTGACAGTAGTGCCCTGATACAGGCAGTACTTAAGGAAAAATCAGTATTTAAGGAAGAGCTGTAAAGGGTCTCCAGGAGTGGGCAAAGTATGTTTTTAATTAAACATTTTATTTTGAGATGATTGTATATTGATCTGCAGTTGTAAGAAATAATAGAGTTCCAGTGTCCCCTTTACCTGTTTTCTCCCAATGGTAGCATTGTGCAAAACTATGGTCCAATATCACAACCAGGACATTAATGTTGATGTAGTCAATATGTAGAACATTTCCATCCCACAAGGTTCCCCAGTGCTGCTCTTTATATCCACAGTCACTTACCCAACCTCATTCTTAACCTCTGGCAACCATTAATCTGTCTCCATTTCTACAATTTTGTATTGTAATAATGTTATATCAATGGAATCATATAATATGTAATTTGGGGATTTTTTTTTTACTTGGAATAATTCCCTGGATATTCATCCAAGTTGTTGTGGTTATCAAGAGTTCATTCCTTTTCCTTACTGAGTAGTATTTCATGGTATGGGCATTCCACAGTTTGTTTAGTCATTCACTCCTTGAGGGTTCTGGATCATTTCTGGTTCCAGGCTATTATGAAGAAAGCTGCTATGAACATCCTTATAAAGGTGTTTGGGTGAATGTGAAGACTCCATTTCTCTAGGATAAGTGCTCAGGAATCCAGTTGCTGGGTTGCATGGTAGTTTTATGTTTAGTTTTAGGAGAAACTGCTTTCCAGAGTGGCTGTGTCATTTTCGTTCCCACAAACAGCATGTGAGTGATCCGTTTCTCTGCGTCCTTGTCAACTATTGGTGTTGTCACTGTTTTTTATTTTTGCTGTTCTGATAGATGTGTAATGATAACTCATTGTGTTTTAATTTGCATTTCCTTGATGGCTAAGGTTGTTGAACATTTTTATGTGCTTATTTGTCATATATACCTTCTCTTCAGTGAAATGTCTCTTTGTGGTTTTTTTGCCAATTTTCTAATGGATTTAACTGTTGAGTTTTGAGAATTCTTTATATATTCTAGATAGTAGTCCTTTGTCAGATACATGGTTTGCAAATATTTTCTCCCAATCAGTAGCTGGTCTTTTTACTCTCTTTCACAGAACAAAAAGTTCAAGTTTATCAATTTTTACTTTTATGGATCATGCTTTTGGTATGAAGCCTAGTAACGACTTCTTTCCTAACCCTAAATCCCTAAGATTTTCTCGTATGTTTATTTTCAAAAAGTTTTGTAGTCTTATATTTTACATTCAAGTTTGTGATCCATTTTAAGTTAATTTTTACTGTATACAAGGTATGAGACTTAGGTCAAGTCTCTTTCTTTCTTTCTTTCTTTCTTGTTTTTTGTGCCTATGCCTGTCCCTTGTTCCAGCACCATTTGTTGCCAAGACCATCTTTCCTCTGTCAAGTTGCTTTTTCACCTCTGTCAAAAATCAGTTCCGGGTTCTCTATTCTGTTCCTTCAATCTATATTTCTATTCCTTCACCAGTACTGCCGTCTTCATTACTGTAGTCATATGGTAAACCTTAAAATTGGCTAGATTGATTCTTCCCACTTTATCCTTCTTTTTCAAAATTATTTTAACTATTCTAATTCTTCTACCTCTCCATATAAATATTACAATAACTTTGTCCATATCTATTAAAAATCTTGCTGAATTTTGACAGGAATTGTCTGTCAATTTATACATCAATTTGGGAAGTATTGGCATCATTAGCGTATTGAGTTTTTCAATCTGTGGACACAGTATGTTTCTACATTTATTTAATTAGTAGATTTTTATATCTTTAATGTTTTATGGTGTTCAGCATACAAGTCCTATGCATATTTTGTTAGATTTATAACTATTTTTATTGAATGATTATAAATAGAATTACATTTTTAATGTTAGTGTCCACACGTTCACTGATATTACAGAGAGATACAACTGATTTTTATGTTGACCTTGTGTCATGTGACCTTGCCGTAGTCACTTCTTAGTTCTAAAAGTTTTCAGAGTCCTTGAGGTTTTCTGCATTAGACATCTTGTCATCTGCAAATAAGTTTTACTCCTTTTCTTCTAATATACATGCCATTCATTTCCTTCTCTTACCTGATTGCACTGGCAAGAATATCCAGCACTATGCTGAATAAGAGTGATGAGAGCAGACATCCTTGCTTGTTCCCAATCTTAGGGGAAAACCATTCTTTCACCATTAAATATGATGTTAGCTGTAGGTTTTTTGTGAATGCTCTTTGTTAAGTTGAAAGTATTCTATTCTTATTTCATGAAGGGGATGTTGAATTTTATGAATTTTTTTCCTTCATCAACTGATGTGATCATGTGATTTTTCTTTTTAGTCTGTTAATATGGTGGATTACATTGACTGATTTTTGAAGATCAAACCAGACTTACATTTCTGAAATGAACCCCACTTAATAATGGTATATAATTACTTTTCAATATTGATGAATCCCATCAGTAATATTTTGTTAAAGATTTTTGCATCTATATTCATGAGGGATATTGGTCTATAGTTTTATTTGTTTACACTGGGTTTGTCTGGTTTTGGTATGAGAGTAATTGTGGCTTCATAGAAGTGTCGGAAAGTGTTTTCATTTCTTCTGTTTTCTGGAAGAGACAGTAGAATAGGTGTTAATTCATATTTAAATGTTTGGTAGAATTCTCCAGTGAAACCATCTAGGCCTGGACATTTCTTTGGAGGAGGCTTTTAAATTCTGAATTTAATTTTCCATAGTTGTAGGACTATCCAAATGACCGGTTTCATATTAGATTAATTAAGGTAGTTTGGGCTTCTCAAGGAATTGGTCCATTTCATCTAAGTTGCTAAATTTATATATGTAGAATTGTTCATAATATTACCTTATTATCCTTTTGATGCCTCCAGGGCCAATATTCCTTTTTCATTCCAGATATTGATCATTTGTGTCATCTTTTTAAGCTTTTTATTTTAAATATTTTTTTAAATTATAATAACTTTAAATAATAATTTTTTAAGTTAGGAAAAAATTGTAAAAAGTTTAGAGTTCCCATTTACCTTTCACCGAGTTTTTCCAAATGTTAACACTTTACGAAACCACAGTACTATTATCAAAACCAGAGAATTAACATTGACACAACCGTGTTAACTATTCTACCAACATCATTACAAAAATTTCACTACTTTTCTCACTAATGTCCTCTTTCTGTTCTAGAATCCAATCTAGGTCCTACCCTGCATTTGGTTATTATGTCTCATTAGTCGCTTTTAATCTGCGACAGTTCCTAAGTCTTTCCTTGTCATTACCCTTATACTTTTGAAGAGAACTGGTCAGTTATTTGGTAGAATGACCTTCCATTTGGGTTTGTCTAATATTTTCTCACAACTAGATCAGGGTGAGGCTGTGCACTACAGGGAAGGAGACGGCTGATGTGCTCTGCTTGTTTCTGTGCTGGTGCACATGCTATTGATATGTCTTATACTGGCATGTTGACCTTGGTCCCTTGACTAAGGTGCTATCTGTCAGGTTTCTCTAGTGCAAAGTTACCATTTTTCCATTTGTCATTAGTAAATATCTTGCAGGAGATACTTTGAGACTATGATGCAGGTATCTTTTTCTCATCACACCTTTGAGTTAGAAAGGTTTGGGGGCTCAGAGGAAAATCCTCAAGACATATTCTTACACCACTGAATGATATCAGGTGGCCTGTGATAGTGGCATCTATACAAGGGACAAGGAAAGCAGAAAAAGGCCATTCTCTATGAATATCATGATTTTATGATTGCCTGAATTGGGGAGAAGAGGTGAGGAGTGAGAGATACAGAGAAAGAGATAGAGGAAAAGAGAAAGACTGATTCACAGAGAAAGAGATCTGAAGTTCAGAACTCATTGAGATGGAGAGGGCGAAGTCAAGGGAGAATTCAATTTTTCAGTCTTGACTGACTTGAAGAACAGGTAAGTTTTGCAAGGAAGGCAGGTTTGGTTCTAAGAAATCTGAGGTACCTGTGAGACGTGTAAGTGCACATCCCATCAGAGAGCAGGGCAAAGGGTGGAAAAGAGAACAAGACTAGAGAGGGCCACTTGGGAGTCACCCGAACACAGGTGTTATGAATATTTAGTGAGTATAAATCAGTTATCCAACAGAAAGAGCCAAGCCAAGCACAAAGTTGGGAGAATACCCATAGTTTGTTGGAAAAGGAATCAGTGAGACAAACTGAAGTCGTGGGGAGATGAAGGATGATGGTGCCATGTATAAGGAAGAGTTCACAATGGCAGCATGACCACTGTGTTAACTAAGAGCTAGAAGGTCAGTGATTCCGTCATTAGCAGGGGGTGACTTCTGTGGCTGTGGTTTCAGTCAGGTGGTAGGGATGGAATCCAGATGTAGGCAGGGGATAGGAGAGTGCAGAGAACGCAGTAAGTGATGAAGAAAGAAGTGGACAGCAATTATTGTGAGCGGTTCAACGGGGAATTTTCTTTGTTAACAATGCAGAGGGAAACATAACTGTAACGTCACTTCCACTAACAGCGCAGTCAGACAGATTCGATTGCTAAAGAAGACTCACAGGGCCCAGAAGGACAGTGCTCACAAGTCTGTGGTTTATTGACAAGAAGGGATGTGATAGAGCAACAAGCATGAAGGCAAGGACCTGCCTTGCATCCAAAGGCTGCCTCAGAGCAAGCAGTGTGGACACACTGAGGCCGATACGGGCTGCCTCCAGTGGTCTTCCCTCTGCAGGCCTGAGCCAGATGTGTTTTTTCTCTCGGAACCACGTACCCATGCAAGGAAGGAACACCTCAGATCCACGCAGCCCAGTGGAGTCACAGTGGGGCTTTTTGCAGCCTTCTGGTCACATAAGCACATTATTGCTACATGAGCAGCTCTAACATCAGAGCCCCCTCCCCAAACACGTGCAAAACATCAGTCTCACAGTCATCCATAAACAATGAGGACAAACAGGCAGAACCTACCCTGAAACTCACCTCGGACCCACGGGTAAAAACAACAGTATTGGCCGGGTGCGATGGCTCACGCCAGTAATCCCAGCACTTTGGGAGGCCGAGGCGGGCGGATCACGAGGTCAGGAGATTGAGACCATCCTGGCTAACACGGTGAAACCCCATCTCTACTAAAAGTACAAAAAATTAGCCGGGCGTGGTGGCGGGCGCCTGTAGTCCCAGCTACTCGGGAGGCTGAGGCAGGAGAATGGCATGAACTCAGGAGGTGGAGCTTGCAGTGAGCTGAGATCGCACCACTGCACTCCAGCCTGGGTGGCAAAGCGAGACTCCATCTCAAAAAAAAAAAAAAAAAAAAGTATTAATCACTGCCTTTCATAGTTTGATGCAGAATGTCTCGTACTTCAGCAAAGCAGCTCGGGCCAATTTCAGACCTGCTGGAATTAACCCTCCTAGCACATCCCTCTACGAATGTTATCTCAGTAAGTCCTTATCACCATCCTGTTAAATAGGTGCCATTACTCTTATTTTTAAGAAGGGCAATGTGATGCTCAGAAAGAGTAAGTACACTGCCAAAGCAACACACCAGGAGAAGGGAGGCGGGAACTGATTCTGTGGGACAGGAGGGCAGATGCCTTCACAACAAGAGGCCCCCGGGTGTGTTTGAAACAAGCTGGGAGTAAAAAGGATTAGAGAGGAGGAGCTTGCAGGTATGAGAGCAGCAAAGGGATAACTGTGAAAGGCGGGTCTCCTGAGAAATGAGAACAAATGTGCTCCTGAGACTGCTTAAGAAGAAAGAGAGAAGATGAAGCTATTAGCAGAGGCTGGGGCCCAGGCCTCGGTAGCCTTTAGATGAGTGGTTCTCCACCCCAGAGGGCTGGTGCAAACACAGCTTGCTGGGCAGTGCCCCCACTTCCAACTCAGCAGGTCTAGGTGGAGCCTGAGAACTTGCATTTTTAACAAATCTCCAGCAGTGCTGATGCTGGGGGCCAGGGGCCTCACTTTGAGAACCACTGTTCAGGCTTGTCAGTGCCACATGGGTTGGGTCAACTGGAAGGAGAAGAGCTGGGGTGGAGGGATGACTCTCTGGGACCCCTCTTGCTGGTCTCTGCAGAAGTATCAACAGGTCATGATACCAGGGAAGGAACATAAATAAAAGGGACCAAGTTGGATAAATGCCAGGGTATTAGAGTAAAATGTGTTTCAGCTGCTTAGCTTTGATGTGAAAATTTGAACAAATAACCAGAGAATAAGGGACTGTTTCCATTCCTAGTTTGAAAAAAATTATATTTAATAAAAGATGGAATTGTCACTAGCATAATTTTAACGATTTTGAAATAGAAAATATCCTTGGAGGGGAGGGAAGGGTTAGGAAAGAATGTGTGTAGTTTGAGGAAGGAACAATGCTTGGCTGCTGTCCTGGTGGGAGTCAGTGAAGCTGCCTGATGAGCAGTAGCAGGACCATGGGCTCGATTATCAGGGAATGACTTTTTAGATGGCGGAGATGCCTCTGGGGCTTCAGGGGCTGTGGAGATAAGGTGACCAGTGTCTTCAAGCTGGGATAAAGCATTGTTCACATCTCAGCACATTTCGAGAAGTGGCGCAATGCTAACACAGCGCATTGGCTTTGCTGTTCAGGTTGCAGGTGACTGGTTGTGTGACCCTGGGCAGGTTGTCTCACTCCTCTGGGCTCAGGACAGGTGGTCTTTAAGCAGGTGTGCATGCTAGCTAGCCCCTGCAGCGCAGGGTTGTTGTGAAAATGTAATGATAGAGAATATGGCGCATGCCTGGTACGAGGAGACACTCAGAAATGTCCTCTTCTGCTTCAGGGTCAGGTAGAAGAATCTTTTCAATTTCACCTCCTGAACCCCAAGTAGCTCTAAGTCTCATTCTTCTGAAACCCTTGTCTTCTGTGGCCCCTGAGCCTAAAACCACAGACGCTGGGTCTTTGTGGCCCCCTGGAGGCCAGGCTTCAGGAGGACCCTGGTCACAACCCGAATGGGATAGCAGCCTAGCAAGATTCAGCAGACAGCATGCGAGTAAACAGATTAACAGGGTGATTGCTAACGCCACAGAAAGTAATGTGGGTGAGTGAGTGACAGCAAAGGTTGAGAAACATCATTCATAAAGGGCAGCCAAGGAGGGCCTTTCTAAGGAGGTAGCAGCATTAAACCTGAGGGTGAGGAGGGGCCGCCTGGGGAAGGAGGCAGGTAGAGGGGAGGAGTCCACTCGGGAAATCCCAGGTCACCTGGACATGTCACTGGGCCCTGGGATTGGTGTGCAGGTCAAATGCAATGTTGGTTGTGCTTAGGCAATTGAAAGCAAGTAGAAGCTAAAAAAGGGATGATTTATCTTGGTTCTGAGAAGTTGGGTTAACAGTGAGGTCAGGAAGCAGAGGTGAGCAGCCAGCACCCTCTTTCTCTTGGGAAACTTGAACACATTTTAGAGTTATAGTTCCCCCAGGGAAGAAGTTAGCAGAGGCCACCCCACACCCAGGACAGGTGACAGAGCAGCAGTCTCCTCTCCCTGACCTTGATGCCTGGGCACAAAGGCAGCTTTTGCTGAGCAACAAGATGCTTGGACTCCCCACTCCTCCTCTATTTTCCTCTCCTGGCTGCATTTGCTCTGAAAGGCTGCAGACACCTGGCCCCAGGCCCTCCAAGTGGGCACCCACCCCCATCTGGGTGACAGAGGCTGCTACTCATGGGAACTCCGCTAACTCCCTCTGAGTCCCTCTGAGTCATCTGGGTGGTGGACCAGCAGCCGTTGGGTCTGACCTCTCACCAGGACGCGTGCCTCTGAGCACTGGGACACAGGCCCTTTGAGGTCTCTCTGGAGCTGAAGGGCCGGCTCGCACACTGGGATGGAGTGGAATATGTGTGATATGTTGGTGAGGGATGCAGGCAGGTGTGGGAGGAAGTGGAGCAGGCACAGTCCATGGAGGACACGGGGCCCGGGTGCAGAGGCACACAGGCATCATCTAGATGGTGAGAAGGCGATGGGCCCAGATTCTGCCCTAGTGCAGGGAAGGCACCAAGATTTCAGATCAGAGGGAACTGCAGGAGAGCTGCAGAGACCCTCTCCCTTCAGCAGATTTAGGTGCTGCCTGTGACTTGCCAGACTGGCAGTCCCCAGCATGCTGCCAGCAGGCACGCTCAAAATGCGCTTCTGGCCTGAGCCCTTGCTGGCCTCAACACGCCAGCGGCTGCCCCTCTGTGGAGAGGAGTTCTCTGTAATGGTGCTGCAGGGACAGCCCATTCTGCCTGTCCACCCCCAGCCCCTTGTGCCCCCCTCAACCCTGTGCCCTGTCACTCACACCCGCAGCTACACCAAATCCTTCCCCAACCCCCTGCACAGGGGACTCCTTCGTGTGCAGGCCACCCACCCCCAACCCGTGTCTGCACTGGAGGTTCTCTGCGGAGAATTCTCCTCCGTGGGGCAGTAGAAGGACAGGCCTGTGTGTGCCTGAGCCCCTCTTCCTCAGGTGTGTGTGAGAGAATTTACCTGAGAGAAGTTAGCAATGCCTGCCTAGTGAAGGCCTGGCACAGAATAGGCCCTCAGCAAACACCAGAGACCTCTGCCCTCCTTACCCTTCTGGGAACTCTTATTTAGAGTTTAAGGCCCAAGCCAAGTATCTCCTTCTCTCTGAAGAGTTCCCTTTCCCCGGAGGCAGATGACAAGGCAAGCCGTGACTTCCCTTGGACGGGGGCTGCTCTGCATCTCAGGCGTTCACCAGGGAGCGGGCTGAGCTGCGGGTGTCGGTCTCCAGGTCTGTCTCCTGTTTCAGATTACAGGGCTCTTGACGGCAAAACCACTCAACTTTATTTCTGCCTCGTGGCCTACACCTCCTAGCATAGTAAGTGCTCATTAAAATGTTGCTGGTTTGTGCAGGATCTGGATTTTATGCAAATGAATAATAAACTAAAGTTTTGCTAGCTGACTACAGTGAAATATCAATCACTTCATGTCTGTTTGGATGACTGTTACCCACAAGAGAAGAGATACGTGTTGGTGAAAGTGTGGAGAAAAGAGAACACTAGTACAGTGTTGGTGGGTATGTAAATTAGTGCAGCCATTACGGAAAAAGTGTGGCGGTTCCTCAGTAAAATAAAACTAGAACTACCATGTAATCCAGCCATCCCACTGCTGGTATATAGTCAAAGGAAATGAAATCAGTACATCAAAGAGTTACCTGCACTCCTATGTTCACTGCAGCACTATCCACAATAGCCAAGACATGGAACCACCCTGTGCTCATCCAAAGATGAATGGATAAAGAAAATGTAAAACGTGGCCGGGGCGGTGGCTCACGCCTGTAACCCCAGCACTTTGGGAGGCCGAGGTGGGCGGATCACGAGGTCAGGGGATCGAGACCATCCTGGCTAACACGGTGAAACCCCGTCTCTACTAAAAATACAAAAAATTAGCCAGGCGTGGTGGTGGGTGCCTGTAGTCCCAGCTACTCAGGAGGCTGAGGCAGGAGAATGACGTGAACCCGGCAGGCGGGGCTTGCAGTGAGCCGAGATCGCGCCACTGCACTCCAACCTGGGTGACAGAGCAAGACTCTGTCTCAAAAAAAAAAAAAAAAAAAAGAAAATGTAAAACGTGTATAGATACACAATGGATAATATTCAGTCATAAAAAGAATGAAATCCTGTCACATATGGCAAGAATGAACCTGGAGGGCATCATGTTAAGTGAAATAAGCCAGGCACAGAAAGACAAATACTGCATGATCTCACTTATGTGTAGAATCCAAAAAAGGTGAACTCACGGAAGCAGAGAGCAGAATGGTATTGGCCAGGTGCTGGGGGAGGTGGGGTGGGTTGAGATGTTGGTCAAAGGATACAAATTTCATTTAGGCAGGATAAATAAGTTCAAGGGATATATGGGGACTATTATAACATGGTAACTATTGTAACAATGTATCCTTAAAAATTCTTGAGACTTGCTGAGAGTAGATAATAATAAAGTAAACTGGTGTTACAAAAAGTTTTTTGGTTGAATGATGAGCAAAGGTTTCCCGGGGGAAGGGGGGTTGAGGGGATCTGGGCTTGTGAAGGGTGGAGGGGTGTTATGACAGGGAGAGGGAGAACTGAATGAAAGAAGACAGCAAAACCTAGGTAGGAGTGGGGGACAAGGAGAGCGGTAAGAGCCCAGGATCCAGGTAGCCTGAGGGAGGAGGCCCCCAGCCGAGGGATGCCAGAGAGCATGCCAGTGCCTGTTGACCCTTCACACACCTGCGCTGCGTGGGCCCCCTCCACTGGCTCTGTGAGGGCAGTGTCCTGGCTTCTGAGCGCCACTCCGGGGTCACTAAGGTCACATGGCACCCTGCTGGGTAGCTGCTGCTCATTTTGTACCTGCTGTTTCCCAGCAGTCAGTCCTGGAAGCATCTCTGGTCCCGTAGTCCTGCCTTCATCTTGAGCCCTTCTCAGTGCCTTGTATTTTTACTTTACAATAGTGTCAGCTTAGAGCAGTGAATCCTTCGGGTCCCTGGAGCATCTTCAGAGGTCCCTTTTCATCTTCACCAGGACCTTTGGAACAGCCCAAGTCCCGTGGTGATGCAGGGACAAAGCAGGTGTGGTGGCTTTTTAGACCATAGGCAAGTAGGGGACATGACTAGTACTGATCCCAGACCTGGGGAAGCCCGGCTGATGGGTTTCCCGTGTGTGCTGGCCTTCAGTGACACCAAGGGGCTGGATGGAGAGGAGGATTCAGCTAGAACAGCCTCTTTGGGCTTTCACTTGCACCTGACAGACCTGGGTCTCTGCTCTCACCTGGAGCGCCCCAGACACGCGGTGTGTCCACAGCGTTAGCACACTCCCTGGGCCCGCTGTCAGCCCTGGGGGCTTTGAGAAGGGTGTGTCTGCCTGGCATCACCACATCCAATCCAGCCACATTCTGCATTTCAGAGCCAGAATACAGGTCTAAAATGCCTGTTTTGTTTTAGAAACTACTGTTCTCCCCAGGATTAAAATGTGCAGGAAGCATTCATCCCACCCTTAGTTTAGCTGATAGCCTTACCCCCCTCCCTTTTGTTTTGTTGTGGATCTGAACTTATTTTACCCAATGGCTATTTTCTTGCATTTCCCTCTAGAGGTAGTGGCATTTTCAAGAAGCACTTCAGCCTTCTGTATCTTTACATAATTCATTACGGACATATTTTGGACTTACAGTATCTTACAGTACAAAAAAAAAAGAGACTCTCCTCTTTATTTCCAGAAGTTGTTACAGACTTCTCCAGAATTTAAATTTCCTGAAAATTCGTCCAGGACATGCTGTAAGTTTTTATTCCATTAGGGAACCATAAACAAAACCACTTACTAGCAGGCCTGAGGCAGAGATGAACACCTGGCCTAAGCATCTCTCCTGCACCTTCCTGAGAGACAGACCGAGTGATCACTGTGTGAATTAAAGCCCATTTCCTAGAAACTCACTCTTCTCTTGAAGCTTTTAGGAAGACTAAGAGATAAAGCCATCCACCAAGAGATAAAGCCAGGAAAAGTGTCTGTCCCAGTGCAAGTGTGTGAGGGTTGTTAGTGGTGGGGGTGGGCATCCTTCATTCTTTCAGCCAGGGGACTGCACGTCCGTGGAGTGAACACCCCAGAGGTGGGCAGGGGACCAAGTCCAGCATGGGAGACAGGACCCCTGGGTCAAAGGCTGTTCTTAGGTAAGCTTCGTGACAAACATGGCATTTGAGCTGGGTCTTGAGTGGAGCCAGGAGAGAACAGGAATTTTGAAAATTCCTGAGGGAAAAAATGTGAACAAAGAAAGGGACCCAGGAAGTAGTTTATTGTTAACTATAATTTTCCTACTATGGTATCAAATACAAGAATGAATTTCTTCTATCCAACTGCATGTTGGTACCCATTAGTCAACTTCCCTTCCTCCCCACTTCCCTTCCCAGCCCCTGGTAAACACTGTTCTACTCTCTACCTCTTTGAGACCCACTTTTTTTTGCTCCCACATTTGAGTAAGAACATGTGATATTTGTCTCTCTGTGCCTTGCTTATTTCACTTAACATGATGATATCCAGTTCCATCCATGATGCTGCAAATGACGGGATTCCATTATTTTTATGGTTGAGTAATATTCCGTTCTGTGTATATTCCACACTTTCTTTATCCATTCATCCATTGATGGACACTTAGGTTGATTCCACATTTCAGCTATTGCAGACAGTGCTACAATAAACATGGGAGTGCAGATATTTCTTCAATATACTGATTTCCTTTCCTTTTAATATATACTCAGCCGTGGGATTCCTGGATATGTGGTCCTTCTATTTTTAGTTTCTTGAGGAACCTCCATACTGTTTTCCATAATGATGGTACTAATTTACATTCCCTTTCTCCACATCCTTACCAGCATCTGTTATTTTTTGTCTTTTTTATAAAAGCCAATTCTAACTAGAGTGAGATGATATCTCATTGTGGTTTTAATTTGCATTTCCCTGGTGATTAGTGATATTGAGCATTTTTTCATATGCCTGTTTTCTGTTTGTATGTCTTCTTTTGAGAAACATCTATTCAGGTCATTTGCTGATTTTCTAATCAGATTATTTGTTTTTTTGCTATTGAGTTGTTTGAGCTCCTTATATAATCTGGTTATTAATCCCTTGTCAGATGGAAGTTTGCAGATATTTTCCCCCTTTCTCTGGGTTGTCTCTTCACTTAGTTGTTTTGCTTCCTGTGCAGAAGCTTTTTAGCTTGATATAAACCCATTTTTCTATTGTTGCCTTTTTGAAATCTTATGCAAAAATCTTTGCCCAAACCAATGTCCTGAAGTGTTTCCCCAATGTTTTCTTCTGGTAGTTCCATAATTTTAGGTCTTATATTTAAGCCTTTAATCCATTTTAGAGTTGATTTCTGTATATGATGAGATGAGGATCTAGTTTCATTCTTCTGCATATGGATATTTGGTTTTCTCAGCACCATTTATTAAAGAGACTGTGTTTTCCCTGGTGTGTGTTCTTGCCACCTTTGTTGAAACTGAGTTGGCTGTTAAGTGTGTGGATTTATTTGTGGGTTCTCTGTTCTGTTCCATTGGTTGATGTGTCTGTTTCTATGCCAGTACCATGCTCTTTTGGTTACTATAGATTGGTAGTATCATTTGAAAACACAACCATGATGCCTTTAGCTTTGTTCTTTTTGCTCAGGATCACTTCAGCTGTTCAAGGTCTTTTGTGGTTTCATATGAATTTCAGGCTTTTTTCTATTTCTGTGAAGAATGTCATTGGTATTTTGACGGGAATTGCATTGAATCTGTAAATCACTTTGGTTAATATAGACATTTTAACAATATTAATTCTTCTAATCCATGAGCATGGGATATCTTTCCATTTTTTCAGGTTCTTCTTGTTGAGTTACAGGGGTTCTGTATATGTTATGGATATTAATCCCTTATCAGATATATGATTTGCAAATATTTTCTGTCATTCTGTTGGTTGCCTTTTCACTTTGTTGATAATGTCCTTTGGTACACAAAAGTTTTTAATTTTGATGAAGTCCATTTTATCTATTTTTCCTTTTGTTGCCTGTTCTTTTCGTGGTGTCATACCCAAGAAATAATTGTCAAATCCAGTTTCATAAAGCTTTTCCTCAGTATTTTCCTGTGTGAGTTTTATAGGTTTAGCTCTTACATTTAGGTCTTTGATCCATTTTTAGTTAATTTTTGCATACAATGTTAGGTAAGAGTCTAACTTCATTATTTTGCATGTGGATATGCGGTTTTCCCAGCACCATTTATTGGAAAGATTGTCCTTTCCACATGGAATGGTCTTGTGGAAAACCTTTGGCCATTTATGCAAGGCCATGTGTGGCACCCTTGTGGAAAACGATTTAACCATATATTTGAGGATTTATTTCTGGTCTACCTTGTGTGGACTATAAATCTGTCTTTTTGCCCACACCACATGCTTTGATTACCATAGATTCATAGTATGTTTTAAAATCAAGATGTGTGAGACTTCCAACTTTATTCTTCTTTTTCAAGATTGTCTTGGCTATTGATTCTGTTCTTTTGCATTAGAAGTCAGAAAATTTATTGCCTACAAAATCATTTTGAAAGTACTACTCAAGCCTTCTAGTAAAATTAAAAATTAATAAAGGACCAATGAGAGATATGCAAATTATTCATGATCAATTAGCAAACACCAAAACACAGTTGTGTTACAAGTAATAATATAGAACTGAAGCTTAAAGCAGTTGTTAAGAATTATGATTCCTAAGAAAGTAGAACCCAAAAATCAAAAGCAATTTCAAATCAACATTTTAAATGATTTCAACAAAATATAGCAGGTATCAGAGGAAGAGATGGGAATTAGATTGAACTAGGGACCTTATCCTATGTGGAAATTAGAGGTTGTGTATGTTATTTGACTGAGTAAAAATTAAATTTTATGTATAAGTTATTAGATAAAATAAATGGCCTAAAAAGGTAAAAATATACAGACATCTGCTGACCTAGGGGATGCCCAGTCGAGATGGGGTGTACCTGGTTCCACTGTGTGGAATATGAACAGCCCCCTCACTTTGAGGTTCCCTGCAGATCACACCCCCAGAACCTCTCTACCAGAATCTCAGAAGTCAGAGTTCAGTGTTCGAGCCCCGCTGAGAAGCACAGTCCCCTCCCCTGGCACATCAGCTTCTAGGGGCTCTGAGCTCACCGCCACGTCTGTTAAGTCCACCAGATGAGACTTTTCCCATTGATCCTCATCTGTCTCCTGATGGGACATTCATTTAAAAATTAAAGGGTGGGATCGTGTGTTGGGAGTGGGATTCGGGGGTGTGGGATTCACCAGCCAATTTCAAATGCATGTTAAATATTTAAAATCATTTAAAAATTTGAAACATTAATATTTAATTTTTAAAATATAAAAAATTAATCCTAAAATTGAAATTGTTAATTCTCACTTCCCATGAAGTGTGAACATTCTCTTTTATTCTCACTGTCTTTTCCAGTGTTCTCAGGCGCTGTGGTCTCACCTTCCACTGGGGCAACAATGGGCCATTTCCAGCAGGGACGGCGCAGTGTTGGCCTGCATGCCTGACTGCCACACACCTCCAGAATCAGGTGTCTGAAAAGTAAGTCCTGTGTTCGTGGGGCCTTAATGGCAGGCCAAAGGGGCAAGTGCAGTCACCGCCTCTGACAATAGAGCTGGTAGTGGTTCTGTGGACTCCCTGGAAATCAGATCTAAAGCCCAGATAAAGTGTAAGGTTCATTGAGAAAGAGTCATGAAATGTATTTCATACTGCATTAGAATTTGAGATTGGAATAATAGGCATTATTCTTTAAAAGGAAAAAAAAAACAACTGTAGTGATTGACAAGTGACTTGATTTATACCAGTGCAAAATTTGTCATCTGTTGCAACCATTATTGATTTTTTAAATATTATAAGCAAAAGAAAAATAGTGCCATTATCTTAACACACTTAATTATTTTTACTTTTACTGTTTCCTGTTACTTCTTATCCAATAATACAATTTTAATCTGACTGAGAGCATAGCCATTCTTTTGCTTTATGACTCTTGGAACAAAATTTTTATATACCTTCTTGCCTACTTTTTATTTTATAAGCTTTAATTCTACAGCAAACTTGAAGGAATAGAAAAGTGAACACCCGTAATTCTTCACCCAGATTTACCAATTGTTTATACACAAACAGACACACACAGGTGGTAAATATGTGTTTGTGTGTGTTTGATTCTTTTTGTCTGAATCATTTGAAAGTAAGTTGCTGACATCATGACACACTTTGGCATCATCTCCTAAGTACACAGCTACCTTCTACAAAAGTACAGCACTATTACCACTGTGAAATACAATATTGATAAAGTGATATTATCCAAATATGTTGTCCCTACCCAGATACCCCTGATTGTCCCCCAAATATTCATCATAGCTGTTTTTCCCTGCCTAGTGTTCAATTAAGTATCACTCACTGAATTCAGTTATGCCTCTTTTTATCAGAACTAAAGGCCTGCTTTCGTTTTTCTCTTTCGTGATGTTGACGTCTTTGAAGAGTCTGAGCCACTTGTTTTATGGAGTGCTGCACAATCTGGACCTGTCTGATTATTTCCTCGTACTTAGATTAAGATAGACATTTCCTCCATTTCTCTTTCCAGCACATCAGTGGGCACACCGTGGCTCATGGTGATAAGTTTGTTCACTGGGCTAAGGTCGTTTCTACAAGAGTTCTCTTTATAAAGTTACTTTTTTTTTTTTTTTTTGAGATGGAGTCTCGCTCTGTCGCCAGGCTGGAGTGCAGTGGCACGACCTCGGCTCACTGCAACCTCCACCTACCGGATTCAAGCGATTCTCCTGTCTCAGCCTCGCGAGTAGCTGGGACTACAGGCGCCTGCCACCACGCCCAGCTAATTTTTGTATTTTTAGTAGAGATGGGATTTCACCATGTTGCCTAGGATGGTCTCGATCTCTTGACTTCAGGTGATCCACCTGCCTTGGCCTCCCAAAGTGCTGCGATTACAGGTGTGAGCCACCATGTCCAGCCTGTAAAGTCACTTTTTACATTCTTTGTCTTTTACTAGTAAGCAATGGGGCAAACTTTGAAGCCCTGTGAACATTCTCTTCCCTGGCTGATTTTCATCCAGTGATCTTAGCATCCCTTGATGGTTGTGTTATGATTTTTAACCCATTAGTTTATTGGGACCTCAGACTTTCTTTGTCACATAGTCCTTCATGTTTCACATTTTCTGTGGTTGTGGGGTCATCACACAAGGGAAGCATATACTGAGGTGGTCAAGAGGAGGACTCTGAAGTTAGACCATTCAGATAGGCATCTAGGTATGCATCTTGTCTCTGTCATACAACAGCCTGGTGACTGCAAGCAAACATTTCTCCTCACAAACCTTCAGTGTCCTTATAATTACAATTAGGAGACTGGGAGTGACCATCGCAGGAGGCATATGGCAGAGGGTACAGCCTTTGGCTGTCCTTGCTAAGCAGTAGCTGTTAATTATTATCAGACACAGGAAACATGGGCTAGAGCCACCGGATGCTGCTTTTATTCCTGAGATCTCTTATAAGACCTTTAGCAAAAATGCTAATAAATCTGAGTGACAGAGCAGAGGCCCCACGCTCTGTGTCCCTGCAGTTAAAAGGTTGCATAGGGAATGAAACCACTATGGCAGGAAGTATTCATCAGCGAACACTGTCCCGATGTGCACTCCCCCATCGGCTTCCTCCTCCTGCTCTCGGTCAGCCTTAACTGCCTCCCCTCGCTAGGCCTGAACCTCCCTGGTCTGTTGTCAGGTTTGCCTTTCAGTCAGTAACCAATTGGGCTTTTTATCTGAAGATTATGTGTGGTTTTTTTTTTCTACTTAAATCAAGTCCTTTTAGTTTTATTGGCATACCATTGCCACAGAATGCATCTTCCTTGAGAATGTTTTGAAAATTTTACCAAGAAAACAGTTTGTGAAAATATAGGTTATTTTAGAAGCTGTACACGAATATGAATTAGACTGAGTCTTCAAAAAAATTGCTGTTGGAAAACATGTTAGTATCTTAAAAATACTTCCTCTGAAAAGGTTACTTGCCTCATTTTCTTCCCCACAACTCTTAAAAGCAGATGAGAGCTGGTGCTCACAGAGAAGACCGCTCTGTGTCCTGCATCCAGATGACATGCTTTCTGTCGGCTTCTTGTCGGGCTGAGCTTGAAGGGATGGCCCTGTGGGGTTCCCCTGCTTTCTGGGGCGATATCAACCCAGCCAGCCTGGGGTTTGCCAGGACCGGAGGACTCTTCTGGTAGGCTCCAGCCCCAGGCTTCCCTGAAGCCTTTCCACATCTCCTTTTTCCTTCTTACCAGCTGTTTACATGCCAGGAATCCTTGCTTGTCTCCTCGTCCTCTGGATCTCCTCCTTGGAGATGGGACTGTGGCTTTTCTGCTTTCCCAGGAGCAAACCCAAAGGTTATGGGAGGAGTGAAGTGCAGGTGAAAGCAAACCTCTGGTTCTGCATCAACACCAAGGAAATCACTGAGTTTCACCTGAGTGTGTGGATGGAAATATCAGGGCTGCTTTTTTTCAGTTTCCCAAAGCACATCCTGCAGAATGTCTGTCCACTTGGAAACCTGAGCTCTCTAGTCTTGAGTGAGCTCCACACTCATGGCCTGTGTGCTGGAGAACCAAATGGAGGTGGCTGGAAGCCAAGGCAAAGCCCCTGCAGAGAGGCCCACTCCCAGGAGGCTTGCAGGTGCTTGGCCACACTCAGGGGAAAAGGACCCCTCCTCCTCCACGGCGCTGGGCCAGGCCCCTCCCTGCGTCTCCCTCTTCCTGTTCCCTTCTCCTGCACAGCAGCAGCCCGGAAGTATGTGTTCCCCAGTGTGGGTTCAACAGCATCACCAGCCAGGAAACCCTCATACTCAGAACTTGGTTTTGGGGCTTACTCTTCAAAGCCCTGGTGCTGAGCCATGGAAAGAGACACAGTCCCCCGTGAGATGGCATAAGTATAAATTCACAAAAGGCTTGAAGACACACCCTGAGGGCAGTTCTTAAATCCCCTGGGGGCTTGCGATCCACACAGAGATTGTGTCCCATAAGTGTGTGAAGGTGGGTCAGCCAGTCAAGAGAAGGCCAGGAACCCAGTGTCTATTCAGCACTTTGCTGAATTCCCTATGTACATCTTGGTTCTGGTTTACTCCTAGAGCATGCGAAAGCTCAATTCTCAGGCAAAGTCATCTGTTGCCATGTTCCAAAGCTTTATTTAACTCATCAGTAAGGGAACCAGCGAAAAGACAAATGATCTGGCTCCACAAGCATTTGGTAACTGAGATCTTTTTTTGAGATGGAGTCTCGCTCTGTCACCCAGGCTGGAGTGCAGTGGTGCGATCTCGGCTCACTGCAAGCTCCACCTCCCGGGTTCACACCATTCTCCTGCCTCAGCCTCCCGAGTAGCTGGGACTACAGGCGCCCACCACCACGCCCGGCTAATTTTTTTGTTTTTTGTTTTTTGTTTTTTTCAGTAGAGACAGGGTTTCACCATGTTAGCCAGGATAGTCTTGATCTCCTGACCTCATGATCCACCCGCCTTGGTCTCCCAAAGTGCTGGGATGACAGGCGTGAGCCACCGCACCCAGCCAGTAACTGGGATTTTTAAGTTCTGTTGGGAAACAAATGTGGAAATAAGATGCTAAGTTAAGGCAAACCTCTACAAAGCAATGAAAAAAATGCCAAATTTGGAGTTAACTTGTTTACTAGGCAGTAAAAGTCATAAGCTATCAATTCTGCAGGCTAATCTCACAGGGCTATAAACCTCTTTATTTAACCAATTGTGAATGATTAGATAAATATTTGTCACACTGCTCAAGAGCTTCCGAATGGGATCAGTCAGACTTATTTGCATTCTAGTAGAATATCACAGATTCCAGAAATCATCATTTTTCCCTTTTTCAAGTTTGGAATCAACGTTTCCATAACAATCAGCTAAAATATGGTGATTGACAAGTTGTGAGTGATCACGTAGCACCGGGTGAAGGTGCTGCTTTTTGGCCTGCACAATGCACTTGAGCTCCGGTGTAGATACTGCAAGGCCATGTGTGGGAGGCAGCTTCTGACACAGCTCCCAACCATTCCTGCCTCTTGACATCGCATCTTTGTGTTGTCCCCTGCCCTTGGGTGTGGGCTGGACATGGTGACTTGCTGTTAATAAACAAAATACAGCAGAAGTGACAGATGTCACTTCCAAGACCAGGATACAAACACTGTGACTTCTGTCTTGCTCAGGCTCTCTCTGACTCTTCTCACATGGTTGCTCTGATGAAACAACTCTGATGTTGTGATCTCACCTATGGAAAGGCCCACGTGGCAAAGAACTGAGCTTCTTAGTTCAACAACCCTCAGAAACAATTCTGTGAATGATCACATGAGTAAGCTTGGAAGAGAATGCTTCCTCATTTGAGCCTTCAGACGAGACTGCAGCCTCAACTCACATTTTGGTTGCAGCCTTGTGAGAGACCCTGAGAAGGTGCACTCTGACTCCTGCCCCACAGAAATGGTGAGATTATGAATATGTGTTATTTTAAGTCCCTAAATCTGGGAGTTGTCGTTTCACAGCAATAGGTAACTGATGCAGCATCCATGAAATTTATAGTGTTGATTGTTCTTGGATATATGCTTCTCAGCAGAGCTGTGTTTCATCTTTGCCGGCTTCTCCCATCTCCTTTCTCCTGCTTCTCTACTCCCCCTTTCCTATTATTTATTAATCTTCCTTTCTTTATTCCCACTCCATTTGAGTTCCACTTCTCTGCAACTGTAATTGCATCCTTGGCCATTGATTAGGGAGGCTTAACTAGAGGCACCTTATTTGTGGAGACAATGTGCAGGTCAGAAAGATTCCCCATCCTTGGCCAGTAGCAAAATCGTTTTCTTTGTTGAAATCAATTGCTTCCAACTTACTGTGGCTACATCATCCAGGGCTGCAATGCTTCTTATTTGGTCTTGAGCCAATGCTTAGTGTTTGAATGAAATTGGCTTTAGCATTCTTTCCTCAGGGGAGTGTGGACAAATAAATTTTCTGCTTAAGAATGCAGTTTCTTTCTGACTCAAACAGCTGATCCTATAAACTTGGACTTCATAGTCATCAGTTTCAATTCAGAACCAACCTTTTAAAAATTATATGTTATTTTGATATAAAAAGTACCAAAAGCAAATCTTCTGAAGGAATAGAACTCCAGACGGTTTTATTAGGTTTCCAAGGTTATTAGTCTAAGAATATGTTGCAAATAAATACATAAATAATGACCACAATAATCATAATCATACCTATCTTTTTAATTTTTTTATTTCTATGGGTGTATAGTAGATGTATATATTTATGAGGTACCTATCCTTTTTTTGGTACTTGCTGTGTGCCAGGCACTATGCTATGTAATCACCACCACAACCATATTAAAATAGGAACTGCTATCCTCATTTCAAAACTGAGGCAGTGAGAACCAGAGACTACACATAAATTGTCCCCAGGAATTTTTGGAATGCCTGCGTGGATTTGTATTTGTATAAGTGTTTCTAGTGACTAAAAATGAAAACCCAGGGAACTAAAGAAGAAAACAATTAGTAGATTAATCTATTAGGTCATAAAGTTGACAGGGTATTATAGAAAGTTGGGTGGGTTCTTCAGAATCCACCTATCTCACTGTTATCTATTTTAAAAGTTCAGAGCCATACATGATGACAGATATTTATTTCCTTTATGTTTATTTTTTTATTTGGGAAAGTTGTTTATTCTATTTGAAAAGATAGACACTAAAATGAAACACTGAATTTTACCAGTCGCTGACATGTGTAAGTAGTCCACTAATATGGGCCGATGAGAAAGCCCAAAAGCTGAAATTCTCCTGTATTTGTGAAATCTTAATTCTTTTTTCTTAATGGAAAGAGCCACTGCCATCGACTCTCTTGGTTTCACTTACTCTAAGTGGAACTCTAAGTGGTCTGGAAACTTCCAAGTATAAGCAACCAGCCCACTGGAATTTCTAACCAAATGTCCCTTAGACACCCTTCCCTGTGTCCCTTTTTAACATGCACAGTCACACACAGTTATGCGAATGTGCACATACATTCACACACACATGTGCATGCAAACATGCACATATATTCACACACACTCAACATAAACATGCACACAGAAGTCACAAACACACATACACACTATTAAACACATGCACACTCACATGGACACGCACACACACAGCACATGCATGCACATGCTCACACATGGACACCTAAACATACAGGCACACCTAGTCTATGATCCATTCAGAGTTAATTTTTATATATGGTGTTAAGATGTAGATTGAGTTTACTTTACTGAAGTCCATTTGCTCCAGCATCATTTTTTGGAAAAGTCTATCTTTTCTCCATTGAATTGTCTTTGTGCCTTTGTCAAAAATCAGTTGTCTTTTGTTTTGGTAATAAACGTGTCTATCCTTTACTATCCCAATACTATACTGTCTTGGCCACAGGAGGTTTATAACACATCTTAAAATCAAGTGTGTGAGTCCTCTAACTTTTTTCTTTTTCAGTGTTGTTTTGGCTAATCTAGTTTCTTTGTCTTTCTATATAAATTTAGAATCAGCTTGTCTGTGCCTACAAAGAAACCTGCTGGAGTGTTGACTGGGATTGCATTGAATTTATAGATCAGTGTGACTATACTTGACATCTTAACTGTGGTATATCTTAAAATCCATAAAAACAATACATCTCTCTATTTATTTAGGTCAATTTTGGTCTCTCTTGTCTGAATTTTGTGAATTGCTTAGTTAGAATTTTTGACTGTGTCCTGGCTCTGTTGTTCTCCAGGTCTACATGGACCCCGTTCCCTTTTCCTGGCTTTGCACCACTGTCCATACCCCTTCCCCAATTACATGGAGCTCAGCCCTCTATTTTGCAAAATCCCCAGTCCTCTGTGGTTTTCAGATGAGAAGTCACTTCCTCAGAGCCTCTCTCACTCTCTCCTCCACTCCAGTCTAGCATGGGTGCCCTTCCCTTGTGCCTGACACCATCTTGTCTCTCATAGCTCTAAGCATCATATAACTGCCTCATTAATTTGTTTTTTAGGCCAGCAGCCCAAATACTCTTAGAAGGTAGAGACCCTGCCTAATTTTAGGTTGTATCCCTAGCACATAACACAGAGCAATGGCCCAGTTAATGGCAGCTGAGTGTAGGAATGGAGCAATGAAGGAGTGAAAGGAACTGAAAAGGGGGAAGTAAACTAGCCTTGAGTGAGGCTCTGCTCTGTGTCAAGCACCATGAAGGTAGGTCAACAGTGGTCAATAGAAATTAGACTGTCAGAGAGAAATTAGACAGTCATTATTAGACAGTGAAACACAGTCAGAAAGGTATAGAGGGAGAAAGGAAAGGAGGGAGGGGGATATATAGACAGACATTCAGGCAGGTTTTGGATAATCAGATAAATACATTCATAGGCATATGGGTAGATATGCAGACAAACAAGATAGGTTGAAAGACATACAGACAAGAAGGAAAAACATTGAGATTACAGATGGACAGACAGAAAAACAGAGTTTCCAGCATAGAGAGACAGACAGGTAGTCATATAGACAGATATATAACACAAAGACATACAGACATACTGACAAACAGACAACCAGAAACATGCATAGGTGGGTGGCTGGGTGGGTGGGTGGGTGCATGGGTGGATGGATGGATGGATGGATGGATGGATGGAGACAGGTAGAAATAGACAGGATGGCAGAAAGAAAGAAACATGGATAGTTAGACATCTACTTAGCAGACACATGACCAACAGAAGGGGAGACAGAAAATCAGGAAAGAGGAAGGCAGACAGACAATGAGAAAATTAATAAGAAAGATAGATACATACGGACAGGAAAAAATATATATCAAAAGATACATAGGTAGGTAGGTAGGTGTGTGGAACAAGAAAGGGAGAGATAGAATATAGATTGAAGATAGATGATAGGTGGACAGACAGGCAGGCAGACCAATAGTATGTTTTTATTTAGGTTTATTTAAACTTAACAAAGTTCTAAGAAAGATATGGTATCTTCCGCATGTATTGATGGGGAAGTGGATTCACAGGGGTTTAGTGACTTCCTAAAGACCACACTTGAAGAGAATGGCAAAACCTCAACTCAAAACTAGCCCTGCCTTTCCCCGGGGTTTGTGCCAGCACAGCCTGCATGGATTCTCCAGCCCACATCACTTCAGCTGCTAAACAAAGTGCACCTTTCTACTCTTCTCTTGCTTGCATCTGCTTCCATGCTGGAGCCCAGACCCCTGTCATTTCTTGTATCTTATTTAATAGCTTCAGTAGGAAATGATGCTTGAAGTATGGTTTATTATGTGAGCAGGGGGCAAAGAGTTTGGGAGGCCTTAAAGTAGAGATGAGTGTCCTGCTCCTTCCCTCCCGGGTCCTGAGCTCCTAAGAGCCCTCATGACCATAGCCAGTTTTCCTTCTGGACAGTTTTCTACCCATGAGACCTTTTTCCTGTTAGTATTGTTTAACCATGCTATAACACATTAATATTCTGATGTGTCTTAGAGACACTTTCATGTTGACACCTGTAATGTAGTCCAGGTACTGATATAATAGGCTTGATTCAGCCAGTCTCCTATGGACAAACTTTTTTTACATTTCCAGCTATGCTGTAGGGAACATCCTTAGACATGCCTCTTTGTACACATAAGCAGAGTGTTCTCTCAGCAAGATACTGAGAGGCAGAATTGTACAGTTACAATTCTATATATGTATTCTATATTAAAATGTGTATTCTATATTAAAAACAATTTTAGATCCTAAAAAAATGCCCCCTGCTGACCTCACCACTAGCCCAATATTCCCCTACTAGCAGTGTTAAAAACTACCAATTTCACTTCACCAGGACTTGATGTTTTCAGGCTTTTTTTCCCTTGCCAATTTGATGCATGAGGGCTTGGGTGAGGGTGGTTAGTGATTATCTTGTCTAATTTGTATTTTCATCATTACGACTAAGGTTGATTCTCTTTTCATTTGTTGACTAGTCATTTGAGTTTTCTGTAAATTACATATTCATATAATATGTAAATTTTTTAATTCGTCCTTTGAATATCAATCCCTTGTTTTTATGTTTTTTCCAGAATTTCTTATTCTGTTATATAACTTTAAAATATCTATGATTTTTTTCTCATACAGAACTTTGTTTATTGTCTTTGGTTTTTGCTATTATCAGTTTTATCAACTTTATTTTGATGGTGTATTAGTCTGTTTTCACACTGCAATAAAGAGCTGCCCAAGATTGGGTAATTTATAAAGGAAAGAGGTTTAATTGGCTCACAGTTCAGCATGGCTGAGGAGTCCTCAGGAAACTTACAATCATGGCTGAACGTGAAGGGGAAGCAAAGCACATTTCTTTACAGGGCAGCAGGAAGGAGAAATGCAAGCAGTGGAAATGCCAGGCACTTAGAGAACCATCATATCTCATGAGAACTCATTCACTATCAGGAGAACTCACTCACTATCATGAGAACAGCATGGGAGAAACCACCCCCATGATCCAATGACCTCCACCTGGTCCCATCCTTGACACATGGGGATTACAATTCAAGATAAGATTTTGGGTGGGGACATAGCCAAATCATAGAATTCCACATCTGGCCCCTTCCAAATCAAATCTCATGTTCTCACATTTCAAGACATAATCATGCCTTTCCAACAGTCCCCCAAAGTCTTAACTTATTCCAGCATTAACCCAGAAGTCCGAGTCCAAAATTTCATCTGAGACAAGGCAAGTCCCTTCTGCCTATGAACCTGTAAAGTCAAAAGCAAATTAGTTACTTCCTAGATACAATGGGGGTACAAGCATTGGGTGAATACAGCCATTCCAAATTGGAGAAATTAGCCAAAACAAAGGGGCTGCAGGCCCCATGCAAGTCCAAAATCCAGTAGGGCAATGTTAAACCTTAAAGTTCCAAAATGATCTCCTCTGACTCCATGTCTCACATCCAGGTCATGCTGATGGAACAGGTGAGCTCCTATAGCCTTGGGCAGCTCCATCCCTGTGGTATTGCAGGGTATAGACCCACTCCTGGCTGCTTTCACAGCCTTGTGTTGAGTGTCTGCAACTTTTCTAGGTGCACAGTACAAGCTGTTGGTGGATCTACCATTCTGGGATCTGGAGCATAGTGGCTCTCTTCTCACAGCTCCACTAAGCAGTACCTCAGTGGGGACTCTGTATGGGGGCTGTGACCCCACATTTCCCCTCTGCACTGCCCTAGCAGAGGTTCTTCATGAGGGCTTTGCCCCTGCAGCAAACTTTTGCCTGGACATCCAAGCATTTCCATAGATCCTCTGAAATCTAGGCAGAGGTTAACCTCAATTCTTGACTTCTGTGCAGCTGCAGGCCAAACACCACATGAAAGCTGCCAAGGCTTGGGGCTTGCACCCTCTGAAGCAACAACCTGAGCTGTACATTGGCCCGTTTTAGCCACAGCTGGGACACAGAGCACCAAGTCCTAAGACTGCACAAAGCAGCAAGGCCCTGGGCCCGACCCACAAAACCGCTTTTTTCCTCCTAGGCCTCCTGGCTTGTGATGGGAGGGGCTGCTGTGAAGACCTCTGACATGCACTGGAGACATTTTCCCCATTGTCTTGGTGATTAACATTTGGCTCCTCATTACTTACGTACATTTCTACAGCCAGCTTGAATTACTCCTCAAAAAATTGGTTTTTCTTTTCTATCGCATTGTCAGGCTGCAAATTTTCTGAACTTTTATGCTCTGCTTCCTTTTAAACATAAGTTCCAATTCCAAACCATATCTTTGTGAATGAATAAAACTAAATGCTTTTAAGAGCACCAAGTCATCTCTTGAACGCTTTGCTGCTTAGAAATTTCTTCCACCAGATACCCTAAATCATCTCTCTCAAGTTTAGAGTTCCACAGATCCCTAGGGTAGGGGCAAAATGCCACCAGTCTCTTTGCTAAAGCATAAAAAGGGTCACCTTTGCTCCAGTTCCCAACGAGTTCCTCATCTTCATCTGAGACCACCTCAGCCTGGACTTGATTATCCATCTCACTGTCAGCATTTTGATCAAAGCCACTCAGCAAGTCTAGGAAGTTCCAAAGTTTCCCACATCTTCCTGTCTTCTGAGCCCTCCAAACTGTTCCAGCCTCTGCCTGTACCCAGTTCTAAAGTCACTTCCACATTCTTGGGTATCTTTATAGCAGCGCCCCACTCTCTGTGGTACCAATTTACTCTATTAGTCTGTTTTGATACTGCTATAAAGAACTGCCTGAGACTGGGTAATTTACAAAGGAAAGAGATTTAATTGACTCACAGTTCAGCATGGTTGGGGAGTCCTTAGGAAACTTACAATCATGGTGGAAGGTGAAGGGGAAGCAAGATACCTTCTTTACAGGACAGCGGGAAGGAGAAATACAAGCAGGGGAAATGCCAGGCACTTATAAAAACCATCATATCTCGTGAGAACTCACTCATTATCATGAGAACAGCATAGGGGAAACCACTCCCATGATCCAATTACCTCCACCTGATCCCACCCTTGACACATGGGGATTATGGGGATTACAATTCAGGATGACATTTTGGGTGGGGACACAGCCAAACCATATTGGATGGACCTTCACTTTTTAGCTCTTAAAAAGGCTTTATTTATTAGTTAGGGCTGGCTAAATGCTAAAATGAACATCCCCACAAATCTCAGCACTTTAACACAAGGCAGCTTTATTTCTTGCCATGTGCCAGCCTGATAGAGACCACACCATCATGTAGGGACCCACATTTCTCCCATCCAGCAGCTCTACTATCCCCTGGGGTCACTGACTCCCTGCTGAATCCTCTCTAATGAGCTGAGCTGGCAAATAAGAGATAAGGGAGAAGTGGGGATGCAGTGGGAGACTGGGGCCAGGCCTGGAAATGGCTCAGGTTCCTTCCATGCCATATTCTATTTTGATGGAACTTAAGTCACGTGGCCACACCTTGCTTGGCCTTGGGAGGCCAAGAAATGTGACCTAGAAACACAAAGGCAAGGGCCATGGTCAACATCAGGCAGGGTCTCCAGCACACTTTATTACCACAAGGTCATAAATGTATTCACCTATACTTTTCTCTGGCACACTTACAGTTTTACTTCTTGTCTATGTGTATTTAATTCCTGTGAAATTTGTTGGTCAGTGATATGATGTAGGGAATCTTGCTTTATTTTTTCCAATTAGGTTTCCAACTTATTTTATAAATTTTATAATGTGGTCCTTTTCCCACAGGATTTTTAGAAATTTAGTATTCCCCACGTGTGTCATTCTGTCAGTTAGAGATGCTTTCAGCTTCGTCGGAGATGTTTAATTTCACAAGACAGAGTTGGGAGCCAGTGCACCATTGGGTTGACTGCTCAGTGATGTCATGGCAGCATCTTTCAGGTTCTCTTGACCCGTCCCTCATGGTCACAGGCCAGCACAGCTTCTCGTATCACATCACTTCAAGGTGGGAGGATTCTATGCATACCTCTTAGGAAGGCAAAACATTTGCCAAAAGTAGCCTAGCAGATTTCCTATTGCATTTTGGCAGCTCATGGAGGAGAAAGAACTGGCCACATGGATACTTTTAGCTGCAGGAAAAACTGGTAAAGCAGAAGTCAGAATTGTCTTGATTCACTTAGCCCAATCATCAGCCCATGTATTAAGCCCGTGGATTTACTACATGGGGCTGAGCACATTGTAGCCATGAGCAAAAGCAAAGGTCTGTTGGCAATAAGGAAGGGGAATGGGTATTGGATGGGAAGTTAAGGGCATCTGCCATTATCATCTACCAAATTCTCTCTCTTCCCCCACTACCCTCACACATCTCTGCATTTTCTGTTCTCCTCCACGGGTCCATGTGTCTCTGTCTATCCCTGTGTATCCATCACTTTAGTCACAATATCTTTATGTGTGAAGTGTGGGAGAACAAACATGCAACTTATTTTCTTCAAAATTGTCTTGGAATTACTGGCTTATTCTTCTAAGTTTTAGAAACTGTTTGTCAGCTTCCACAAAAAATTCTGTATTGATTGCATTCAATTTATTATACATATTAGAGAGGAACTGGCATCTTAACAATATAGTCTTCCCATCCGTTTATTGAAGTTCTCTTTCTATACCTCATTAAAGTTTTATTATTTAGGTTTCCTTCTTTTTGTGTGTTTTTCCTAATTAACTTACAGGAGATTTGGTGGGGGTTGGTTGGCTATTATGAAATAGATTTTTTTGTGTTGTTTTTAAAATTCTAACTTGGCTAATGTTGACATGTAGGAAGAGTGTTGATTTTTGGATGTTGATCTTGTTCCAGCCATTTAAAATGTTCTCATTTGTTGTAATACTTAGTCATGAGTTTGTTCTAAACCTTGATGGAAATGCTTCTAAAGTTTTCATTATTAGGTCTGATAAGTCCTAAAAAATTAGAATCAATATCATTTAATAAGTAGAAAAAAGGTTCCTTCTATTCCTGGTTTGTTTCAACTTGGTATAATGAATAACTGGGCTTTTTGGCATCTTTTAAGATGACCATATGGTTTTTCTCCTCAAATTTGTTAAGATAGTGTATTGGCATGAGAATCATGTTTGGCTGTTAGTAACAGAGAGGAGACATTATGGCAGATTTAACAAGAGGAGAATTCACTTCTCTCACATGTACGAGAATGAGGCACTCCAGGGTTGGTAATGGCATCTCCAGAACCCCACAGACTCAACTCCTTCCACCCTAATAACCCCCACAACCAAGCACCCAAGATGGCTGCAGCGGCTCCAAGGCTCTAATTTGTCTCTTTATCTCTTTTTCTGTGTTTTGGACTCATTTGCTAATCTTTAAGTTGTAAATCTATGTTTATAAATGGTATTTGCCTTGGGTTTTTTTTTTTTTCTATTGCCTCTTTTCTAGTTCAGACATCTGAGTCATTTTACCTTTATCTCTCAATTAGGAATACATTCAGCTACAAGTAACCAGACATTTGACTTAACTGGCTTGAAAAAGTAGATACTTAGATGAGAATTATAATAAGAAGTCCAGGGGTGGACTGTCTACGGCTGGTGCAAGCGTTCCATGATACCATCGGAAATAGCTTCCTACTCCACCCAACTTTTCTTGGGTTTTGTCCTCTTGCATCATGTTTTATACTCCCAGAATGGTGGGTGGACTTGCAGATGTTATTTCCTCACTCAAGGCAGAAAGAAGGGGAAAGGCATCACGAGAAAGGACTATTCCATTTAAGCCTGTCTCTTTCCATCAGGTAAGCAAGTGCTTTCCTCTAAACCCAACCAGTTGGAAACCCAACCATTTCCATCAGGTAGACTGGATCGTCGTCCAGCATGGCACATGCAGATTGGTGAATCACAGGTCAGGGAATAATGGGCTTTTACCAATTGCATTTCATCCCTGGGTGCTAGGAATTTTGTCTTTCTTTTCTGAAATCCAGGGTCTCAACTGCTCCCTGATAAACCAAGATTCAGTCTGCAGTAGGTGCAAGCGTATGCAGTGGACAACATCTAAGAAGCTGGGCTAGCACCTGCCCGTTGCCTTCTAGGCTCTGGATGTCAATTTTTTGTATCTTCATTTATTTTCCTAAAGTATGTAATTCCTGTCAGTTCTGTCTTCTGAAACTCTTATCAGCCTCCCACTGGCCTCATAACATAGGTAAGCTACTCACCCTGGCAGCCCCAGGGCTGGCCCTCACCTTCACCCCCAGCCTTTTGGCCACCGGCTCTCCTGGAGACACTGGGGTATCTGTGCCCGGCCACCACCCATGTTGCTCATCCAGCCCAGAATGCCCTCTTTGGACTTTTCCTTAATCCTCCTAAAAAATTTATCTTACCTTCAGCTGTCTTCATCTGCCAGGCACAGAGAACTGTTCCTTTCTTATATTCCAATGGGTTTACTTGTAAGCAGTATTAGAGTACTGATTCCAATCTAGGTGGAATTTTGGGTATTTTCATGTCTGCCCATCAGAATGGAGCATGAAGGTAGGTTTAGTGTTTTTAGTTTCCTTTTGTTCATTTATTCAGCATACTTATTATCCTGTATATTCCAGCTTGTGGTGATGTTAAGACAAATAAAACATGAACCCTGTCCTCCAGGGCAGCCTTCACAGACAGAAGAAGGAGGCAAGTAGGTTGGGGTGACAGCTCAATACGCAAAGTGTGCCCCACCACTTGTCACAATGACAATGGCAGGCCGGGAAAAGAGGCTGACCCATTAGGCTGTCTTTTCCTTGAAAATAAGGTGCCTTTACCCAGAAGAACTGATTTAATGATTGGAATCAATAGGAAAAGTAGCAACCTGATTTGTAAGGTTTTTGGATTTTTTTTAAACCCTTGTCAATGGCACATTGGTCTGATTCAGGCACATATTTTATGCCAGTGTAACAGCTAGATTTGTGAGCCTGAAGAATAAAAACATAAATCTTTCAAAGCAAAGCGGACTTGCAAGCATTCCAATGCTGAAGGTTTAGAATTGTCAGGCAAGCTCTGCTGCGCATTTTCAGGGATGAGATAATCTCTGTGACATGGAGGTTCTCTTGTAAGGTGATCTTTTCAGGGTGTGGGCACATTACACTGTTGCAAGATTGTAGTTTTCTACAAGTCAGAACAAGTGTCACCATGTTTCGTGGCCTTACAAAGTTCACTTTCGTGATTAAGTCTTTTCTTCAAAACTATTGATTATTATTCCTTGTGGATTCTTTAGGAATTGTCTACAAACTAGCCCAAATTTAGAATGGTTGGACTTAGGATTTTCTAACTTTAGGATAGATTTCTTGGGAGGTTACCCCATCGTAAGTCAAGGAGCATCTGGACTTAATGATGGTTCGACTTATTTCAACTTTAAGGTGGATTTATTGGAATATTAAATTCATTTCAACTTAATGTATTTTCAACTTAAGATAAGTTTATTGGTGTATAACCCCATCATAAATTGAGCATCTGTAGTTTTTATGAACAGTCTGTAACCTTTTTGGGATCATAAGCCCATGACTGTAATGACAGCTGTACACTTGCTGTCATAGGAGGAACCCTGGAAAAATTCTATATGCCATTGATGAGTATATCATTTCAGTGCACACAGGAGAAGGCTTCAGTAGGTCCTACACTTACTGCTATTCCCAAATATGTAAATTTTAGAAGAGACTTTTCTTCCATCTTTCCATACTGGGAGAAAACTATGAGAAGGTACAACTGAGTGAGTGTCAACAAAGGAAATGTTTTGCTTCCAATCATGCATCTGTGCACATAATATATTTCAAAGGCACCAGATGTTTTGACCTGACACCTTTTGAAGACACCCCGTTCCATTGTAAAGGGATAGTATTGTGTGATGGAATAATGGTGACTTTTGGATCAAAGTGAGTCTATGTGGGAATCCTTACTCTGCCACTGGGCACTCTGGGCTTTAGTAAAATGGAACTAAACCACTGTCCCTGTGGAATTGTTGCCTGTAGGAGAGTTAACTCACCCTTAAAGCAGTAAGCACGATCAATGTAATTGTGGGCACTCAGCAAGTAACATTTATTTTCCTTAGTGAGATATATAGGGGATTTAGGCCCATGGGAAGAATCTTTTTAACTGCATTCAAATAAATTTGAAAACCAAGTTAAGATGGATAAATCTCTAGGAAAATATGACCTAACAAAATTAAACCATATAGAGATAGAAAGACTGGGCAGAGCAATTTCCACAGGAAAAAATTAGAGGAAGGTGTAAAAGAGCTCCCTGAAAAAGAAGGACCAGGAAGATTGATTCGTGGGTCAAATCTACCAACCTTCAGATATCAAATGGCCCTGGTGCTACTTAGGTTAATCCAGAGCATTGAAAATAAAGTGAAACTTTCCATTTTGTTTTATGTATATAATATTAACTATAAAGCCTGACAAAGATTACACATAAAAGTAAAAACCATAGCTCAATCTAGTTTATTAATATTAATTTAAGAATTTTACAGAAATCCAAATGCCATATGTTCTTACTTAAAAGCAGGAGCTAAGCATTAAGTACACATGGACTCAAAGAAAGGAACAACAGACACTGGGACCTACTTGAGGATGGAGGGTGGGAAGAGGATGAGGATAAAAATACTACCTAACAGGTCCTATCCTTACTACCTGGGTGGCAAAATAATCTGTACACCAAACCCCCATGACATGCACTTTACCTATATAACAAACCTGTGCGTGTCCCCCGAACCTAAAGTAAAAGTTAGAAAAAAATAAACAAGTATTATGGGAATCATTTAAAAAAGAGTTTTAAATAAAAATTAGCAAAACCAAATCAAAAAGCACATAAAAAGAAACATCAATGAATGATTACAGGAGATTTATTCCAGAAACATGAGTTAGGTTCAGTATTAGGAAGCACATTAATATAATTCATCATAGTAGTAGATTTTATGAAAAAAATAGTATGAAAGTCAACATCTATCCATAATAAAACCACTCAGTAGAAGAGGTTCATGGATACTTTTTAAATGTGTGTGTGTCACTACCCAACTTCAAACTATACTACAAGACTACAGAAACCAAAACAGCATGGTACTGCTACAAAAAACAGACACATAGACCAATGGAACAGAATAGAGATCTTGGAAATAAGACCACACATCTGCAACCATCTGATTTTTGACAAAAACAAGCAATGAGGAAAGGATTCCCTATTTAATAAATGTTGCTGGGAAAACTGGCTAGCCATATGCAGAAAATTGAAACTGGATCCCTTCCTTACACCTTATACAAAAATTAACTCGATGGCTTAAAGATTTAAATGTAAAACCAAAACTATAAAAACCCTAGAAGAAAATCTAGGCAATGCCATTTAGGACATAGGCATGGGCAAAGATTTCATGACAAAAACATCAAAAGCAATTGCAATAAAAGCAAAGATTGGGATCTAATTAAACTAAAGAGCTTCTGCACAGCAAAAGAAGGTATTATCAGAGTGAACAGACAACCTACAGAATGGGAGTTGTTTTTTTTTTTTTTTTTTTTTTTTTTGAGACAGAGTCTCGCTCTGTCCCCCAGGCTGGAGTGCAGTGGCACGATCTCAGCTCACTGCAAGCTCCGCCTCCCGGGTTCATGCCATTCTCCTGTCTCAGCCTCCCAAGTAGCTGGGACTACAGGCGCCCGCCACCACACCCGGCTAATTTTTTTTTTGTATTTTTAGTAGAGACGGGGTTTCACCTTGTTAGCCAGGATGGTCTTGATCTCCTGACCTTGTGATCCACCCGCCTCAGCCTCCCAAAGTGCTGAGATTACAGGCGTGAGCCACCGCGCCCGGCCGGGAGAAGATTTTTATAATCTATCCATCTGACAAAGGTCTAATATCCAGAATCTACAAGGAACAAATTTACAAGAAAGAAACAAACCCATTAAAAAGTGGGCAAAGGATATGAACAGACACTCCTCAAAAGAAGACATTTAGGTGGCTAACAAACATACGAAATAGAGCTGAACATCACTGGTCATTACAGAAATGCAAAGCAAAACTGCAATGAGATACCATCTCATGCTATAGTCAGAATGACAATTATTAAAAAGTCAAGAAACAACAGATGCTGGCAAGGCTGTGGAGAAATAGGAATGCATTTACACTGTTAGTGGGAATGTAAATTAGTTCAACCATTGTGGAAAACAGTGTGGTGATTCCTCAAAGACGTAGAACCAGAAATACCATTTGACTTGGAAATCCCATTACTTTATATACCCAAAGGAATACAAATCATTCTGTTATAAAGATACATGCATGTGTGTGTTCATTTCAGCAGTATTCACAATAGCAAAGACATGGAATCAACCCAAATGCCCATCAGTGATAGACTGGATAAAGAAAATATGGGATCTTCATGGCTCTGACTCAGATGGACACAGCAGCATTCCGAGGCTTGCATCGTGAATTTTTAGCTCCAGATCGACTGCAAGAACAAACCAGCAATCCTGAGAGGACCCACAGACCCTCTGAAGGAAGCAGACTGCTCCTGCAGGACCCAGGAAACACCTCAAATACTGTGAGTGCCCACCTGCGGAAGTGGAAAAGGGAGATCCTGCTCTCCCGAACACACACCCCCAATGGAGAAATTGAAAGTCTTTTTGCAGGAGAAGTTTCCGACCTTAACTGGAGCTGAGTCAGTTTAGAGAACTGAGTGAAATACAGGGGTAGAGGAAGCAGTGGGAAAGGCCCTGGGAGCTCCCTGGGTCCCCAAGCAGGCCATTCCTGCCTGGCACCACAGGGATCCTTTGGGAGGGAAGCCAGAGGAGTAGGGAAAAACACCACAGAGAGAAGGAAGTCTCCAGCTGAACTTTGTAACAATTTGAACTGGGTGAGAAGCCTCTTTGCCAGAACTCAGGGGAGGGTGCGAATCTGTCCTGCAGACTCTCCACAGGCGGGGGTAGAACCAAGCCCCTTTCTTTCCAGCTGGGAAGCAGGTAACCTGGGGGAAGTTCTCAGCTCTGCTCACCCACTGCCTGGAAACAGACTTGGGGCTGTTACGGGAGGCACAGTGGGAGGAGACCGGCCCTTCGGACTGCATGGGAGCTGGGTGAGGCCTGCGACTGCCGGCTTTCCCTCACTTCCCTGACAGCCTGCATGACTCAGCAGAGGCAACCATAATCCTCGTAGGTACACAACTCCATTGACCTGGGAACCTCACCCCCCATCCCCCACAGCAGCCTCAGCAAGACGCACCCAAGGACAGTCTGAACTAAGACATACCCAACCCTGCCCCCACCTGATGGGCCTTCCCTATCCACCCTGGTAGCTGAATACAAATGGCATGTAATCTTGGGAGTTCTAGGGCCCCACCCACCACTGGTTCTTCTCCATGCTACCACAGCTGATGCTCCCTGGAAAGTGCCATCTCCTGGCAGGTGACCAACCAGCACAAAAATAGGATATTAAACCACCAAAGCTAAGAATCCTTGCAGAGTCCATTTGACCCCACCACCAGCTCCAGGAGAACAGGTGCTGGTGTCCACAGCTAAGACACCCATAGATGGTTTACATCACAGGACTCTGTACAGACGATACCCAGTACCAGTCTGGAGCCAGGTAGACTTGCTGGGTGGCTAGACCCAGAAGAGAGACAGCAATTGCTGCAGTTCGGCTGGCAGGAAGCCACAATTATAGGAAAACCAGGAGAGTATTACATCAAGGGAACACGCCATGAGACAAAAGAATCTGAACAACAGCCTTCAGCCGTAGACCTTCCCTCTGACAGAGCTTACCCAAATGAGAAGAAACCAGAAAACCAACCCTGCTAAGATGACCAAACAAGGCTCTTTAACACCCCCCAAAAAATCACACTAGTTCACCAGCAATGGATCCAAACCAAGAAGAAATCCCTGATTTACCTGAAAAATAATTCAGGAGGTTAGTTATTAAGCTAATCAGGGAGAGGCACCAGAGAAAGGCAAAGCCTAATGTGAGGAAATCCAAAAAACAATACAAGAAGTGAAGGGAGAAATATTCAAGGAAATAGATAGCTTAAAGAAAAAACTATCAAAACTGCAGGAAACACTGGACACACTTATAGAAATGCAAAATGCTTTGGAAAGTCTCAGCAATAGAATTGAACAAGTATAAGAAAGAAATTCAGAGCTCAAAGACAAGGTCTTTGAATTAACCCAATCCAACAAAGACAAAGAAAAAATAATAAGAAAATATGAACAAAGCCTCCAAGAAGGCTGGGACTATGTTCAACAACCAAACCTAAGAATAATCAGTGTTCCTGAGGAATAAGAGATTTCTAAAAGCTTGGAAAAATATATTTGGGGGGAATAATGGAGGAAAACTTCCCTGGCCTTCCCAGAGACCTAGACATTCAAATACAAGAAGCACAAAGAACACCTGGGAAATTCATCTCAAAAAGATCATCACTTAGGCACATTGTCATCAGATTATCTAAAGTTCAGATGAAGGAAAGAATCTTAAGAGCTGTGAGACAGAAGCACCAGGTAACCTATAAAGGAAAACCTATCAGACTAACAGCAGATTTCTCAGCAGAAACCCTACAAGCTAGAAAGGACTGGGGCCCTATCTTCAGTATCCTCAAACGAAACCATTTTCAGCTAAGAATTTTGTATGCAGCAAATTCCTATCATATATGATAGATATATACAGCCTTTCAGAAAATACAGAGAGAATTGACCACTACCAAGCCACCACTAGAAGAACTGCTAAAAGGAGCTCTAAATCTTGAAACAAATCCTAGAAACATATCAAAACAAAACTTTGTAAAGCATAAATCACACAGGACCTATAAAACAAAAATACAAGTTAAAAAGCAAAAACAAAAAATGAAAAAACCAAGGTACACAGGCAACAAATAGCACAATGAATGCAATGGTACCTGACATCTGAATAATAACATTGAATGTAAATGGCCTAAATGCTCCACTTAAAATATACAGAACTGCAAAATAAATAAGAACTCACCAGTGAACTACCTGCTGCCTTCAGTAGACTCACCTAATACATAAGGACTCACATAAACTTAAAGTAAAAGGGTGGAAAAAGGCATTTCATGCAAATGGACACCAAAAGCAAGCAGCAGTAGCTATTCTTATATCAGACAAAACAATCTTTAAAGCAACAGCAGTTAAAAGAGACACAGCGGGACCATTATATAATGTTAAAAGGCCTTGTCCAACAGGAAAATATCACAATCCTAAACATACATGCACCTAACACTGGAGCTCCCAAGTTTATACAACAATTACTAATAGACCTAAGAAATGAGATAGACAGCAACACAATAATAGTGGGGGACTTCAGTACTACACTGACAGTACTAGACAGGTCATCAAGATAGAAAGTCAAAGAAACAATGGATTTAAACTATACCTTGGAACAAATGGACTTAACAGATATGTACAGAACATTTCATCCAACAATCACGGAATACACATTCTATTCAACAGCACATGGAAGTTTCTCCAAGATAGACCATATGATAGGCCACAAAACGAGCCTCAGTAAATCTAAGAAAATTAAAATATATCAAGTACTCTCTCAGACCACAGTGGAATCAAACTGGAAATCAATTCCAAAAGCAACCTTCAAAACCATGCAAATACGTGGAAATTAAATAACCTGTTCCTGAATGATCATTGGGTCAAAAATGTAATCACGATGGAAATTTAAAAATTATTCAAACTCAACGACAATAATGACACAACCTGTCAAACCTCTGGGATACAGCAAAGGGGATACTAGTAGGAAAGTTCATAGCCCTAAACACCTATCAAAAAGACTGAAAGGGCAGAAACTGACATTCTAAAGTCACACCTCAAGGAGCTATAGAAACAAGAACAAACCAAACCCAAACCCAGCAGAAGAAAGGAAATAACCAAGATCAGAGCAGAACTAGACGAAATTGAAACAAAAAAAAATACAAAAGATAAATGAAACAAAAGCTGGTTTTTTGAAAAAATAAATAAAACTGATAGACAACTAGCAAGATTAACTAAGAAAAGAAGAGAGAAAATCTAAATAACCTCATTAAGAAACAAACGGGAGATATTACACCACAGAAATACAAAAGATGTGACACCACAGAAATACAAAGGATTATTCAAGGCTACTATGAACACCTTTACACACATAAACTAGAAAACCTGGAAGACATGGATAAATTCCTGGAAAAATACAATCCTCCTAGCTTAAATCAGGAAGAATTAGATACCCTGAACAGACCAATAACAAGCAGTGTGATTGAAATCTTAATTTAAAAATTACCAACAAAAGAAGTCCAGGACCAGATGGATTCACAGCAGAATTCGACTCTATTCCACAAGACAGAGAAAGAAGAAAGCCTCCCTAATTCATTCTATGAAGCCAGCCTCACCTTAATAGCAAAACCAGGAAAGGACATAACCAAAAAAGAAAACTACAGACTGATATCCTTGCTGAACATAGATGCTAAAATCCTTAACAAAATACTGGCTAACAGAATCCAACAACATATCAAAAAAATAATCCACCATGATCAAGTGGGTTTCATACCAGGGATGAAAGGATGATTTCACATACGCAAGTCAATAAACGCAATATACCACACAAACAGAAAATCGACATACAAGGGACATATCTCAATGTAATAAAAGCCATCTGTGACAAACCCATAGCCAACATAATACTGAATAGGAAAAGTTGAAAGCTTCCCTCTGAGAACTGGAACAAGACAAGGATGCCCACTCTCACCACTCCTCTTCAACATAGTACTGGAAGTCCTAGCCAGAGCAATCAGACAAGAGAAATAAAGGGCATCCACATCGGTGAAGAGGAAGTCAGACTGTCACTGTTTGCTGATAATATGATTGTTTACCTTGAAAACCCTAAAGACTCCTCCAGAAAGCTCCTAGAACTGATGAAAGAATTCAGCAAAGTTTCTGGATACAAGATTAATGTACACAAATTGGTAGCTCTTCTATACACCAGGAAAGACAAAGCGGAGAATCAAATCAATAACTCAACCTTTTTTATAACAGCTGCAAAAATAAAATCAAATACTTAGGAATATACCTAATCAAGGAGACGAAAGACCTCTACAAGGAAAACTATAGAACACTGGTGAAAGAAATCATAGATGACACAAACAATTGGAAACACATCCCATGTTCATGGATGGGTAGAATCAATATTGAGAAAATGACCATACTGCCAAAAGCAGTCTACAAATTCAGTGCAATCCCCATCAAAATACCACCATCATTCTTCACAGAATTAGAAACAGCAATTCTAAAATTCATATGGAACCAAAAAAAGAGCCTGCATAGCCAAAGTAAGACTAAGCAAAAAGAACAAATTTGGAGGCATCACACTACCTGATTTCAAACTATACTATAAGGCCGTAGTCACCAGAACAGCGTGGTAGTGGTATAAAAATAGGCACATAGAGCAATGGAAAACAATAGAGAACCCAGAAATACACCCAAATACTTACAGCCAACTGATCTTTGACAAAGCAAACAAAAACATAAAGTAGGGAAAAGACACCCTTTTGAACAAACGATGCTGGGATAATTGGCTAGCCACATGTAGGAGAATGAAACAGGATCCTCATCTCTCACCTTATACAAAAATCAACTCAAGAGGGATTAATGACTTATATCTAAGACCTGAAACTATAAAAGTTCTAGAAGATAACATTGGAAAACGCCTTGTAGACATTGGCTTAGGCAATGATTTCATGAGCAAGAACCCAAAAGCAAATGCAATAAAAACAAAGATAAATAGCTGGTACTCAATTAAACTAAAGAGCTTTTGCATGGTAAAAGGAACAGCCAGCAGAGTAAACAGACAACCCACAGAGTGGGAGAAAATCTTCACAATCTATACATCTGACAAAGGACTAATATCCAGAATCTACAACAAACTCAAATCAGTAAGAAAAAAAATCCCATCAAAATTGGGCTAAGGATATGAATAGAAAATTCTCAAAAGAAGATATAGAAATGTCCAACAAACCTATGAAAAAATGCTCAACATCTCTAATGATCAGGGAAATGGAAATCAAAACCACAATGTGATACCACCTTACTCCTGCAAGAATGGCCATAATAAAAAAAAAAATCAACAAACAGTAGATGTTGGCATGGATGTGGTGAACAGGGAGCACTTCCACACTGCTGGTGGGAATGTAAACTAGTGCAGCCACTATGGAAAACAGTGTGGAGACTCCTTAAAGAACTAAAAGTAGAGCTACCATTTGATCCAGCAATCCCACTATTTGGTATCTACCCAGAGGAAAAGAAATCGTTATACGAAAAAGATACTTGCACATGCATGTTTGTAGCAGCACAATTCACAATTGCAAAATCATGGAACCAACCCAAATGCCATCAATCAATGAGTGCATAAGCAAACTATAGTATATTTATACAATGGAATACTAGTCTGCCATAAAAAGAAATGAATTAACATCATTTGCAGTGACCTGGATGAGACTGGAGACTATTATTCTAAGTGAAGTAACTCAGGAATGGAAAACCAAACATCCTATGTTCTCACTGATATGTGGGAGCTAAGCTATGAGGACGCAAAGGCATAAGAATGATACAATGGACTTTGGGGACTTGGGGGGAAGGATGGGAGGGGAGCAAAGGATAAAAGACTACAAATAGCATTCTGTGTATACTGCTCAGGTGATGGGTGCACCAAAATCTCACAAATCGCAACTAAAGAACTTACTCATGTAACCAAACACCACCTGTACCCCAATAACTTATGGAAAAATAAAATTTTTTTAAAGAAAATGTGGTGCATATACACCATGGAATACTATGCAGCCATAAAAAGGAAACAGATCATGTCCTTTGCAGGGACATGGTTGGAACTGAAAGCCATTATCCTCAGCAAACTAACACAGGAACAGAAAACGAAACACCACATGTTCTCACTTATAAGTGAGAGCAAACAATGAGAACACATGGACACAGGGAGGGGAACAACACACCCTGCGGCCTGTCGGGGGGATGTGGGGGATGGTGAGCATCAGGATAAATAATGCATTTAGGGCTTAATACCCAGGTGATGGGCTGATAGGTGCAACAAACCACCATGGCACACATTTACCTATGTAACAAACCTGCACATCCTGCACATGTATCCTGGAACTTTAAATTAAATTTAAAAAAATTTGTGTGTGTGTGTGTATGTGTGTGTTTAGCCCAAGACCCAACACCCAGCATCTTTTTCAGTGTGGAAACACCAAAGTTATTCCCACTAAAGTTAGGAGCAAAGCAAAGATGCCCATAACCTCTCATAATATGTAATATTATATTGAATGCATTAATCAAGGAAATCAGACAGGATTTGGCAATAGAGAGATACTCCATCTCAAAAAAAAAGAGTTAACACAAACTATATTTGCATTTGATATGTTGTGTATCTGGAAAACTAAAAAAACTATGCAAATTTGCTATAAATTGTAAGAACTTAGTAAAATAGCAAGATATAATTTTAGCACACAGAAATCAATAGCTTTGATTTGAGCAGTATAAATTGAAAGAGTAACTGTGTAATATGCTATCATTCCTGATTTTATTAGGAACTAGGATTTGGTGCGGGAAGGAGGTTCATCTGTAAAAGAGATTAGGTTAAGTAAAAACTCCTAAGTCTTCAATTTGAATTAGAAATATTAGAATGAACTCAAAATTTATTTTTAAAACAAACATATTTCTTAACTCTCCAAGAAGTCCTGTAAACGATGACTAAACCACTAGTTATGGGTACACCAAGCATCCAGATTGTGGTCTTGAAAAACCATTCTCAATAAAAAAGAGTCATAGTTCTTTGGAGAAATGTTGAATTCTAGATCCGGAACAGTAAATGTAGAAAAGGGACCTGAAACATTTTGTCACACAAAATATGTAGAAAAGACTCTATCAGCTACACTAGTGTCAAGGGAACTTGATTCAGGACTTAAGCATCAATAAAGACAACAACTGCTCTATATTGGATAGATTGAAATGCATAAAATATGTTTAAATTGATGAATGCAAAATACTTCAAAAAAAAGAAGTAACAAATTGATCCCATGGAAGGAAGCTAGTGAACCAACTCGTCCAAGTAAAATGATGAATTAAAAGGTCATAAATAAGCATCTATCTTGCCTTTTCTATTAGATGTCTACCACTGGGTGACCAAATAGTAGATTAGTAGAAGTTTCCCTTTAAGAATTCCAGCTAATAAATAAAGAATGAATGAATGAATTATGCTGCCAGTATATGCAACCCCTCTTGAATTGCTGGGTCTAGGCAATGAACATCAGTGGCTGCTACCATCACAGGCAGAGACAGATACTCAGTGCCAACTGATGGAAGAAGACAGCACCAAAATGTGCCCCAAATTGAATCTGAATCTGATCGAGTCTTATATCCCAGTGCTGATTTACATGAAATAGAGAGGACAGAGGAGCATGTGACATGGCACCATACGAGCAATCAGTAAAAGCCAGATGATAGAAAACTCTAGAGAAAAATATATATATAAGATTTTTCAACAGAGGAAAAAAGATGGAGGCAAAATCTGTAGATTAAAAAAGACATATCAACCAAGTACAATAAGAGATCTTACTTGAATTCTAATTCAAACAAACTGAAAAACTAAATATGTGAACTTACAACATTTGATATCATTGGAAATTTGCATACTGGATATTGCACTGAAGAATTATTGTTAATTTTTGGGTGGGATTATGGTACTGTGGTTTGTTGTAAAGAGTCTCTTAGAGAGAGATGGAAGTAGTTGTGGATGAAATAACGTGTTATCTGGAATTTCCTTCAAAATTATGTGAGCAGGGGAAGGGTTGGAGATAGAGAAGAAGCATGGTTGGCTAAGAGTTGATGATTGTCATGCCTGAGGGATGGGTACATTGGCTTTAATATCCTTTTCTGTCTACTTTTATACATATTTAAATTTTTATTGGAAAAATACTTTTAAAATATGTACCATCAGGTAATTCTGTGTTCTCCTTGTTAGCCTAAAAATCTAAGCTCAAGAGTAGAGAGACTGGAATGTTGAGGTGCCATTTACAATTTCTAGTGCCCCACTTTCTCCTGTCAGTTAAACTACTGTTTAACTTGTATTAAGAACCGTTAAAGAATTTGATATGTCATTGATGAGTATATAATTTCAATGCATATAAGACAAAACCCCAGTAGATCCTACACTTACTGCTATTCCCAAAGTTACACATTTTAGGAGAGACTTTTCTTCCATCTTTCCATACTAGGAGAAAATTATGAAAAAGTACAATGAGTGAGTGTCAACTAAGGAAATGTTTTGCTTCCAATCATGCATCTATGCACATATTTTATCTTAAAGGCACCAGATGCTCTGAGAGCTGGCATAAGACCCAGTCATGGCCCCTGAACAGAAGGCATGTCTCCCTCCCATTAAGCCCATTGGGTGTCCAGCCCGCGGCACCTGCTGGACAAGTGAAATGGGCTCAAAGCCCACACGTGTGCCTTCTCCGAGCCTCAGGTACAAGTGGTGGGTCCCGGCACTGCCCACTGTTGCTGCTGGAGCCTTCCTCAGTTCCTACAAGACAATGTGTTTGAGCGTATCAGCTTCAACAAGGGGAAAACTAAAGAGTGAAATGATCCTGCAACAATGTGAAGAACTTCAGTGTGCCCCACAGACATTCCTATAGCCACTTTTGTTTGATTTTCACACAGCCCTATCTGTCGCTGTCTGGCCAAACTTCTCTTCTTATTCCTAAGAAGCACCTTTCCTCTCCTCACCCAGGGCTTTTTACACTGAATTTCCTGGAGAAATTGCTTCATCACAGTCCAAATTACTCTTAGACTCATCTTTAGCTGGTGTTGTGGAGGTTATGTAAGTAATATACGTGGCCAAGCTTTGGAAATGAGAATGTGCTCTACGCATTTGAATGTTTGGCAGAGCCAACCTTCCCAGAACTCATGCCCCCGCACTGAAAGACACCGGGCTTTCTTAATTTTCATCTGAACCATGAAGACGCTCTGGAAGATGTGTTTCCCTAATGTGGCATCCACAGAAGCCTTTGTCCCCTAGTGCACCACGCTTGCCCAAGGTCACAAGGGCGTCTGGCAAGGGATGGACCACACAGTCTCTTGGAATGTTGACCTGTGAGTTGAGACATCCAATTCATTTCACCACGGGAACCCAGGCATCTGATCTTCTCACCAGGGTGGGCTTCCTCGCCAGGCCGGACAAGATGAACGCATGCCTGACCTTTTTTCATATTTAACCATTCACCCCCTTAACAGGGATGTATAAATGTATGGGTAGTCAAGGGTGGATTCTCAATACCAGAACAGTACATTTGCCTATTGTTTTAATCTATGTCAATGGTAATAATAGTAATAGTGCATGTTCTTTCAGTGTCATCTCACTGTATCCTTACTGCAATTCTAAGAGGCAGGGTTGTTCTCACCCTCATTGCTCAGATGTGACAACCAAGGCTTCAAGAAGTGAAGTGGCCTTTCCAGGGTTGCAGGGGCTTTGCACCCAGCCAGGCCATCAGCTCCCAAGCCTGTGCTCGACCCCAGATCTGTTCATCCACCCCTCTGTTCCCTTATCCCTGTGTTCAGTGTGCTTTATCATCAAACAGACCTGATGAGGGTGAGCTCCCACTCCCCACTCACTTGTGTTCCCCTGCCCGTGGCCCTCCCCTCGCTGGCCCTCTCTGAGGTCAGGCTCTCTGGCTGTGATGGGTGTTCACTTGGCTGCCTCCAAACCACCTGCCTCCCAGGCAGCAGCTTTGAGCTCATGCCAGGGCCTGGCAGCCCTGCAGAGCCAGGGGCAAAGGAAAAATGGTCATGCCAACCTTGCCTTCATTTAAAAGGCTGATATTTTGTTCCTCAAAGATATTTTTGCGCTAATTTTTATTTTTGCAGATATAGCACTAAAATGTTGTTTATGTCGATTCCTGAGTGTTTTTGCACCCCCTTAGATTCTGCAGCAGTGGCAGGTGCCTCCTCGCCTCACCTTAGAGTTGGCCCTGCTGTGTGCCAGGCACTGTGGGCAGGAGGATAGAAAGGAGGATGAAGTGGATCCCAGCTCTCAGGCAGCTGGCCCTCTGTTGAAAGAGATGTTAAAAGCATTCACTACCCTCTTCACTGCCCTGAGAGTGAAGAGTAACCTCCAGGCACTCATTCACCCATAGTCTTCCTGTACCTGTCCCCAGGGATCAGACCACAAGCCTCTGCCATCATCTCCCAGTCTCATTCTCCATCCACCCGTTTTATTGCCTTCCAGTGTCGAGTTGTAACATCTACAGACAAATATAATGCAGGAATGTTTTATTTGAGCTTCATTGAAACAGAAGTTTATTTAATTTATTTATTTATTTATTTATTTATTCATTCATTCATTGGAGATGGAATTTCGCTCTTGTTGCCCAGGCTGGAGTGCAATGGCGTGATCTTGGCTCACTGTAACCTCCACCTCTCGGGTTCAAGCAATTCTCCTGCCTCAGCCTCCCAAGTAGCTGGGATTACAGGTGTCTGCCACCACACCTGGCTCTTCTTCTTCTTCTTTTTTTTTTGTATTATTAGTAGAGACGGGGTTTCCCCGTTTTGGCCAGGCTGCCCTCGAACTCCAGACCTCAGGTGATCTACCAGCCTTGGCCTCCCGAAGTGCTGGGATTACAGGTGTAATCCACTGCACCTGGCCAAAACAGAAGTTAATGAAAAATGGATCCTGAGGTAGTTTGGTCTTTATCCTGCTACACCTCTGTCTTCCAATTTTACTCTCTCTGGTTGGACCACTTCCTCCACTAAGTGTCTTCCAAATCCAGCAGTTGGTCTCTGAGACCTGTATGTGTGTGTCTGTCCCTTTCTGCTTACTGGGGAGATCCTGGGAAAGCTCAGGGGGCTCATAGTTCCCACAGAGTCCCTGCAGTCATGTCCTGAACAGATTAGCAGCTCCATGAAGGTTGCTTAAGTAATCAATGAACACTGCAACCTCGGATACGGGAGAGAAGACGGAATTGAAGGCAGGAGCCCCCACCAGTTTAACCCTCTGTGATTCCAAGCCAAGGCACTAGAGGTAGGCCCCTTATATCTGCCTTCAGCAAGCTGGTGGCAGCAGTTTTCTTGCTCAGTGGAGCCCTGGGAAGGCAAGGGTGGTCTCAGGGTCCCTGTTGAGAGTTCATTCACTGGCTCATAATTAATGTATATTGAGCATGTACTATGGGCCAGTACATTTTGTGCAGAATTCCTTAAAATTTCATAATAACTGTTAGATACAATTATAATTGTATTGATGAGGAAACTGAGGCACAGAGAGGTGATATAACATGCCCAAGGTCACACAAAGTGGTGGAACCATTTTGGCCCCAAGGGACTGATTCCAGGGCCAACCCTCTGTCCCCACATGGCACTGCCCCTCCTAAGGCAAAGTCACCATGCATTGTTGGGACACATTACTCTCCCCGGGGTGGCTGATGAGACCTTCAGAGATGTTCTGTCCAAGGGCTAGTTTGCACGGAGGAGAGCAGGAATGCAGGGCCAGGGCACGGCCACCCAGAGCCTCATGCTGTTCAAAGCGGCTGAGTGAGTGCTTTAGACCACACAAGGCAGGTCGAGAGGCACAGTGCATGCTTGGGAGGATGGCACGGGGCAGTGGGTGAGGATGGCCCAGGTGGCTGGGGTCAAGTGTCCCTACCAGCCCAGCCTCTCCCATATCATCATGGGACATGAATGTGAGGGTGTGGTGATGGTGGCAGTGTGAGGTTTAAGAAATACATCTAGAAGGCCAGGTGTGGTGGCTCACGCCTGCAATCCCAGCACTCTGGGAGGCTGAGGTGAGTGGATCACGAGGTCAGGAGATCGAGACCATCCTGGCTAACATGGTGAAACCCTGTCTCTACTAAAAATACACAAAAAAATGTTAGCTGGGCATGGTGGCGGGCGCCTGTAGTCTCAGCTACTTGGGAGGCTGAGGCAGGGAGAATGGCATGAACCTGGGAGGCGGAGCTTCCAGTGAGCCGAGATCACGCCACTGCACTCCAGCCTGGGCAACACAGCAAGACTCTATCTCAAAAAAAAAAAAAAAGAAAAAAAACAGCTCTGTGCTGTGCAAGTGATCCTCACTGAAATAGATGTGCTTGCTAAAATGAGGAAAGCTGAGATGGCCAGGCCTGGGCATGGGACATGGTGGTCAGCTGGCAAGTGGGGACCTGTAGGGCCCAGGAAGACAGAGTACATGCCTCAGGCAATTGGCCAAGGCCAAGATCCAGCCTCCTGTGACAAAAAGCCAAGCCTTCGGCCTCAGTCTGAGGGTAAGGAGATCACATGCTCTTGTTCTCTGATCTGTCCCCCAGGTGGCAGTGACGAAAGAAGAGACTCTCCCGGCCGAGGCCCCAGTGCATGGAGAGAAGGAAGAAATCAATTTCCTAATTGGTACCATATACATCAGGTCAAATAATTTCTTATTTTCTAGCCGCATCAACTAAAAATTATACCCAATAGGAGCTGTGTGCAAGATGGGGTGGTCACAGTGAATGTCTCTGAGGGTACAGACCTCCCTGCCTGAGACCCTCAGTCCTCAGGGTCTTGCACGTTAGGTGAGCTCATTTCCTGCATTCCTACAGAAAATCAGGAGGGCTCAGAGAGGTGAAGCCCATGTCACAGCTGGACAGGGGCAGGGCCAGGGTCAAATCAGGCTATGTGCCTGGCTCTAAAGCATGGGCCACTGACACAGGACCTACTCCACCAAGCAGCACCCATCCCAGTGAGTTACTGTGAAAGAAAGAACAGAGGACAGTCATCAATAGCATGGGATTCAAACTCATCCCACAATATGTAAAATTAATTACATACTTCCTAGCATAAAATTTTCCATTGCCTGTAATGGGGTCTGCAAGCTTTTTCCATAAAGTTCCAGGAAGTACATCTTTTCAGTTTTGTGGGCCTTAAGGATCTCTGTTTTAACTACTCAACTCAGCCAGGTGCAAAAGCAGCCACAGATGCTATGCAAATGAGTGGGTATGGCTGTGTTCCCATAAAACTTCATTTACAAAAATGGGTGGCAGACCACATGTGGCCCATAGTCTATAACTTGCAGACCTCTTATCTACACAAACACAAGGATGCATTTGCACTCCACCGGCAAAGATTGAGCACCCACTGGGGCCCCAGCACCATTCACTAGTGTAAGTTACTCTCACTTGTAATGTCACAGTTGCTTTTCCCCAGCAATCAGCTGCTACAGTCAGCCTGGGTCAACCTGCTGCATATCCGTTGTATTTCTCTGGCTGGGATCATGCTGCCTGGGAAATCTGACATTCTTAAGAATGTTGTTGGATTGATGGCAGCTCTTAGAGGGATGGTAGATAGTTCAGTAGCCATCTTCAGCAAGTATGGTATTTCCGTCAACTGTGGATTAACCTTGGCTATTAGTCTTTCCTAATAGCCAAGTAAGGGGTGAGAGCTGAGGGGGTAGGATGGCACACTGATAAAGGCATAATTGGAATAGAGTGGGTAACATTCATCACATTGTGGAAGTATTACAAGTCTATACAATTCGGAAGAGGATTAGAAATCTAGCAACTCCAGTTGAATTTTTCTAGGTATACTTAGGTGTTTGAAATTTTAAAATAGTCTTTTTTCCTCATCAGTTACTGGAATTAATAAAATGTAACTTCAGGAGCACTGGAGATAGTGATGACCCCTTGCCTTAGTCTATCTGGGCTGCTATGTCAAAATACAATAGCTTGGGAGGCTTATGAACAACAGAAATGTATTCCACACAGTACTAAAGGCTGGGAAGTCTAAGGTCAGGGAACCAGCAGATTTGGTGTCTAGTGAGGGCCCATTTCCTGCTTCATAGATGGCACTGTCTTTCTCCGTCACCTTGGAGATTAGATATCAACATATGAATTTTGGGAGGGAACACAAACATTTGGCTCATAATACCCCTTCTCTCACATGGCATGTACACAGGGATGAAATTTTAGTTAGCATTCTATAATATAATGTCTTGCATGAAGAATCAGGCAGTTGGACCAAACCAATTCTAAAAAATATGACAGCAGGTGGAAATGGCTCCACCCTCGAGGGTTCTCTCGCTCAGGTCTCTGCATGTAGTTGTCACTTGCAGCTCCATTTCCATCACGTGGTAAAATGCCCTTTCTCTTCTTTCCTGCAGATGGATGGTTTCTAGTGTGCTTCCAAACCCCACCTCGGCTGAGTGTTGGGCAGCACTTCTACATGATCCTATGACTCTTGATATGGACGCAGTCCTGTCAGACTTTGTTCGGTCCACGGGGGCAGAACCTGGTCTGGCCAGAGACCTGCTGGAAGGTAAGCCCACCTCCTTGTCCCCCACACCACCATTCTGGGCATAACCACCTTCCAAATAAGATTTCCAATAACTGACGACAGTGGTACTTGGACAGTATTTGGACTCTCAAAAGTGAAAGTGTTGGTGATAAAATTATTTTTGTTTTTCTTATTTTTATTTGGGTTATGAAATAGATCCCCCAACTCTTGACAGTAAAATAGCGTGAAGCACTAAGTGGGCTCTGCTTTGTGTTACATCTTACTGATGTCGAGTCAAAATTTTATCACTAATTATTATATTTAAGAAAATATATTCAATGGAGCAGAAATTATAAAACATTCAAGAAAATACTTTTATGGGAGGCCTTAGTTTCATATCTCTGTGTTAGTAGAGACGAAAATACTCTAGGCCAGGGTTTTTGGTGGAAAAAGCACCTACTATCCAGGAAAGTCACTGGGAATAATTCACAAGCAAGAAGACAGCCTTCATCCTCCAGCTTTTCATGTAGATACCATTTGCTGCGTGAGAAATGTGCATCCTCCGTATGTATGATGTTTTCAGATATGTATTCAGCCATAACCATAGTGAACTAAAATGAAAGTTTAGTTTCTATGTCTCTAAAATGGCTTTACCTTTCTTTTTTTTTTCTGATGGTGGCAGTGGTATGTAAAGGTGGGAGGGACCAGTTACAACTTCTCAGGACAGTCAGCTGTGTGAGAGGAGAGAACTTTGTAATGTTTACTCTTTGCTTCAAATGTATAAACTGCAATTTGTGGAGTTAGTAAATACTTGGTCAAGAATTGTAAGTCACAATGATTCTTTAAGTCACTTAGGGAAAATAAGAATTATTGTACATTTGCAGAAGTGGAGAGAACTATTCAATCATATTGAAAATTAAGAACCACCTACTGGAGGATTATCAAAAAATGGCAATGGCAAAAGCATAGTTTTTAAATTTTCCCCAACCTATTAGAATTTCAAACCAACTCCAAGTTTAGAATAAAATATGCTGAGAGTTTTTGCAATCTATGGAAATCAAAATATGATTCTCCCTTCCTGCTATTTATATTATATAATGTCTCCCTGTCAGTTTCCATTATTTTCATTAAGTGGGCAGCAGAGTGGAGAAGCAGGCTTGGAATAAGGTCGGCAGTGAAATCCGAGTTTGAGTTCAGATTCAGCCACTTATCAACTATGAGATATAGGACAAATTATTTTACTTCCCTTACCCTGAGATTTCTTCTATGTTGAGCTTAACCCACCTTACAAGGTGACTGTGAATATTAGAAGTTGTGATATAAAATGTGTGGTAAAGAAGCAGCATGTAGCAGATGCTCAAAAAAGTATAGAAGACCATGCTTGTGGTGGCCATTATTGTAATTAGTACTAACATCAGTATTAATGTCTAGACAGCCTTAAATAGGAAGCAAGAGTTGTCATCTCTTTTCTTTATTTTTTTACTTATATTTTTCACATTAAGATACAGAAAAATTGAGTTTTTTGTGTCTAGTTCTATGAACTTTAACACATGTATGGATTTGTGTTATTACTACCACATTCAGGACACAGAAGCACTTCATCCCCTCCAGATTCTCTGTCCTGATGTCTTTTATAATCAGACCCTCCCCTACCCCAACCACTGGCAGTCAGTGCTCTGTTTTCTATCACTAGTTTTGTCTCTTTGCAAGAATGTCAGATAAATGTCCTACAGAGCCTAATCTTCTGAAACTGGCTCCTTTTCATGCAGGGAGATCATTTTGAGACTCATCAAGTCATGTGTCAGTAGCCGGTTCCTTTTTGTTGCTGAGTAGTATTCCATTCTGCAGGTACACCAGAATTTCTCCACTCATCTGTCCAGGGGCATTTCAGTTGTTTTCCGTTTTTGGCAGTTAGACTAGAGCTTCTGGAAACATTTAAGAACGGGATTTTGTGAATATAGTTTTAATTTTTCTTTTTCTTCTTTTTTTTTTTTTTTTTTTTTTTTTTGGTGAGAGAGTCTCACTCTAGCCCAGGCTGGAGTGCAGTGGCGCTATCTCGGCTCATTGCAACCTCCACCTCCTGGGTCCCAGTTCAATCAATTTTCCTGCCTTAGCCTCCTGAGTAGCTGGGATTACAGCCGCGCACCACCATGCCCAGCTAATTTTTGTATTTTTAGTAGAGACGGGATTTCACCATATTTGGCCAAGCTGGTCTTGAACTCCTGACCTTGTGATCTGCCCACCTCAGCCTCCCAAAGTGCTGGGATTATAGGTGTAAGCCACCCTGCCTGGCCTAGTTTTAATTTTTCTAAGCTAAATACATGTTAACTTTGTAAGAAACTGCCAACCTGTTTTCCAGAGTGCTGCACCATTTTGCATTCCTACCAGCAGTGTCTGAGAGCTCCAGCTGCCCCACATCCTTGTCAACACTTGGTATTTCTTCCTTTTTTGTTTTTTCATTTTAACCATTTGATAGCTGTGTGATGGTATTTCTTCATGGTTTTAATTTTCATTTCCCTAATAATTAATGACGTTGAAAATTTTCATGCTGTTTATTTTCCATCTTTTTATTCTCTTTCGTGAAATGTCTGTTCAGGCTTTTTGCCTATGTCTAAATTGAATTGTTTACTTGAGATTTAAGAGTTCTTTACATATTCTGAGTATAAATCTTTTGTTCAGATATGGGATTTGTGAATATCTTCTCCCAATCTGTGCTTGACTTTTCAGTCTCTTAACAGGGCCTTTTACAGAGCACAGTTTTAAATTCTGATGCGTTCCAACGACTTTTTTCTGGTATGGATCATGCTTTGAGTGACATGTCTGAGAAATTTTGCATAACTCCAGGTCATGAAGATTTTCTTGTAGTTGGTCTTTTAAAAGTTTTATACTGTCATGTTTTACATTTAGATCTACGATCCATTTGAGATGATTTTTGTATAATATGTGAGATTTAGGTCCAGATTCAGTTTTATGCATACGGATATCCAATTGTTTCAACATCACTTATTGAAAATATCCTCCTTCTTTCATTGAAATTGAATTGCCATTGCAATTTGACAAAAAGCCAACTGAGGGTATTTGTAAGGAATATATTTCTGGACAGTGGTTCTGTTCCATTGATCATTATGTCTGTTCTTTTATCAAAACTGTGCCATATTGATTTCTATAGCTTTGTAATGAGTCTTAAAATCAGATAGTGTGATTTTTCTAAATTTATTCTTCTTTTTCAAGAGTGTTTCAGCTATTCTTTTTTTTTTTTTTGCCTTTCTATGTGAACTTTAGGATCTGCTTACCTCTATCTACTCTAAACTGTTTTGCTGAGATTTTGTCTACAATTTTAGTAAATCTACAACTCAATCCTATGTTATGTCTTTCAGTCCATGAAGGAGTGCCATAATTTCCATTTGCTTGGGCCTCCATTAAGTTCTTTCGTCAACATTTTATGGTTTTTGGCATGTAGATCCTATACATCTTTTGTTATATGTGTATTGGGGGTCGGGGTTGTAAGCTATTGTATGTGGTATTTTTTATTTCAGTTTCTACTTGTTCATTGGCAATGTACAGAAATATAACTGATTTTTGTGTGTTGATCTTGCATCCTGCAATCTTGCTAAAGCTAAACTCAGTTTGTTCTAGGAGGGGTGTGTGTGTGTGTGTGTGTGTGTGTTCCTTGGGATTTTATACATAGGTGATCATGTTATCTGTGAGTAAGGACAGTTTTATTTCTTCCTTTCCAGTCTCTAGGCCTTTCTGGTTTTCTTGTCTTATTTCACTGACGAAGACTATTCAAAAGGTTAAATAGCGGTGTTAAGAAAGAAGATCCTTGTGTTGTTCTTAATCTCTGAGAACAAGCAGTATTTCACCATTAAGTAGAATGTTGGCTATAGGTTTTAGTAGATGGTCTTTATCAGGTGAAGAAAATTTCTTTCTATTCCAAGTTTGCTGAGAGTTTTATAATAAATAGATACTGAATTTTTAAAATGAAGATCAAGTGGGTTTTTTGCTTTAAACTGTTGCTATACTAGATTAAACTGATTGCCTTCTAGTGGTAAACCAGACTTTCAGCTATTTCTTTCCATGTTTCTATGTTCTGCCCTTTTTTTCTTTCCTTCTGGGACTCAGATGATAGGAAGCTCGGCCCTTTTGTTATTACCTAAGGTCTCTATGGTTCTGTTCAAGGTTTTCAAACTTTGTCTGTTACTCAGATTCAGTCATTTCTATTAATTTATTTATGAACTGACTGACTACTTCCTCCATCATCTTCATCCCAGTAGTGAGCCCAGCCAGTGTGTTTTCTATTTTTGTAGTTGATTTTTTCATTTCTAATATTTCCACTTAGTTCTTCTTCATATCTTCCATTTCTTTGCAAAATTTTCTATATGTTTTAAGAGTACCCTCCTTTACTTGTACAATATTTTTAACAACTGCTTGAAAATCTTTGTCAAATAATTCCAGTATCTGTTTCATCTCAGAGTAGCTGTTGGCTTTTTGTATGCTGAGTATGGTTTCAGTATGCTGAATTGTATCCTAGACATTTTAAATACTATGTTTTGAGATTCTGGTTATTGTTAAAATCTTACAGTGAACATTATTAACTTTATTTTAGAAGATAATCACCCCAAATGGGTTCAGACCACAAATTCCAAGTTCCTGCAAGACTTGTGTGGATTGTGGTTGCTGTGAGTCTGTGAGATGTGGATCTGTCTCGCACAAGCGCCACCTAGTGGCCAGCCTGGGACTCTGGTGGTAATCTATCCCACATTTCAGCACTCAAAGTCTGTGTGGTCCGTGTAGGGTCGGATCCATACATGTAGAGCTCAAGGGTAAGCCCAAGAGTTCATGAGCAACTTTCAGGGGTTGCTCTCCCGAAGCCCTTCCTCATTGTAACCTGCCCAGTAGTGTCTGGGTCCCTGGGCTCTACCTTTTCAGCCCTCCAGCCAGCTTGGGTGGTTGAGGCTTGATTTACCCTACTCTCTGGTGCACTTGACTGAACCACGTCAGAGCTAAGCAGCGAGAAGCCAGAGAGAAAAAGCATGAAGGTTTCCCCACCCTCTGGGGACCTCAGACTCTCTGGTTGGAAAGGAAGTTTGCCTGGCCTGATGACTTTAATTATCTGCCATTTCTCACTAGGGCCACAAAATTTCTTGAGGTCTGGGGCACAGAGAAGAAAAAATTTTAGAAGAAAAAGAAAAAAAAAAAGGATAAATTAGAGATTTCCAGACTTTCTTAGAACGGTAGAGACCCCTTTCCTGCTTCTGTACCCGAGTTGCTGGGCTTTTCCTGGAATTAGTGCCCACTCTGGGTTAGGAGCTGCATTGACTCCACACTGGGGAGACTGGAGGAAGGGAAGTGTCTCGCTCACCTCCAGCTCTGTGGCACTTCCAACTGTGGTCTCCTTTCTGCATCGGCACCTCCAACTGTGATCCACCTTCCTGAGCCCGGTCGCTGCTGCCTGCACGCTGTCCAGGGGTCCCGACTGCACCCAGTGGGACAGAGGGTGGCAGTGGTGAGTGCTCACTCACCTCACCCGCTGCTGGGTCCTGCCCTTGGCTTTCACAGGTAAGAGGACTGTGGTTCCATTGTGTATGATGGATTATTTAAGGTGTCAAAGTTATTTGGGTGAAGATTTCTCTAAAGCCAGTGTTTCAAAGAATGAAATATTTTTGTTGTAAGTCCTCAGAAAGATCTGTATTGGGAGGATGTCAGTAATGTAGGAATTTAGAGGGGAGATGTCTAAACAGACATAAATCCTCATGGTGGCAGAAGCTGAGTGGAAGGTACGTGGTCCTCATTTGTAACTTCTTGTATTTTTATTTATTTCAAAATAAAAAGTTAAACACTGCAATGATGGGAATCACAGTACAGCAGAGGGAGGCCAGTAAGAGAAAGGAGGAGCAGAGGCTGATCACAACCTTGGTAAACTGAGGCAAGTGAACACTGACCTGCCTCCAAACAGAAGAGGGTGGCCTTGCCTGTTCACCTGCTTCCTGTGTTACCAGATCAAACTTGGGTCTGGCTCTCTGGCGCAGCAAAGCCAAAAACTGACATCAAGGTTGCAGTAAGAGAAAGTGAGACATTTATTGCAGGGCTGGAAGCCAGGAGAATTGGGCAGCTCATGTTTAAGCCCTGAATCCCCCAGTGCCATATAGGTAAGCGTTTTTACAGGCAGGAAGAGGCTGGGCGTGGTGGCTCATGCCTGTAATCCTAGCACTTTGGGAGACCTAGGCTGGTGGATCACCTGAGGTCAGGAGTTCGAGACCAGCCTGGCTAACATGGTGAAACCCTGTCTCTCCTACAGACACAAAAATTAGCTGGGTGTGGTGGCATACACCTGTAATCCCAGCTACTCAGAAGGCTGAGGCAGGAGAATCGCTTAAACCCAGGAGGCGGAGGTTGTAGTGAGCTGAGACCGCACCATTACACTCCAGCCTGGCGACAGAGCGAGACTCCATCTTGAAAACATAATAATAATAAAATAAAGGCAGGGGGCAGAAGTTACAGGCAAAGATATAAATCAATACACGGAGGCTGTACATTGGTTTGACCTAAAAAGACAGGACATCTTGAACCAGATGTGGGGCGGAGGGCATAGGTCATAGGTAGATTTGAAGATTTTCTGATTTACAATGGGTTAAGGAGACGAAGCTTTGTCTGCAAATTTGTGATCAGCAGAAAAGAATGTTAGCTCTGGTCTCTGGGCATGACTTCCTCCAGGCCCCTCAGTAGGAAATTTAGAACAAAGAGTGGTGGTCCAAACTCAGTCCTCAGTTTCCCCTGTCTGAGGTCTGCATGCCAGCAGATAGCACTTTTCATTTGTTGGTGTCTTGGTTTCTGGAAATCAACTTAAGGACTTCTGTTAAAATGTTATCTTTAGTCTCTATGGGAACTTTGGTCTATTCTGTGACTTAAACTTCCCTGGCTATTGTTTTAAGTTATTCTTCCCTTCTTGCTTCAGTTGCTCATTTACTTCCCTGTGCTGGCTAGGTACCTGGAAATGCCTTTGAAGGAACTTAAGATTTCCTTTTATTTCCATGCTTGGGGGCAGGTGCCCGGCAAGCCCCTAAGAGGGGTCTCTGCTCCATCTCATCTTCATATCAGCCCCTTGCATGTCCCTGAAGTGGTTCTCCAAAACAAATTCTAGTCAGGTAACTCCATTTCCTCCAATTTTTCATACTCCATCCCCATTACCTGCAAAATAAACTTCTCCAACTGGTACTCCAGCCCTTCAGCATCTAGTCGTATTCCGTCCCTCCCCTCATTACCTGAGGCATCTCTTCACCATCCCTTTCCCTGACTTGACACCCACCTCTGTGCTTCTGCCTCTACCCATTGCTCCTGCTGCTCCTCCCCCTGCACACACTGCCTGCCTGTTGAAATTCAGCTCTCCCTCCACGATGGATCATGAACTCCCCGACAGCAAGGACCATACAAGGTTTTGTTCACTGTTTGCCCAACACCCAGCACGTATGAGTCCCTCAGTAGAGTGATCTATTAATAGCTGCTGAGGTGCAGTGATGAGCAGCCAGACAGAAATTGCCCACATGGAGACAGATGGAAATAAGTTATATAGTGTGTTAGCCATTAGTGCTGTGGAGATAACTAAGTCGGGGAGAAGGAAGCAGGTATGAGTGTGTACAGTTTTAAATTAGGGTTGTCAGGGAAGGCTTCACTTAAAAAAAATGGGATCTGAGCAAAGATTTGAGGTGAGAAAGCAAGCCACGTGGATGTCTGGAGGAAGAAGTTTCTATGACGAGGTAAGGATTCACTGATAATTCCTTGCCCTCCTGTGGAACTTTGTGGACTTCTGCTGCAGCTTGTATTTGGTTGTGCCTTATTTTATAATTCATCACATGCTTATCAAGCTGGATTTGCCCAGTCTTGAGCACATGCCATTGATTTAGCAGAGTTCACGGCTCTGGCGTTTTCAAGTGTGTGCAATTAGAGGACTGCCATGGGCAAATCCCACACCCTTGAATGGGAACAAAAAGGTGGTCTAGGGACCATGAATCCTAAGCAGGAGTTAACACTCGACCACAAGGTGTGATGGCCCTTGGCCGGGGCTGGGACCATCAGTGGGTCTAGAAATACTGAAAGGAAACCGCTGGCTGCCCTTCCAAGTGTCCTGTTCCCACTAGGGAGAGCTCTGCCGTTAGACCAGACATATTTGGGGGAAAAATGGCAAAAAAAATAAAAATAAACATCTCCAGATCAGAATTCTAAGATACTCCCTCTCGCCTGGCCTCATTCAGGAAGACACATTCTTCCTTTAGAGAGATGAGTGTATTTAAATACTCTTAAACAGACCCATTAAGACCATTTGCAGTGAGTTTCCTTGTGTCACGCTGATCAATTAAGTAGATCTTATTTCCTTCATTTCCTTCCTATTGGGGAAGCTTGTAACCCCCAGGTATCATCACTGGCCTATTTTGTTGGTTTTATTCAAGAGTCTGTGCCATTGTGGCTGCTTGAAATTAAACACTTTGGCCAGGCTTGGTGGCTCATGCCTGTAATCCCAGCACTTCGGGAGGCCAAGGCAGGCAGATCACGAGGTCAGGAGTTCGAGACCAGCCTGACCAACATGGTGAAACCCTGTCTCTACTAAAAATACAAAAATTAGCCGGGTGTGGTGGTGCATACCTGTAATTCCAGCTACTCAAGAGGCTGAGGCAGGAGAATTGCTTGAACCCAGGAGGCATAGGTTGCAGTGAGCCGAGATCGCGCCATTGTACTCCAGCCTCCGCAACAGAGTGGGACTCTGTCTCAAAAAAAAAAAAAAAAAAAAAAAAAGGAAAAGAAGGAAAGAAAGGGAGAGAGAGAAAGAGAGAAAGAAAGACACTTCCTCTCTGGAAAGCCAGCCGTATTCATCCCAGCGTCTTTCTTGGTGTCTGTGCATGGATAAAGCCTCCCCATTCCCCCGTGCCCCCCACCACTTTGTGTCCTTTCACTTTGCTTCACTTATGTGCCCACCACTCCAGGGCTCCCTGAGGTCCAGGAATTCCATGCCATTCCCTTTCACATGGCTGAGAGCCCCAGCCCTGTGGATGAGCTGTCCTGAGTGGGCACTCAGTAATGTGGGCGTAACTGAACCAAGCTGAAGAGGGAAGGAGCAAAAAACAACCAGAAGCCCTCAGATTCAGAGTCATGTCGTTAAACACTTTTTAAAATAAAAAATTAGCTGTGCAAACTGAAATCAATTTAAACTATTTTCTTTGACTAGGCAGGAAAGAGGAGGCTGCTACATATTAAGAACTCCCACTTAAGCCAAACCTTCATGTTTCCAATCTCCAAGCAGGCATTGAGGGCCTCTGGGCTGCGTGTGGGAGAGCCAGGAAGAAAGAAGAGTAGGCCCTGCCTTCAAGGTCCTTCCTGCCTAAAGCAATCTATAGGCAGCTGTGTTCTAACAAAACTTTTATTTATAAAACAGGCAGCCAGCCAGCCTGCCTATGGGCAGTAGTTTGCCAACCTGTGCTGTAGATTAAAAGAGGCTTAAGAGATCTGTCAGATAGTGATAATGTATGCACATTATTTGAATACTGATTCCAACAAACTAAAAAAGAAAAATTATAAGACAATCTGGGAAATGTGAGCACTTAACATTTACTGGATATTTGATGATATTAAAGAATAACTACTTTTAGATATGATATTTTTATTATGATAGTGCTAAGAAAAATAAGATACATACTGACGTGGATGGATGAAGTAATATCATGCAGGGGTTTTCTGGGGACAGGCGAATGGGTGGGAGAGGAGATGAAACAATATTATCCATGAGTTGATTTTGATTAAACCTGAATAGTAGATGCAAACAGGTTTATTATAAGTGATGTACGAATGTTTCCATAATAAAAAGTTTTAAAACAGACAGCACCAGGAAACCTCCACTTCCAGCCAAGATGAAGTATCAGAATGTGGGTGTGCCCTCCTGCCTGAAAAAGAAAAAGATAAATATGATAAACAAGACACTGAACGTTAGATAGTGAAGGACAGTAGTCCCCAAGAGATTGGAAACAAACAAGGTTAGTCCTATAATTGCCCAGCTCACTGCCTTGAGAAAGTTTCTAATCCGTGGTACAGGGAGGAGGAACCCAGAGGAAGCTTGCCTGACTCCACAGTGGAAGGAGACAGAGCTTAGAGTCCCAGGAGTCCAGGAGGCTGGAGTCCTCAGGTCAGAGCCTGAGAGCGGAGACAGCTACACAGAGAGAACTGCAGCGATTCACAGAGGGTTTGCCTGTGCCACTCAGCCAAGTGCCGATCAGTGCCTGTGTGTGAGGAAGCTGTGTGCAGCTGGGGAGAGAACCACCTGAGAGGATTAGAGGAAACAGTGCCTGGGGCTGATACAGAGCCATGGAAAGTGCCTGTGCTCACCAGCCAGGCCGGACAAGCACTGAATATAATACCTAGAAGGATCTTGCCTCAGTAATTGGGAATAATTAGCCCTGTAATAAAAACTTTTCTAGGGCTAGACACAGTAGCTCATACCTGTAATCCCAACACTTTCGGAGGCCAAGCCAGGAGGATGGCTTGAGGACAAGAGTTCAAGACCAGCCTGAACAACATAGCAAGACCTCTGTCTCTACAAAAATCTTCTAAAAATTAGCTGGGCATCGTGGCATATGCCTGTGGTCCTGGCTACTCAGGAGGCTGAGTTGAGGAGATCACTTGAGCCCAAGAGTTCGAGGTTATGGTGAGCTATGATCGCACTGCTGACTCCAGCCTAGGCAACACTAAGACCCTGACTCTAAAAAAATAAAAGTAAATAAATCACTCTGATCATACCTAATGAACCTTAAAAGCAAGAAGCAAGATCCACAAGGATCACAGTGAAATGGCCTCATTGCCTGATCCAAAGTTCTTGATCTCACAGCCAAGGAAGTCAAGGACACGGCCACACCAAGGGTGAGGTTAGAGCAGAAGCAGAAGTTTATTAGGCAAAAGAAAGATAACAGCTCTCTGCAGCAGAGAGGGATTAAAAGCGTTGCCATTCAGCAGTGAAATTCAAGGGTTTTTATAAGCTAGCTAGTGGGGAGGTGAGGTGTTATCTTACCTACATAGGGTGTGAAAAACCCCAGGTGTGCCATCTGCGTAGAGCATGAATCTCTGGCATCCCCCACCCCACCCTTTTATTATACAGGCAGGTCTTTTGCCTGAGCTACTCCACGTTGCTTTCCTACTGTGTATGTGCTTCAAAGGGGGAGGTGGAGCCTCCATGGTGGACACACCTGGCCTCAGGTACCCCTTTCTGTCTGTGCAGCTGCAAGCATCCCCCGATGCAAACTCCAGCTTCCTTATCTGTTTGCAGCCAGGTCTTCCAGGCTGCTTTCTGTTAGAAGAGGAGTGATTTCCTGGGCTGCTTTTTGGTAGAAGGGAAGTTCTGCCGAGGACTCTCTGCCCTAACTATCTGCCTAGCTGGTCTCTTTTTACCTCCTCTCTCAAGAGTGTTTCCAAGAAATGTAACTTCATTCTACAACAAAGCTCAATAACATTTATAGAAATATAAACTTGTCCAGCACCAAATAATGTAAAAGTCTTGCTGTCTGGCACCCAATCAGAAGTTATCAGGAATGCAAAGTAGCAGGAACATAGGACCCATAATGAGGAGAAACTGTTCAATCAAAGTCAAACCAGAACTGCTAGAGATGTTAAAATTATCAGACAAGGGCACTAAAAGTTATTAATAACTGTACTCTATAGAATAGAATAAGGTACATATTGAGATGCTGTTCAGATGTTTAAGTAAAGATATGGAACATACTTTTTAAAGCTTGAGCTGAACTTCCAGAGATGAAGACTACATCTGAGATGAAAAAGTAACTCAATGGAATTAACAGCACATTGCTTAATACAAAAAAAGAGAAAGGTTAGTGAACATGAAGACATAGCAATGGAAAATATCCAAAATGGAACACAGAAAAAAATAGAAGTAAAGAAATATTAAAGGCATCAGTGAAAGCCAGGTGCAGTGGTGCATATCCGTAATCCCAGCTACTTAGGAGGTTGAAGCAGAATTATTGCTTGAGCCCAGGAGTTTGAGGCTAGCCTGGGCTACATAATGAGACCCTCATCTCTAAAAAAGAAAAAATAATTAAAAATTAAATCATCTGTGAGCTGTGGAAAAATGTAAGCAGCCTAAAATAAGTGTAATTGGAATCCTTGAAGGAGAGGCATGAACAATAGGAAAAAATGATTCAAGGAAACAGTACCTCTAAGAAAATGTATAAGTTAAACACCTCTATTAGAAAAGAAGCAGGGCCTCAAATCAGTTACCTTAATTTTTATCTTGAAAACTAGAAAAAAAAAAGCAAATTAAACCCAGACAGAAGAAATGAAATAATAAAGACCAGAACAAAAAACAATGAAATAGTAAATGGAAAAATAAATTAAACCCAGACAGAAGAAATGAAATAATAAAGACCAGAACAAAAAACAATGAAATAGTAAATGGAAAAATAGTAGAGAAAGTCAGTGAAACCAAAAGTGGGGTCTTTGAGATCAATAAAATTGATAAACCCATAGCCACATAATCAGAGGAAAAAGAAGATACAAATTAACAATATCAAGAATGAAAGAGATGACCTCAGTACAGATTCTCAAGATATTAAAAGGATTATAAAGGAATATTATAAACAATTCTATGCCAATAAATGCAGCAAGTTAAATGAAATTCACAAATTATTTGAAAGGTACAAAATACCAAAGCCTATACAAGAAAAAAAATAAATGATTTGAATAGCTCTATGTTTATTAATGAAATCTAAGTTGTAGTTTAAAACTTTCTCACAAAGATAACTGCAAGCATCTATAGCTTCATTGGTAAATTCTACCACACATATAAAGGAAAAATTTTACCAGCTCTTCCAGGAAATTGAAAAGGGTTTGTACTTCTCAACTCATTCATTCTTTGCGCCAGCATTACCCTAATACAAAACCAAGAAAGACTACAGACAAATATTCCTCATGAAGAAAAGTGTGAAAATACTGAAAAAAATTTTAGCAAATCGAATTTGGCATTATATAAAAAGGATACTACATCATGACCAAGTGGGTTTTATCCCAAGAATGCAAAACTAGTTTAACATTCAAAAACCAATCAACATAATTTTCCATATTAATATACTGAGAAACAGAAGGTATACAATCATCTCAGTAAATGCAGAAAGAGCCTTTGGTAAAATCCACATTCGTTCTTGATTTTTAGAAAACACTCAGAAAACTAGGAATAGAAGAAAACCTCCTCAATCTTATATAAAGTATTTACAAAAAAGCCTACAGCTAACCTGACACCTAGTGATGAAAGAAAGCTTTTCCCCAAAGATCAAGAGGGAAATAAGGATGCCCTCTTTCACCACTTCTATCCAACATTTTCCTGGACATTCTAGCCAGTGCAGTCAAACAATAAATTATAATTAAAAAGCATCCAGATTGGAAAAGAAGAAGCAAACTATCTTTATTCACAGGTGACATGATGACATATGTAGAATATCTAATGGAATTTAAAAGCATTTTTTGGAACTAGTAAGTGAAGTTAGCAGTGTTGTAAGATAGAAAATCAATATAGAGAGGTCAGTTGCATTTTTACAATTGCAATGAATAATTGCATTATTTTTAAAAATAAATTTTAAAAATACTTTATTCAGTAGCATCCAAAAATATAAAATGTGAATAAATTTACAATTGAAACTTCAAAAGATTGCTTAAAGAGATGAAAAACCTAAATAAAGGGTTAAGTGTACCATATACAGGGTCAAAAGACTCAATATTATTAAGATGTTGGTTCTCCCCAGATCGCTTTAAATTCAGTACGATCTCAATAACAATCCAAACCAGCTTTTTATGTAGAAATTAACAAGTTGACTTTAAAATCCATACATAAATCCAAGGATAGAGAATAAACAAAACAAACTTTGAAAAATTGGAATAAAGTTAGAAGGCGTATTAGTTCTCACATTGCTATGAAGAGATACCCAAGACTGGGTAATTTATAAAGGAAAGAGGCTTAGTTGACTCACAGTTCCACATTACTGGGGAGGCCTCAGGAAACTTACAGTCATGGTGGAAGACAAAGGAGAAGCAGGCACCTTCTTCACAGGGCAGCAGGACGGAGTGAGTGCAAGCAGGGGAGATGCCAGACACTTATAAAACCTTCAGATCTTGTGAGACTCACTCATTATTCACAAGAACAGCATGGGGGAAACTGCCCCCATGATCCAATGACCTCCACTCAGTCCTGCCCTTGACACGTGGAGATTATGGGGATTTCAATTCAAAGTGAGATTTGGGTGGGGACATAGAGCCAAACTATATCAGAAGTCTGACAATACCTGATATTAAAACTCATAAGAGTACAGTAATCAAAACTGTGATATTGATCAAATGTTCAACATGAAGACTATCATTAATAATATTGCATAGTGTACTAGAAAATTTGCTCTTACTACTCACAGACATACACACACATATGCACAAAGGGGTAACCGTGAAATGATGAATAAGCTAATGTGCTTGACTATAATAACCATTTCACTATGTATAAGTGTATCAGAACATCATATCATATACCTTAATATATACAGTAAAGTAGTTTTTTTAATGTAGAGAATTAGATCAATGAAACAAATTGGAAAGTTAAGAAACAGTTTACATATGTGGACAACTGATCTTCAATAAGGATACAAAAGTAATTCAGTGCAAAAAAATCATCTTTTCAACAAATTGTGGGATAATTGGATTTATATATGCAAAAGAAGTGAACTTTGGTTTACATCTCACTCATATGCAAAAATTACCTTAAAATGGATGGTATCCCTAAATATAAAACCTAAAGCTAAAAAAGTCTTCTAGAAAAAAACACAGGAGAAAATCTTTTTATTTTATTTTTATTATTTTTTTTATTTCCTTAGATTATTGGCATACAGGTGGTGTTTGGTTACATGAGTAAGTTCTTTAGTGGGGATTTGTGAGATTTTGGTGCACCCATCACCCAAGCAGTATACACTGAACCCTATTTGTAGTCTTTTATCCCTGAGTCCTCAAAGTCCATTGTGTCATTCTTCTGCCTTTGCATCCTCATAGCTTAGCTGCCACTTATAAGTCAGAACATACGATGTTTGGTTTTCCATTCCTGAGTTACTTCACTTAGAATAATAGTCTCCAGTCTCATCCAGGTCGCTCAAATGCCATTAATTCATGAGAAAATCTTTTTAACCTTGTCTTAGGAAAAGATTTTCTAGAGACAATACCCCATGAACAATCCATAAAAGAAAAAATTAATAAATTGGACTTCATTTAAAACTTAAACTGCTTTTTGAGGATAGTGCTAAGAGAATGAACAGATAAACTACAAGTTGGAAGAAAGTACTGCAAATCATATATGTGGTAAAGTACTTGTTTCTAAAATATGTAAAGAGCTCTCATGACTCAATTATTTTTGTAAAAACTATCCAATTAAAAATAAGCAAAAGCTTTGAACAGACTTCACCAAAGAAGATACATGGATAGCAAATAAGCAGGTGAAAAGACGCTCAACATCATTAATCCTTAGGGAAATATAACTTAAAGCCAGAATGAGATAGCACTACACACCTATGAGAATGACTAAAACCAACAATACTGAGCATACCAAATCTCAGCAAGGATGTGGAAAAACTGGTAAATTTGTACGCTGCTGGTTTTGAATGGAAAGTGGTGCAGCCACTTTAGAAAACAATTCAGCAAGTTCTTCAAAATTAGACATGTACCTAGTGTACAATCCAGCAAATTTTACTCCTATTTATTTACTTAAGAAAACCGAAAGCCTTTGCCCATAGCAAAGCTTGTACACAGATGTTTTTAGCATTCTTAGTGAGGGCTAAAAAACTGGAAGCAACCTAAATGCCCATCACAGGTAAACAGGTAAACAAATGGTGGTAGATACATACACTGGAATGCTACTCGGCTCTCAATCCAAAGGAGTGAATTATTGATAACGTGCAACAACAGTGATGATTCTCAAAATAATTACATGAAGTGAAAGAAGTGAGACAAAAAAAAAACTACATGTTGTGCAATTCCACTTATGTAAAGTCTAGGAAATGCATAGTGATCTATAGCGATGGAATGCAGGTCAGTGATTGCCTCAGATAGGGCTGAGGGCAGCAGTGAGCAGTGGGGATTACAAAGCAGCTGAGGAATTTTTTTTTTTTTTTTTTTTTTTTTTTTTTTTTAGAGGGAGGCTGGAGTGCGGTGGTGCGACCTCGTCTCACTGCAAGCTCTGCCTCCTGGGTTCATGCCATTCTCCTGCCTCAGCCTCCTGAGTAGCTGGGACTACAGGCGTCCGCCACCATGCCTGGCTAATTTTTTGTAGTTTAGTAGAGATGGGGTTTCACTGTGTTAGCCGGGATGGTCTTGATCTCCTGACCTCATGATTCGCCCACCTCAGCCTCCCAAAGCGCTGGGATTATAGGCGTGAGCCACCGCGCCTGGCCTGAGCAATCTTTTGAGAGTGGTAGATATGTATGGTATCTTGCGGTGATAACAGACCTCAGAGGTATTGCAGATTCAGTTCCAGACCACTGCAATAAATATAGCAATAAAGCAAGTCGCATGAATTTTTTGGTTTTCTAGTGCATATAGAAATTATGTTGGCTAGGCACAGTGGCTCACACCTGTAGTCCCAACACTTTGAGAGCCAAGGAGGATGGATAGCTTGAGCCCGGAGTTCCAGACCAGCTTGGGCAGCATGGTGAGACCTCGTCTCTATTGAGAAAAAAAAAAAAACCCTACAAAAATCAGCCTGGTTTGGTGGTGCATGCCTGTAGTCCCAGCTACTGGGGAGGCTGAGGTGGGAGGATTGCTTGAGTTGAGGAGACAGAGGTTGCAGTGAGTAGAAATAGTGCCACTCTACTCCAGTCTGGGTGACAGAGCAAGACCCTGTCTCAAAAAAAAAAGTTATGTTTATACTATTCTGTAGTCTACTAAGTGTTCAATAGCATTATATCTAAAAAAGTACATAACTTGATTTGAAAAAATACTTCATTGCCAAAAATGCTAACAATCATCTGAGCCTTCAGTGAGTCATAATCTTTTTGCTGGTGGAGGGTCTTGCCTCAATGTTTATGGCTGCTAACTGATCAGGGTGGTGATTGCTGAAGGTTGGGGTGGCTGTGACAATTTTTTAAAATAAGACAATCATGAAGTTTGATGCATTTAATTGACTCTTCCTCTCATGAAAGATTTCTCTGTAGCATGTGTGATGCTATTTGATAGCATTTTACCCACAGTGGAACTTCTTTCAAAATTGAAGTCAGTCCTCTGAAACCTTGCTGCTGCTTTATCAAATGCATTTTGTAATTTCTAAATCCTTTTTGTCATTTCAGCAATGTTCACAGCATCTTTACCGGGAGCAGATTCCATCTCAAGAAACCACTTCCCTTGCTCATCCATAAGAAGCAACTCCCCAACTTGAGATTGTAGCAATTTAGTCACATCTTCAGACTCCACTTCTAATTCCAGTTCTCTTCCACGACATCTGCAGTTAATTCTTCCACTGAAGTCTTGGACCCCACAAAGTCATCCATGAGAGTTGGAATCCACTTCTTACAACCTCCTGTTAATGTCGATAATTTGACCTCCTCCCATGAATCATAGATGTTCTTATTGACTTCTAGAGTTGTGAATCCTTTCCAGAAGGTTTTCAATGTACTTTGCCCAGATCTATCAGAGGAATCACTGTCTATGGCAGTTATAGCCTTATAAAATGTATTTCTTAAGTAATAAGAGTTGCAAGTCAAAATTACTCCTTGATCCGTGGAGTACAGAATGGATGTTGTATTAGCAGACATGAAAACATTGATCTTGAACATCTTCATCAGAGCTCTTGGGTAACTAGGTGCATTGTCAAATGAGCAGTAATATTTTGAAAGAAATCTTTCTTTCTGAGCAGCATGTCTCAGCAATGAGCTTAAAATATTCAGTAAACCAAGGTATCAACAGATGTGCTGTGCCCAGGCTTCTTTGTTCCTATAGAGCACAGGAAGAGTAGATTTAGTGTCATTCTTAAGGGCACTAGAACTTTCAGAATGATAAATGAGCATTTGTTTCAACTTAAAGTCACCAGCTACAATTGTCCCTGTCTGTAGAAGCTTTGAAGCCAGGCAGAGACTTATTCTCATCTAGCCTAGATAACATCTTCTTCCAATAGAGGGCTGTGTTGTCTACATTGAACATCTGTTGTATAGTGTAGCCACCTTAATCAGCGATGTTAACTAGATCTTCTAAGATCTAGAGATCTTGCTGCAGCTTCTCCATCAGCACTTGCCACTTCCCCAGTGCTATAACATAAAACTTTTATGTTATTGAAGATGGCTTTTTTCCTTAAACCTCATGAACCAACCTCTGCTAGCTTCTAACTTTTCTATTCTTTTTTTTTTTTCCATTTGAACAACTTGACATTTTAGGGTTGTTAATAGCCTAACTTTAATATGTTGTGTCTCAAGGAATACGGAGGCCTGAGGAGAGGGAGACCGGAGAATCACTGGTCAGTGGAGCAGTCAGAACACACACAACGTTTATTAAGTTCATCGGTATGTGTGGGTGTGGTTCGTGGTGCCCCAGAACCAGAACTGTTGTAATTACAACAGTAACATCAAAGATCACTGAGCACAGGTCACTATAACAAATATAATCCTAATGGAAAAGTTTGAAATACTGTGAGAATTCCCAAAATGTGACACAGAGATGCACAGTGAGTGCATGCTGTTTGAAAAATGATGCCAATAAACTTGCTCAGCACAGGGTTGCCACAAACCTTTAATTTGTAAAAAGAAAATGCAGTATCTTCAAAGGGCAATACAGTAAAGCACAGTAAAATGAGGTGTGTCTGTATGGACACGTGTCAGCTTCTCAAATTGTAAACTTTAAATATGTGCATTTTATTTGGTGTCAATTGTATAAAGCGATTAAATTTTTAAAAGGACTGATGCAGACAGCACCTGGCATCTGGGATAAAGTGTATCATTTTCCTCTTTATGGCAGGAACTGCCACGCCCCCTGTTTTCATGCTGCTGGAGACCAGCCGGCAGGTGGGGGGCAGTGGCTCTCCTTGTCAATCCTGGGCATGCAGGTGACAGTGCAGGGAGAGTGCCCTTCCCACATGGCCCCCGTTTGTAGCCACAGCTGTCCCTGCAAAAACTGTGCAGCCTGAAGTGAATTAACAAGACAGTTTTCAGATCTTCACTTGCTTGTGGGTTTCACATGTCACATTTAACCTCCAGTTACATCGACTTTTTCAAACCCCACTTAGGCATCTTAGAATTTTATCATTTGCATTCTTTTATGTTGAATAAGAGAGTTGTAGTACATGCCCCACTGTCTGCTTTCTGAAACATCCAGGTTGGAGTTAGCGCCTTCACACACTCTCCCTGGAAGCACCAGGCGCCATCCTCAGTGCAGCGGCAAGGCGGTGTCGGGGCTCTCTGCCCCCAGGTCTCTCCCCGCCTGGTTCCATTGGCTGCTGGGAAGGATGTTTGGATGGGAGGTCTTTGTGTTTTCAGGCAGGAAATATTATTTGCTCCGCTAGCCCTAGGCCTTACTAATTTACTGTGCAGTCTTCAACAAATTTCTTGATCTTCTGCTCTCTGTTTTCTCATCTGTAAAATTGAGGGCAGTGAGCAAGGTGACCTGTAGGTCCCAGGAGCGCCAAGGTAGTGCCGTATTTAGTACCAGGTTTTCCTAAGAGGAAATGGGGGCTACTTGGGGTCAAAACAAAGGAGAGTCTTTCTAGATAGGGAAGGACTAGCAGTGGGTCAAAACTTGCCAAGAAGGACTATGAAGGGAGCTTTGCTTGGGGTTTAAAAGCTCTGATCACAGACTTGGAGGGGCTCAAACCCCTCGCTTTAGAAGGCAGAAACCAAGAACCACTAAGGACCTAGGACTTGCTGACGGTGTCTTTGGAGTTAAAGGTGGAACTGAAGTTAGAGCTGATTTTCTTCCTGTCACATCCAGTAAGACTGGGAATGGTTGGGTGCCAGAGGCAGGTTCCAGAAGGTGGGAAGAGTCCTGTCTGCATCCCCAGGGTCCTAACCTTGAGGAAAGCTTGCTGTCCTTTTGTCCTGCTTCACACTCCCTTTGGTTAAAGGTTTCACTCAGAGCCCGATGGAAACCTTCAGGAAAAAAGGGCCCCAAACCGAGGCGAGGACACTGGGGAAGCCTTGGGTGGTTTCTGTGTGGGGCGGCCCCTGCTCTGTGAAGCACAGGGGAATAGGACTCCATCGCTGTCATCGTCACTCATGCCCTGGTGCAGACCTGCAGGAACATTGCCTGCTGTATACAGGGCAAATGGGCACTGTGCCGGGAGAAGCCTGTAGGAAGAGAGGCCTGGAGGGATGAGGAGGGAACTCCGACCATGAGCATGCACGGAGCTCCGTGAAGGAGGGCCTTGACAGACAGAGGCATGGTGGGTGGAGACGGGTGGAGAACATCCGGGCAGAACACAGAGCATGCGCCGTGGCGTGCTGGCAGGGACGTATATGCTGTGTAAAGGCAGGGAGTAGGTCCAGGTGCCCTGGGAAGAGTGTGTGTAGAGAAACGTCGTGGAAGAGGAGACGCCAAGGAAGACCCGATGCGAGGTCATGGCTGGTTTGCGTGCTTTGTGGAAACTGCCATAGACTGGCTTTTGTCAGCAATGGCAGAGAGAGGGGGTTGCATTTTTCTCCTTTTAGTTTGCTTTTGAGGTCTCCCTCTCTCTGTAGAGTGGCTGTGAACTCCAGCCCTGCCCTGATGGGGCTCCAGGGGAGGTGGTTGTGCATGTTTATGATGTGCCTTCACGGGGTACTTCTTTATCCTGGTGGATGGCAGAATCCCTGTGTCTGACCTGTGCCCAGGTCTCTCATGAGAAACTTGTTTACCCTCTTAGATACCCTTGAGTCTCTTGTCTGTGTCTGGTGTATTTATTTATTTAGCCTACCAAGATAGCCACTCTTCAGGAGAGTTCTGAATTTGGAAAGAAGTTAGGATCAGGTGTGTTGGTCAAGTGAGACACAGAGGAGGCCACTCAACAAAACCCATGAAATACCAGAAGCAGTGAGTTCCTCGCAGGTCCAGAGAGAAGAGGGCAGCACGCTGGACTGGGGGAGCCGTCAGGACCCTTGTGCTCGCCAGCAGGTGGGGAGCAAGAGAGATGGAGTGTGGGCCCTGAGAGCTGAAGCCTTTATGGGGTCCAGGCCATCACCCCAGCAGGTTCCCAAGAAGTTGTAATTCGTTGGCTTAGATCAGGTAGGCACAAGTTACGGGAGGCCATGTTGTGAGGGAGAGGTGGTCATGGCAGCATATCTGGGCAGTCCATGCCGGGTGTGAGGGTCTGCAGGGTGGGTCAAGTAGGTTGCATCTAGCTGTCCCTTAGGGACTTGGTCACCAGGAGGCAGCTATATAAGGCACATCTCTGGATCGACCATTTTGAGGGCCTGGGAAGAGGTGGAGACGTGGAAACTTTCAAGGATGACTAAGCCCTGCTTCTGGTATGAGAAAGTCCAACATATATTCAAAATAGGTACCAAGAAAGCATAACATTGTAAGAATTCACTGCAGTGGATCATCTGAAGGGTCTAAGGTGAGAAATGAATATGTAGTGTAGAAGTTGAAGAGGCATCCACAGGAATGATCTCTAATGAACTGGATCTGCCTCCAAGATAGAGATCAAAATTGGTTTAAAACAAATACAAGCCAGGTGCAGTGGATCACGCCTGTAATTCCAGCACTTTGGGAGGCCAAGGCAGGAGAATCACTTGAGGCGAGGAGTTGGAGCCTAGCCTGGGCAATATAGTACGACCCTGTCTTTACTAAAAATGCAAAAATTAACCACGTATGGTGGCTCACACCTGTAGTCCTGGCTACTGAGGAGGCTGATGCAGGAGAATCATTTGAACCCAGGAGGTCAAGGCTGCAGTGAGCTATGATTGCACCACTGCAATCCAGCCTGGACAACACAGTGAGACCCTGCCTCACAAAAATTATATTCTGATTTTCTGAGTCCATGAACACATTGTCCAAATGGATTTTTCTAGCTCCTCCAAGTTACAGATAGTTCCACGCACACACAGAACTCACCACTCTCAAATATTTTCCCCACTAGTATACTATTAAATTTTTCAAACATGCAAAAGATGAAAGAATTGCTCAGTGAACACCATGTACCCACCACCTAGATTCTACAATTAACATTTTACCCTACTTTCTTTATCACATATATGTACCTATCCATCTATCCATTCTTCCATGAATCCATCAATTCATCTAATTTTTTATATATTTCAAGTTAAGTTGCAGATATGTAGCTTATGTTTCACCTTAAATGTTTCTGCCTGGCTATTATTAACTGGAGTGCAATATGTTTTTGGTTCTTCTTTATGGTAAAATCTATGTTCAGTGAAATGCACAAGACTTAGGTATGCCATTAATAGGTTTTGACGAATAGACAAACCTTGTGTCTGAAACTGTAATAAAAAAATCAAACACTACCTTGCTTTCAAAAAGTTTCCTCACTTCTTTTCTTGGTCAAAACCCCTCCCCACCTCAGCCCACCCCTCAGCAACCATTGTTCTCAATTTTTTTTTTTGCATTCCTAGATTGATTTTGCTTGTTCCATAACCTCGTATAAATGAAAGTGTACAGTGTGCAAGGTTTGTGTCTGGTTTTTCCACCAAGCACATTTCTGAAATTCATCTATGTTGAGTATATTAGCAGTTCATTTCTTTTGAAGAAAGAATGAAGTGTGCTAAGTAGTGTTTCATTGTGTGGCTATACCACAGTTTTTTTTTTATCCATCACTATTTGATGGGTATCTGGGTGGTTTCTGGCTTTGGCTACTATCAGTAAAGCTACTACAGACATTTCTGTAAAAGTCTTTTTATGGAGATGTGGCTTTGTTTTTCTTGGGTAAACACCTATTAGTGAACTCTCTGGATCCCAGGTAGATGTAGCCGGGGTCATAGGCAGAGGTATGTTGAGTATTACAGAAACTGCTAGGCCTTTTCAATTGTGTTCATATTGTTTTATACTCCCACTGTAACAACATACGAGAGTCCTGCTTGCTCCATCATCTTTGATGTTTAGTGTTGTCAGTCTTTTTAACTTTAGCCATTCTAGTGCATTTGTATGTCATTCCATTGCAGTTCTTTTTTTTTTTTTTTTTTTTTAATCAGTAATGTTTAGTCAAAGTCTGATATTGTGGTGTACTAGTCATCTATTGCCGCATACAAAATCATCCCAAAATTTAGCAGCCTAAGATAACCATCATATATTTCTTACACCATTTCTGAGGCTCATAAATCCAAGCGTGGCGTAACTGGCTCACGGTCCTTCTCGAGGTTGCAGTCCAGCTGGGGCTGCAGGACCTTCTTCCATCCCCACTCGCAGGGCTGCTGGTGGCCTCAGTTCTTCACTGGCGGTCAGCAGGAGACCTCAGAGCCTCACCACAGCCTCTTCCCTGGCTGCCTGGGCAACCTCGTAAGGCATCAGTTGACTTCCCTCAGAGCAAGTGATCAGAGAGAGATAAAGAGACAGCTTACGATGGAAGCCACAGTCTGTCATGGAGTAATCTCGGAAGTGACATCCCATCGCATGGGCTATAATCCATCGGTCATACAGACTAACCCTAGTACAAAGTGGAGGGGGCCACACAGAAGGATCCTTGGGGGCTATCTTGGAGGGTGGCCACCCCGTGGGGAGAAGGTGGAAGCAGCCGCCTCAGGGAGGCAGATTGTAATCAGGACCCATAGGAGTAGCAGGGAGCCCATGTGTTTCTGTGCAGTTTGCTGAAGCCAGTCAGAACATCCTGAGTCTGACTTATCACCCTTCTCTGACCTGCTGGGGTTCCTGAACCAAGTAGTTTAACTTGCCAAGCCTTAGTTTCTGCAGTTATAAAATGGTGGTATGAATGAATGAAACAAGGTATCCGCAACACTGAAATGGAACATAATAGGGCCTGAACAGAGGACAGTTATGAATATTTCCATACAAAATGCAATTTCATGCCCTTCATCAATGGTCATTTTCTCATTTTACTTTTGAGGACTAGATTTGCCAAAGTCCCTCTGGGGCCAACCCAGTACACCACTGAGAAGCCCTTTGAAAAAGCCAGCTTTATCATCGTTTTGTTTTTATTTCTTGATATTTGGAAAGTTTTCTTCCTTCTGCTTCTATGTGTCCTCTGCCTAACTAGTCATGGTGACTCCTTGGATAGTATTCTCCATGGTTTCTTGTAAAATATTGATGCTTACCTTGCAATCTTGCAGCTTTTAGCATGAATTATTTTGCCGATTATAATCAGGCCTCTAGGAATAAACACCACTGATTTTAATTTAATGTTAAATTTGTACTAAGAGTGAATCATAATGGTCGGACTAATCTAAATGGTGCAAGTATATAAAACTACATGTCCATGTGCTCAGTTCCTGCTTGTTTATGTTTTGTTATAAAGTAACAGCTTTTTAACATCAAATATATTCCAAGTAGCCACCTTACATTCACACTGCAAAACCTACTACAAAGCAAAGCCAACAAGACAAAGTCAAAATATTTCAAAGTTTCTTACTGAAGTATTGCATACCTCTAGAAATCACAACATAACTGTACAACTTAATGAATTCTCAGAAAATATAGCATCGGTGCAAATATCATTGAAATCAAATCGGTGGGGCAGTTCCAAGTTGGCCGAATAGGAACAGCTCCAGTCTATAGCTCCCAGCGTGAGCGACGCAGAAGACAGGTGATTTCTGCATTTCCAACTGAGGTACCGGGTTCATCTCACTGGGGCTTGTCAGACAGTGGGTGCAGCACACCGAGCATGAGCCGAAGCAGGGCGAAGCATCGCCTCACCCGGGAAGTGCAAGGGGTCAGGGAATTCCCTTTCCTAGCCAAGCAAAGCTGTGACAGATGGCACCTGGAAAATCAGGTCACTCCCACCCTAATACTGCGCTTTTCCAATGGTCTTAGCAAATGGCACACCAGGAGATTATATCCCATGCATGGCTCAGAGGGTCCCATGCCCACGGAGCCTCGCTCATTGCTAGCACAGCAGTCTGAGATCAAACTGCAAGACAGCAGCGAGGCTAGGGGAGGGGCGCCTGCCATTGGTGAGGCTTGAGTAGGTAAACAAAGCGGCCGGGAAGCTCGAACTGGGTGGATCCCACTGCAGCTCAAGGAGGCCTGCCTGCCTCTGTAGACTCCACCTCCGGGGGCAGGGCATAGCCGAACAAAAGGCAGCAGAAACCTCTGCAGACTTAAATGTCCCTGACAGCTTTAAAGAGAGTAGTGGTTCTCCCAGCATGGAGTTTGAGATCTGAGAACGGACAGACTGCCTCCTCAAGTGGGTCCCTGACCTCCGAGTAGCCAAACTGGGAGGCACCCCCCCAGTAGGAGCAGACTGACACCTCACACAGCTAGGTACCCCTCTGAGACGCAACTTCCAGAGGAATGATCAGGCAGCAACGTTTGCTGTTCAGCAATATTTGCTGTTCTGCAGCCTCCGCTGCTGATACCCAGGCAAACAGGGTCTGGAGTGGACCTCCAGCAAACTCCAACAGACCTGCAGCTGAGGGTCCTGACTGTTAGAAGGAAAACTAACAAGCAGAAAGGACATCCACACCAAAACCCCATCTGTATGTCACCATCATCAAAGACCAAAGGTAGATAAAACCACAAAGATAGAGAAAAAACAGAGCAGAAAAACTGAGCAGAAAGGACATCCACACCAAAACCCCATCTGTATGTCACCATCATCAAAGACCAAAGGTAGATAAAACCACAAAGATAGAGAAAAAACAGAGCAGAAAAACTGAAAATTCTAAAAATCAGAGCACCTCTCCTCCTCCAAAGGAACGCAGCTCCTCACGAGCAATGGAACAAAGCTGGATGGAGAATGACTTTGACGAGTTGAAATAAGAAGGCTTCAGATGATCAAACTTTTCTGAGCTAAAGGAGGAAGTTTGAACCCATTGCAAAGAAGTTAAAAACCTTGAAAAAAGATTAGACGAATAGCTAACTAGAATAACCAGTGCAGAGAAGTCCTTAAATGACCTGATGGAGGTGAAAACCATGGCACGAGAACTGCGTGACGAATACAGAAGCTTCAGTAGCTGATTCGATCAACTGGAAGAAAGGGTATCAGTGATTGAAGATCAAATGAATGAAATGAAGGGAGAAGAGAAGCTTAGAGAAAAAAGAATAAAAAGAAACAAACAAAGCCTCCAAGAAATATGGGACTATGTGAAAAGACCAAATCCACGTCTGATTGGTGTACCTGAAAGTGAGGGGGAGAATGAAACCAAGTTGGAAAACACTCTGCAGGATATTATCCAGGAGAACTTCCCCAACCTAGCAAGGCAGGCCAGCATTCAAATTCAGGAAATACAGAGAACACCACAAAGATACTCCTTGAGAAGAGCTACTCCAAGACACATAATTGTCAGATTCACCAAAGTTGAAATGAAGGAAAAAATGTTAAGGGCATCCAGAGAGAAAAGTCAGGTTACCCACAAAGGGAAGCCCATCAGACTAACAGCTGATCTCTCAGCAGAAACTCTACAAGCCAGAAGAGAGTGGGGGCCAATATTCACCATTCTTGAAGAAAAGAATTTTCAACCCAGAATTTCATATCCTGTGAAACTAATCTTCATAAGTGAAGGAGAAATAAAATCCTTTACAGACAAGCAAATGCTGAGAGATTTTGCCACCACCAGACCTGCCCTACAAGAGCTCCTGAAGGAAGCACTAAATGTGGAAAGGAACAACTGGTACAGTCACTGCAAAAACATGCCAAATTGAAAAGACCATTGATGCTAGGAAGAAACTGCATCAACTAACGAGCAAAATAACCAGCTAACATCATAATGACAGTATCAGATTCACACATAACAATATTAACTTTAAATGTAAATGGGCTAAATGCTCCAATTAAAAGACACAGACTGGCAAATTGGATAAAGAGTCAAGACTCAGTGTGCTGTATTCAGGAAATACATCTCACATGCAGAGACACACATAGGCTCCAAATAAAGGGATGGAGGAAGATCTACCAAGCAAATGGAAAACAAAAAAAGGTAGGGGTTGCAATCCTCGTCTCTGATAAAATAGACTTTAAACCAACAAAGATCAAAAGAGACAAAGAAGGCCATTACATAATGGTAAAGGGATCAATTCAACAAGAAGAGCTAACTATCCTAAATATATATGCACCCAATACAGGAGCACCCAGATTCATAAAGCAAGTCCTTAGAGACCTACAAAGAGACTTAGACTCCCACACAATAATAATGGGAGACTTTAACACCCCACTGTCAACATTAGACAGATCAATGAGACAGAAAGTTAACTAGGATATCCAGGAACTGAACTCAGCTCTGCACCAAGCAGAACTAATAGACATCTACAGAACTCTCCACCCCAAAATCAACAGAATATACATTCTTCTCAGCACATCACACTTATTCCAAAATTGAACACATAATTGGAAGTAAAGCACTCCTCAGCAAATGTAACAGAACAGAAATTATAGCAAACTGTCTCTCAGACCACAGTGCAATCAAACTAGAACTCAGGATTAAGAAACTCACTCAAAACCGCTCAACTACATGGAAACCGAACAACCTGCTTCTGAATGACTATGGGGTACATAATGAAATGAAGGCAGAAATAAAGGTGTTCTTTGAAACCAGTGAGAATAAAGACACAACATACCAGAATCTCTGGGACACATTTAAAGCAGTGTGTAGAGAGAAATTTATAGCACTAAATGCCCACAAGAGAAAGCAGGAAAGATCCAAAATTGACACCCTAACATCACAATTAAAAGAACTAGAGAAGCAAGAGCAAACACATTGAAAAGCTAGCAGAAGGCAAGAAATAGTAACTAAGATCAGAGCAGAACTGAAGGAGATAGAGACACCAAAAACCCTTCAAAAAATCAATGAATCCAGGAGCTGGTTTTTTGAAAAGATCAACAAAATTGATAGACTGCTAGCAAGACTAATAAAGAAGAAAAGAGAGAAGAATCAAATAGACGCAATAAAAAATGATAAAGGGGATATCACCACCAATCCCACAGAAATACAAACTACCATCAGAGAATACTATAAACACCTCTACACAAATAAACCAGAAAATCTAGAAGAAATGGATAAATTCCTGGACACATACACCCTCCCAAGACTAAACCAGGAAGAAGCTGAATCTCTGAATAGACCAATACCAGGCTCTGAAATTGAGGCAATAATTAATAGGCTACCAAACAAAAAAAGTCCAGGACCAGACGGATTCACAGCTAATTTCTACCAGAGGTACAAGGAGAAGCTGGTACCATTCCTTCTGAAACTATTCCAATCAATAGAAAAAGAGGGAATCCTTCCTAACTCATTTTATGAGGCCAGCATCATCCTGATACCAAAGCCTGGCAGAGACACACGCAAAAAAGAGAATTTTAGACTAATATCCCTGATGAACATCGATGCAAAAATCCTCGATAAAATACTGGCAAACCGAATCCATTAGCACATCAAAAAGCTTATCCACCATGATCAAGTGGGCTTCATCCCTGGCATGCAAGGCTGGTTCAACATACACAAATCAATAAGCGTAATCCAGTATATAAACAGAACCAAAGACAAAAACAACATGATTATCTCAATAGATGCAGAAAAGGCCTTTGACAAAATTCAGCAGCCGTTCATGCTAAAAACTCTCAATAAATTAGGTATTGATGGGACGTATCTCAAAATAATAAGAGCTATTTATGACAAACCCACAGCCAATATCATACTGAATGGGCAAAAACTGGAAGCATTCCCTTCAAAAACTGGCACAAGACAGGGATGCCCTCTCTTACCACTCCTATTCTACATAGTGTTGGGAGTTCTGGCCGGGGCAATCAGGCAGGAGAAAGAAATAAAGAGCATTCAATTAGGAAAAGAGGAAGTCAAATTGTCCCTGTTTGCAGATAACATGATTGTATATCTAGAAAACCCCACTGTCTCAGCCCAAAATCTCCTTAAGCTGATAAGCAACTTCAGCAAAGTCTCAGGATACAAAATCAATGTGCAAAAATCACAAAGCATTCTTATACACCAATAACAGACAAACAGAGAGCCAAATCATGAGTGAACTCCCATTCACAATTGCTTCAAAGAGAATAAAATATCTGGGAATCCAACTTACAAGGGATGTGAAGGACCTCTTCAAGGAGAACTACAAACCACTGCTCAATGAAATAAAAGAGGATACAAACAATTGGAAGAACATTCCATGCTCATGGGTAGGAAGAATCAATATTGTGAAAATGGCCATACTACCCAAGGTAATTTATAGATTCAATGCCATCCCCACCAAGCTACCAATGACTTTCTTCACAGAATTGGAAAAAACTACTTTAAAGTTCATATGGAACCAAAAAAGAGCCCTCATTGCCAAGTCAATCCTAAGCCAAAAGAACAAAGCTGGAGGCATCACACTACCTGACTTCAAACTATACTACAAGGCTACAGTAACTCTGTTTTGGTACTGGTACCAAAACAGAGATATAGACCAATGGAACAGAACAGAGCCCTCAGAAATGATGCTGCATATCTACAACTATCTGATCTTTGACGAATCTGACAAAAATAAGAAATGGGGAAACAATTCCCTATTTAATAAATGGTGCTGGGAAGATTGGCTAGCCATATGTAGAAAGCTGAAACTGGATCCCTTCCTTACACCTTATACAAAAATTAATTCAGGATGGATTAAAGACTTAAATATTAGATCTAAAACCATAAAAACCCTAGAAGAAAACCTAGGCAATACCATTCAGGACATAGGCATGGGCAAGGACTTCATGTCTAAAACACCAAAAGCAATGGCAACAAAAGCCAAAATTGACAAATGGGATCTAATTACGCTAAAGAGCTTCTGCACAGCAAAGGAAACCACCTTCAGTGTGAACAGGCAACCTACAGAATGGGAGAAAATTTTTGCAACCTACTCATCTGACAAAGGGCTAATATCCAGAATCTACAATGAACTCCAACAAATTTACAAGAAAAAAACAACCCCATCAAAATTGGGCAAAGGATATGAACAGACACTTCTCAAAAGAAGACATTTATGCAGCCAAAAAACACATGAAAAAATGCTCACTATCACTGGCCATCAGAGAAATGCAAATCAAAACCACAATGAGATACCATCTCACACCAGTTAGAATGGCAATCATTAAAAAGTCAGGAAACAACAGGTGCTGGAGAGGATGTGGAGAAATAGGAACACTTTTACACTGTGGGTGGGACCATAACGTAAACTAGTTCAACCATTGTGGAAGTCAGTGTGGCAATTCCTCAGGGATCTAGAACTAGAAATACCATTTGATCCAGCCATCCCATTACTGGGTATATACCCAAAGGATTACAAATCATGCTGCTATAAAGACACATGCACACATATGTTTATTGCAGCACTATTCACAACAGCAAAGACTTGGAACCAACCCAAATGTCCAACAATGATAGACTGGATTAAGAAAATGTGGCACATATACACCATGGAATACTATGCAGCCATAAAAAGTGATGAGTTCATGTCCTTTGTAGGGACGTGGATGAAGCTGGAAACCATCATTCTGAGCAAACTATCGCAAGGACAAAAAACCAACCACTGCATGTTCTCACTCATAGGTGGGAATTGAACAATGAGAACACATGGACACAGGAAGGGGAACATCACACACTGGGGCCTGTTGTGGGATGGGGGGAGGGGGGAGGGATAGCATTAGGAGATATAACTCATGCTAAATGACGAGTTAATGGGTGCAGCACACCAACATGGCACATGTATACATATGTAACCAACCTGCACGTTGTGCACATGTACCCTAAAACTTAAAGTATAATAATAATAATAAAATAGACATTTCTTTGGATTTGGTAAGATGGAGTTATCAGTGACTCGTAAATAACAAATTGAGATGGGAGCCAGATTGGGGTGATTTTATAGAAAACTAGAGGGGAGCAAGAGGTGAATCTACATCTAGATAAGCCTTTTTTTTTTTTTTTTTTTTTTGAGACAGAGTCTTGCTCTGTCACCCAGGCTGGAGTGCAGTGGTGTGATCGGTTCACTGCAACTTCCGCCTCTCAGGTTCAAGTGATTCTCCTGCCTCAGCCTCCCAAGTAGCTGGGGATTACAGGCATGTGCCACCACACCTGGCTAATTTTTGTATTTTTCATAGAGATGAGGTTTCCTCATGTTGGCCAGGCTGGTCTTGAACTCCTGACCTCAAGTGATCCCCCCAACTTGGCCTCCCAAAGTGCTGGGATTACAGGCATGAGCCACCACACCTGGCTATCAATCTGTGCCTATCCCACCAGTAATGCCTGTGTTAGCCTGTTTTGCTTTGTTATAAAGGAATACCTGAGGCAGGATAATTTATAAAGAAAAGAGGTTTATTTGGCTAACAGTTCTGCAGGCTATAGAAGAAGCATGGTGCCAGCATCTGCTTCTGGTGAGGGCTTCAGGCTGCTTCCACTCATGGCAGAAGGTGAAGGGGAGTAGACATCACATGGTGAGAGAGACAGAAAGAGAGAGGAGGGAGGTGCCAGATTCTTTTTAACAGCCAGATCTCCTGAGAACTAAGATTACTCTTTTTATTTTATTTATGTTTTTATTATTTATTTATTTATTTATTTTGACAGAGTTTCACTCTTGTTGACCAAGCTGGAGTGCAGTGGTGAGGTCTTGGCTCACCTGGGCATCTGCCTCCTGGGTTTGGGTGGTTCTCCTGCCTCAGCCTCCCGAGTGGGTGGGACTGCAGGCATGCTCAGCTAATTTTGCTTTTTTTTTTTTTTTTTTTTTTTTTGGTGGAGATGGGGTTTCTCCATGTTAGTCAGGCTGGTCTCAATCTCCTGACCTCAAGTTATGTGCCTGCCTCAGCCTCTCTGGGTGCTGGGATTGGAACAGGAATTAAAAGACATTTAAAAATGTGTAAGCAAAAACAGTTGTATGTTAAAAAAAAAAAACAAAAAAAAAAACCATTTCCCCCTGAGAATGAGAAAGAGCTGGAGTCCTTTAAAAGAAACTGCCTGTTTTTCTATGGCTAGTGAGCCTTATCTCTTCTCCCTTCCCAGGCATTATAAAACTCTAATTCCCTAACTGTGCAACTACAAGGTCACTAAACAAATTGGTGCATTTAAAACCCTTTAGCCACACAAGTTCTCCAAGTCCCCACCAGATTAGCTAGATACAGAGTGCTGATTGATACATCCACAAACCCCAAGCTAGACACAGAGTGCTGACTGGTCCATTTACAATCCTTTAGCTAGACATAAAAGTTCTCCAAGTCCCCACTAGATTAGCTAGACAGAGTGCTGATTGGTGCATTTGCAAACCTTGAGCTAGACACAGAGTGCTGATTGGTGCATTTACAATCCTTTAGCTAGACATAAAAGTTCTCCAAGTCCCCACCAGATTAGCTAGATACAGACTGCTGATTGGTGCATCCACGAACCCCAAGCTAGACACAGAGTGCTGACTGGTGCATATACAATCCTCTGGCTAGACATAAAAGTTCTCCAAGTCCACACCTGACTCAGGAGCCCACCTGGCTTCACCTAGTGGATCCCACGCCAGGGCTGTGGGTGGAGCTGCCCGCCAGTCCGGCACCATGCGCCTGCACTCCTTGGCCCTTGGGCGGTCAATGGGACCTGGCGCTGCGGAGCAGGGGGCCGCGCCTGTTTGGGAGGCTCGGGCGGCGTCGGAGCCCACCGAGGGGAGAGGGGGTCTCGAGCATGGCGGGCTGCATTCTTACATACAAAAATTGAGAAAATTCATCACCAGCAGAATTGCACTACAAAAATATTGAAGGAAATTATTCAGGCAGAAAAAAATGATGAGAAGAAAATTAAATCTATACAAAAAAACAAAGAATAAAAAAGTAAATATGTGAATAAATATAATGAATTGTTTTCCTTAATTTTTGAACCTATTTTAAACATAAGCTGCTGTTGTTTTTCTTTTTGAGACACAGGGTCTCACTGTGTCACCCACACTGACGTACAGTGGCAGGATTACAGCTCACTGCAGTCTCAATCTCCCAGGCTCAAGCAATCTTTCCACCTCAGCCTCCCAAGCAGCTGCGACAACAGACATGTGCCACCATGCCCAGCTAATTTTTTTTTAATTTTTAATAGAGATAAGGTCTCATTATGTTGCCCAGGCTGATCTTGAACTCCTGGTCTCAAGTAATCCTCCTGCCTTGGCTTCACAGAGTGCTGAGATGACAAGCATGAGCCACTATGCCCAGCCAAACATAGCTGTTTAAAGCAGAAATAACAACAACGAATTGTGAGCTTTATAACATATGTAGACATAAAATGTATGACAATATTAGGAAGGGTAGAAGGAGAATGCTAGATTATTCTGGTGTGAGGTTCTTAGGAATTTGCATATCATTATGTACATTATATAAATAAGGCTATGATACAAAGCTCTAATATACATGCGGTTCATATATATGAATTTGTATATCATTACTTGAAAGTCAACTGTGATAAATTAGAGTTATACACTGTTAAAAAAAGATGTATAGGCCAGGTGCAGTGGCTCACACCTGTAATCCCAGCACTTTCGGAGGCCGAGGCGGGCAGATCAAAAGGTCAGGAGTTCAAGACCAGCCTGTCCAACATGGTGAAACCCCGTCTCTACTAAAAATACAAAAATTAGCCAGGCGTGGTGGCACGCGCCTGTAATCTCAGCTACTCCGGAGGCCGAGGCAGAAGAATTGCTTGAACCCAGGAGGTAGAGGTTGCAGTGAGCCGACATTGTGCCACTGCACTCCAGCCTGGGCAACAGAGAAGAATCCATCTAAAAAAAAAAAAAGAATTTGGTGCTACTTTATAGATGTTTTTAAGGTTTTTTTTTGTTTGTTTGTTTTTTTCAAATTTTATATACAGTATTTTTAGTTGCTTTCAGAGGGATAGGGTTGTCCAGGTAGCTTGCCCACCATACTGCAAGAAATGAAAATCCTACGTTCTTGATTCAGTGAATTACTAAAACAATAAAATGTGTTAAAAAAAAAATTCCAGGTACCTTGAAGCCCTTAGAGGAAAGATCAATCCACAAATGTGAAACAACTAATGTTTAAGTATAAAATAGAAAACATACTCAATGAAAACATTAACAGCAAGAGATAGACACATTTAATTTTTAAAACACTGCAATATATTTCAGATGTTAATTTTGGTGCTGTTTGTTGGAAAGTAGGCATGGAGACTAAAATTATATTTGTGTGTGGTGCTATGTTTAGTTCTGTTTTTTATTTTAAAAATAAATACAGATAATCAGTTTCCCCATATCACGGAGTCAAAGTGTGTCTTCTCTCCCCTGCTCTGCAGTGTCACCTCTGTCACATCAATGGACATGTCTCTTTCTAGGCTCTATTTGGTTGTGTTGGCCTACTTATCTCTGTGCCACACTATCTCAATTAATAGTCTTTACTTTTAATATATATTTTCAATATATGCAATGTTTTGGCCTACCATTAATATCTTTTTTCAAGAATTTATGTTTGCCCTTTTTCATTTGCATGTAATTTCTAAAATCAACTTTAGTTTACCTATTGGGATGTTGACTGAGAATACATCTATAAATTTGAGGAAGATTAATTGATATTAGTGTAAAATAGAAAACATAATGAAAACATTAACAGTAAGAGACAGACACATTTAATTTTAAAAGCACTGCAATAAGATGACAGCTGACAGTTCCTTTGAATTCTTCATCACATTCAGCTAATGTGTTTATTAGTTAAGTTAGCTCTCCACTATAGGTCCAATTCTTTATAGTTAACATTTATGAAATTATATTTATATATCATATACTGGCTGGGTATAGGAAAGACACTGCCCTGTCTTTATTTATTGGGAAAGAGAAACGGCTTTTTATCCCTAGTTCTGTACCCCAGCTTTTTATTGTTTTGTAACTTCATTTTCTTTGTTTCTTTCTTGTGTCATTATTGAATCATTTAAGGCTATGAACTTTCCTTTCGATGTAGTGTTAGCAATAGCCCATTAGTTCTGACATGTAATGTTTCCGTTATTGTTACAGACTGTTTCAGGTCTCCTTTTAAAATTTTCCTTCCATCTAGGATTGTTTGTGAGCTGGTTTAAAACTTTCCAGGTGTGTGGGATTTTATTGCCTTTACTCTCCTTTGTTGAAATAAAGTTGCATTACCTAATAGTCAAGAATGTGGTCTGTTCTCTGTCTCTTTCTTTAATGTTGTGGCAATGGCCAGGAGTGGTGGCTCACACCTCTAATCCCAGCACTTTGGGAGGTGAAAGCAGGAGGATAGCTTGAGCTTAGGAGTTCAAGACCAGCCTAGGCAACTTAATGAGACCCTATCTCTTTTTTAAAAAAATTTAAGACAAAAATAAAATAAACTTGTGGTTATATGTAAGATAAATAAAGAAAACATAAAATTGACCATTTTAACTTAATAGTGTATAGTTCTGTGGCATCAGTCCATTCACACTGTTGGGCTAGTTCTCATTTTTACAGCTATGGAAATGTTAGTTGGCTTATTTCCTCTTCTCCCCCCCTCACATTAAAAAGTCAGTAATGTGTCTTGCTGAGCATGGGCCATTATTCCATTCATTCATTCATTCATTCATTCATTCATTTGAGACAGGGTCTTGCTCTGTTGCCCAGGCTAGAGGGCAATAGTGTGATCATAGCTCACTGCAGCCTCGAGCTCCTGGGCTCAACCAATCCTTCTGTCTCAACCTCCAGAGTAGCTGGGACTACAGGTGTGCACCACTACACTGGGCTAATTTTAAAATTTTTTTGTAGCGATGGAGTCTCGTTATGTTGCCCGGACTGGTCTCGAACTCTTGGCCCCAAGTGACTCTCCCACCTAGCCCTCCCATAGTGCTGGGATTATAGGTATAAACCACCACACCTGGCCTTTATTTATTTTTAAATTTTATTTTTAGAGATGGAGTCTCACCCTGTTGCCCAGGCTGGAATGCAGTAGCACAGTCATAGCTCACTACAGCCTCAAACTCCTAGGCTCAAATGATTCTAAGTAGGTAGGACTATAGGTCCACACTCAGCTAATATTTTTAATTTTTATGGTTCTCCTTGGTGTTCTGTTTATCCATTTACTGTTAGGAAGTAAATCCCCAAAGAGTATGTTTGCTTTGCCCAAGGGAGTCTTTTGCTACATACTGCTGTACATAATGAAAACTAAAACAGGGACTAACTTTTCAGCCTTGTGACCTTGTGGTGATTCAAACAGAAGCTTCATCAAAGGCAGATTCAGAAATGAACTTGGTGTGTGTAGGTGGCTATGCTTGGCATTATTGCCTATAAATAGTATGATAGGGATGATTTCAGTGTCCGCCAACAGGGAACTGGTTAAGTAAACTGTGGTACATCCAAATGATGCATACTGTGCAGATGAAAAGAAGAATGAGAAAGACTCTGTACTCGTCTAGGAGAACCCGGATATATTGTGTGTGTTTTTCTCCAGAGGAAAAAGGAATGGTATCATATGTGTGGTATGCTACTTTTTGTGTTGTAGAGAAGAGTAGAATAAGAATATACATGTGTATTTGCAAAGATAAATTCTGAAAAGATACATAAGAAACCAATTAAAAGTGTTTGGCTGTGGAAGGAGTATAAGACTGTGAATGGGATTTTACTGCACACTTTTATGGTTATATTTAAAAATTTTCTGAACTATGTACTTGTACACATGACCCTTTTAAAAATAAGTGAATGGAGGAATGAAGTAGGATTATGAGAAAGAGATAAGAACAAAGGATCTAAGGGGCTGCCCATCTTTTTATACCCAGTGAATATTAATACATAACCAATAGCAGCAAAAATTGGAAGAGTAGCCCCAGTAGGGTAGGGAGTCAGCCTTTCCTTTGTCTTTTCCTCAATTTCATATATTAAAAAAAATATTCTGAGAACAATAAAACAATTTGAAATAAAAATGTCTCCAGATCTCTTAAAATAAATGAAGATGGGGCAGCTTTACGTAGTGCACTTCCCAAAAATAGGCTGGTTTCCCTGAAGAGGAAGGGATTCTAGCCTACATGGGATACATACGGGAGAAAAAATAAGAAAAAGAGATTTAAACATAAATAAATGAAAATAACACTTCTCCCTGATTACAAAGGAAATCACATTCTTTTTAAAATAAGTTGGATGACAAATATTAAGAAAAATCTTTAATTTGCCACTCAAAACATTCCAGTTTGTTGCTTTTTTTTTTTTGGAGATGGAGTCTCGCTTTATTGCCCAGGCTGGAGTGCAGTGGCACAATCTCAGCTCACTGGAAGCTCTGCCTCCCGGGTTGACGCCATTCACCTGCCTCAGCCTACTGAGTAGCTGGGACTACAGGCACCCGCCACCACACCCAGCTAATTTTTTTTGTATTTTTAGTAGAGACGGGGTTTCACCGTGTCAGCCAGGACGGTCTGGATCACCTGACCTCGTGATCCGCCCCCTTCGGCCTGCCAAAGTGCTGGGATTACAGGCGTGAGCCACCGCGCCCAGCCGGTGTGTTGCTTTTTATATCTTTTTATACATGTAAACATTTTGAAAAGTAGAATCATAATAGATAATCTTTTGTCACTAACTATATTTTGGGCATATTTCTGTGGCAGTAAATATATCCTGGCATCATCATTTTTAATAGCTGGATGTATATTAAGTTAATCATTGGCACCCCAGAGGTGAATTTTCTTATATACACATTTTAATGGACTCGAGCAAGCATTTTTGGACTGAATTCATAGAAGTAGAATTTCTGGAGGGTAATAATTTTTAGGGTCTTTAATAGAAATTTTCAAATTATCCTCCAGGAAAAGTGGCTAAGTTTATACTCCCACCAACAGGGACAGAGCTCCAGGTTCCCCCTTCCATTTGTCATCGTTGTGCCTTTATACAGAAAATGTCATTGTTTTCATGACATTTCCTTGATTTCTAGTGCTTTTGAATCTTTTTTATATACCTATTGGCCATTTTTATTTTTGTGAGTAGTGCCTGTTTCTCTATTGCCCATTTTTTGTTGAAAATCATTTGTTTTTTGTTTCTGAGTAATTTTAAACATTTCTTTATAGGCTAAGGATACAAACTTTTTATTTGTCACTGAGGTTACAAAAACTTTCTCCTAGTAAGTAATTTGTCATTTCATTTTATTTTTTCTATTCTTTCTTCCTACCCTTCCCTTTCCTTTTTTTCCTTTCCTTTCTTTTTTCTTTCCTTTCTTTCCTTCCTTTTTTCCTTTTCTTTCTTTCTTTCCTTCCTTCTTTTCTTTTTCCTTTTCCCCTTCACTCCCTCCCTCCTTCCCTCCCTCCTTCCCTCCCTCCTTCCTTCCTTTCTTCCTTCTCCCTCCAAACTCCAAAGTCACATTTCACTTCATTTTTATCCTGCCAAATTTGAAAGCTTTTTAACTTAGTGATTTTTGTGTAAACAGGAGCAGGAGAGAATGTAATTATCTAGGTCTCGCTATGTCACCCAGGCTGGAGTGCAGTGCCATAATCATAGCTACTGCAGCCTCGAACTCCTGGGCAGAAGCAGTTTTCCCACCTCAGCCTGCTGACTAGCTAGGACTACAGGTGTGTGCCACCATGCCCAGCTGTTTTTTAAAATTTTTTGTAGAGATGTGAATTCGCTATGCTTCCCAGGCTTGTCTTGAACTCCTGACGTCAAGTAATCCTCCCACCTTGGCTTGTCAAAGTACTAGGATTACAGATGTGTACTACTGCTCCTGGCTGAGAGTTTAATTTTCTTTGCTAGTGATGTTCTTGGTATCTTTTCATATTTGAGGCTTTGGTGCTAGTGCTGAAGTATTACACTCACCATCCAAGGTTTATAGGACTTTTGTGTTAATATGGAACAGACAGAACTGTTTAGTTCTGCATCTTTGCAGGCACACAAAATGTGCCTACCAGGACGCTGCTTTATATCCATTGAAAGCAAGAAGTAATACAGTAAAACTTTGCCTGGCTAGAGGCTTTGAAGGAATGGAGTGTTCTGGTTGAATTCTATTAACTTGGAAGTATGAAGGTGAAAAAAATTCAGAACTTAAATTTCCTTGGAATGCAATTTGAAAATATAGCCAATGATTCCACTTTTCTTCTCTAGTAAGTTTGGACATTCCAATCTACTTGGTGTTTTATTATAGAACTCCTACTGTGCCTGAGACTTATATTGTGAAGATACTTTTTTAAAATTTTAGCTGTAAGAGGATGTAAATGGTTTTGTATGAAGTCAGGCTGGATGAGAACTAATACTTGTAAATATGTTTTTTAGACTAAACTTCTGACTGCCACTTGTTTTCTTATTGAACTCATAAAAATAAAACACATTGGATGGAGGGTGGGAGTAGGAAGGAGAGTTAAGTGTTTTAATTGCATGTCATTGTTTCATATCGAGATAGAATATATAGTATCCCTGGCTTTGGACCTACAGAAGAAACACATTTTTCTACCTGCTGTATGGCAGAGGTTCCTGAGCACCTGGAGGGATTACTGCGGCACAGATTGCTGAGTCCTACTCCAGAGATTCTGATTCACCACGTCCAGGGTAGGGCCTGAGAATTTGCACTTACAGAAAGTTCTCAGGTGCTGCTGCTGCTGCTGCTGCTGCTGCTAGTCCAGAGACTACATTACTGAGAACCACTCTTGTCTACTAACTGTAAACTGTAGCACTCTAAACAAAAGCTTAGTTTGGTCTGGCATAAGAAGCACACAGGTTATGGAGCAAATCATGAAAGATTCAACCCTTGATCCCAGCCTCGTGTGAAATTCAGGTAACAAGCAGTACACAGTGACATAACACAATTCTTGGTTTTCATGATTGTAAGTCATAGCCAAGTATCAAGTGAGAAATTCAGTTTCATTTGCAAGGCTTAGAGAAGCCAAGTGATTCTAGAAAAATGGACCTTGTATTTGTTTTAAATTGGTAAAGAGCTTTGAGTGCTTATTAAATTGAAAGCTTTTAAAATTTACTTTGTATTTTATTTTATTTCTTTTGAGATGGAGTCTCACTCTGTCACCCAGGCTGGAGTGCAGTGGCATGAGTTTGGCTCACTGCAACCTCCATCTCCTGGGTTCAAGTGATTCTCCTGCCTCAGCCTCCCGAATAGCTGGGATTACAGGCACCCACCACCACGCCTGGCTAGTTTTTGTACTTTTAGTAGAGATGGGGTTTCACCATGTTGGCCAGGCTGGTCTCAAACTCCTGACCTCAGGTGATCCACCCGCCTTGGGCTCCCAAAGTGCTGCGATTACAGGCGTGAGCCACTGCATCCGCCCCAAAAGCTTTGTGTTTTTACAGATATTAGACATGTTTCTTGTTTAAGAAAAAAAATCTTAACAGTAACGTAGGAGAATAAGATAAACATTTTTCCAAAAAAGAGAATCACTGTGATTATTTTATCTTACTGGAATGTTGGATAATATAGTCTTCTTCATTAATCATCAAGCATGCTATGGATTTTCCATTTTTATAGGATCTGTATCTCAGTTAAGGTAATACTGGTAATTTTTTTAATGGATTTGAAGATGAAAAATATAGGCCAAAATCATAGACCTTGCATAGAAGCTGGGTAATGAAGACAGCTCTGGAGGAACACATAGATACACATACACAGAAACACACATATATGTATATGTATATGTATATATATATATATGTATGTATAAAGTATACACACTTTTTTTTAAATTTTAAAGCAAAAGCTGGCCCCTCCCCTCTCACAGAGTGGGCGGGGACAGCGGTTGCCTGGGCAGCTTTCCTTGTGAGCCACAGGTCCCTCTGGACACACTGGGGCCCGGCCACGCCCCCTTTCCCTTTCATCTTTGTCATTGACCAATGGGCTTGGAGCATTAAGGCCACGCCCCTATTCTGCATTCTACTGGAGCCCTGGTTACGCCTCCTCTGGCTCAGTCACACGGCTGCCTGGTAGGTGACTGGATGCATTGATAGTGCTCACTGGGATTTCGCTGACGTGGCCCCAACCCTGCCTCCCTACCCACCCCACAATAGCAGAAGAAACTCGACAGAGCAAATTGGCTGTAGCCAATACAAAGGTAAAAATTCCAGGTCATCACCCCCCAACCCAGCCACAGATCCCCTCTGATGACAAGACCGCTGCCAGAGTCCATACCACTCCTGAGGCACACCGGACTGCCTCTGGGCTCCACCCACCAAAGTCTTGTCAGTCAGCCCTGCCCCTTCAGCAAGCAGCCCAGTCCCTGCCCTCTCCAATCACCCCATGGTGACTTTGGGTGGGTGACTCTTGGGGATTCCCACTCCATTACTGGGCCCTCACCTCCTACCGCCCCAAACTCAACCTCCCTGGGCTCTTTGGGCTCACATCTCCAAGGACCTTGGTCCCCCAGCCCCAGGCCCCGCCCTCGCCAGTCATCCCTGGGTGACTTTGGGCTGGTGACTCCTGAGGCTCCCTGCTGCAGACTCTGCCCTCCCCTCCTGCTGCCTCAAGGTCGACCTCCCTGGGCTCTTTGCGCTGGCGTCTCCAAGGAGCTGGGTCCCAACCCTGTGTTTCCCTCCCCCATCATGGAGCAGCAACTCAGACATCGTGCTGATGTCCCTCCCCACGACCAGGAGGGTGGAATGTAGTGATGTCACAATCCACCTGGGAACTGTCATTACTGCAAGACCAGCCTTTGATCTTATGACCCAGTCCCCTAAGCGTTGTCACCCCATTTCTGATTCCTCTGGTCACAGCACAAATTTCCAGCTGCAAAGGGAATGGAGATTATGGGACCTAGGAGCAAGAGGTTTCAGGCTGCCTTACTCCCTTAACATAGACACTGACAGTGGGAAAAGCCTACACTTCCCCCATGAGCTCAAAACGTTAACAGTGTCTCTGGGTGGCAATGGGAGAATTGGTTTGGTTTGGTTTTCTCCCAGGCTTCTACTTTCCAGAGAGATTTTAACTTTTTTCTCAGTTCTCCACCTCATATTCTAATTCTCCATGGTTCTGGGACCAGACTGCCCTTCAGTCAGTGGTCTCTGAAGTGAGATTTGCTCATCTTCTGTGGAATAGATCTTGGGAAACTGAACTTGACAGCTTGAATCTTCCTCATATTATCTCAACCTTGGGTACTTTGAGTGCCACAGAATAAATGTGGGACATCTTTCTGAAGCATCAGTTTCCCTTGATTCTCTTGAGATCAAGAGAAAAAACATGAATGTACTTAGGGATGACAGTCACATAGGCTTCTAAGAGTATACCAGACTTCTCTCTGAAATGAGGCTTGGTTTGTCATCTTTCTGATAAATTCCCAGATTTAACAAAAAGCCTGCCTTCTGCCATGAGGACACATTGATATAAAAGTTTGAGAGGTACTGGTGCACTTCTTCACACTAACAGACGTGTGAGGATGTATGACTCTAAACCACATGGCATACAGTTCCTGCCTACTTAATGTTTACTTTTCTACCTCTGCCTCTGGTTTTGGTCCCTGGCAGCTGCTGATTCTTGGCAAAACCCCAGAGCTTGGAGTCAGAAGACTGAGTTTCAAAGTCCCAGTATCGCCTTTTTCTTTTTTTTTCTTTTTTCTAGCCATGATATCAATCCCTCTCAGTCACTAAATGATTGTGACAACACCTTGTACAGTTGTTGGTGTCGTTAAATCAGATGGTGTATAAGAGTATTTTGTAAAAACTGTAAAGGAGGATGTGGCTGTAGGGGCTGACAGTTCTTATGAGTATTACTGCTCTTCTTTCCCACAGTTAAAAGAATATTGGCAGAAAAACAGCCCTAGAGTTCCAGAAGGAGCCAAGAGGAACAGGAAAACAAATGGCAGTATCCCTGAGACAGCCACTTCTGGTGGTTGCCAGTCACCTGGGGATGTGAGTCTTGGCTGGCCAGGCTTCTGGGGACAGGGGGCCCAAGGGGCAATAGAAGGTAATTGTTGAGATCACGGATGGACTGTTGGGTGATGGTTAAGAATTCTGGGTTTGGCCAGGTGTGCTGGCTCACGCCTGTAATCCTAGCACTTTGGGAGACCAAGGCAGGTGGATCACAAGGTCAGGAGATTGAGACCATCCTGGCTAACATGGTGAAACCCCGTCTCTACTAAAAAATACAAAGAAATTTGCCAGGCATGGTGGTGGGCGCCTGTAGTCCCAGCTACTCAGGAGGCTGAGGCAGGAGAATGGCGTGAACCCAGGAGGTGGAGCTTGCAGTAAGCCAAGATTGTGCCACTGCACTCTAGCCTGGGAAAGAGCGAGACTCCGTCTCAAAAAAAAAAAAAAAAAAAAAAAAAAATGGAATTCTGGGTTTGCATCCTGCCTCTCCGCCTGGTAGGGATATGATTTACGGCAAGTTGCTTGAGCTCTTTGGGCCTCTCTTTTTACATCTGTATAACAGAGATGGTATTGTTTGACTTCCATTTGTGAAGTTTAAATGAGATTTGTTTTTGTTGTTTTTATGTTAATCCCTAGTACATGGCCTGCCGTAAACACCCAGGACACCCAGCATTGCTGTTTGATTTTCCTCATCCCCAGTCTCAAGGGAAAGCCAGGACAATGAGAACAGTCACTTGCCATCAGGAGTCACTGAAAGGGCCCCAGGGTGGGATGATGTGGAGAAAAGAACCATGAGAGAAGTTGGCACAGAGTTATGGGACAAAGGGTCCAAGATAGGCAGAAAAGAAAATGTTGCCAGTTGATGGGGAAGAAAGGAAGTCAGAGGGCTCAGACACCGAGGGGGACAGAACATCTCCATGTGCACTCTCATCTCTTGTAGTCAGCAACAGGTATCCACGGGGAGGGCCCTACATCATCTGCTACCCTGAAGGATCTGGAGGTAGGAGGCTCTGGGCGGAGGTGCAGTGACCCTGCAGGCCAGCCCTCCATCCTCCTCACACAGTGGGGACTGGGTGCCCCTCTGCCAGCTGAGACAGCCCACACACCCCAGCCCTGATGATCGTTTTCTCTACCTCTCCCCCGACTCCTCCTCCACCTCCTCCTCTCTGCATGCGCCTCAGAGCCCGTGCCAAGAGCCAGCAGTAGTCCTGAACCCAAGGTCCGTAAAAATCAGTCAACTGAAGAACACCATCAAATCTTTGGTAAGAGTCCAGTGGGGTCCCCTGAGTCCACGCTGCCAATCCTGGGCTCCAGTTTCCCCTTAGGGCCCTGAAGAAAGTGCTGGGGGCCCCTGGTGCCAAGGACAAATAGGGAGCTGGGGTGCCCAGGCCTCACCTGGAGGGACCCCAGAGCATGCAGCATGGCTCTGCTTTTGCTGCCCTCTTTGCCGACTCTCTCCTCTCCAGACACCCCTGCTCGAGTCCTTGCTACACACGCCCTGGGGTTGTTGCCTCTCGGGGAATTACTAGCCTGACTGGTTGTCAGGGGCCCTGTATTTCTGCTGTGACTCAGTTCCTAATTTGCTCTTTGATTCTGGACAAGCCACCTCTCCTTTTTGGTCTTGTGTTTCCAGAGGAGGTAGTGAGTATCAAAGGTCTCTGTTAGCTCTGAGAGTCCGAGATTTAAAGGCCCCCTAGAATAGAAACCCAGGGCCAAGGGCTCCTGTCTGTCCTTTTCCATCCTATATCTGCTGTGAAGAATCATACCTGGCCCATACATGCTCAGTACACGTTTATTGAGTGAACCCACTTTTCTAAATCACAAGCTGCCAGAAGGAGGGGCCTTTCTGAAACTCCATCTCTAGGGGTTTATGTTACTGTCCTCTCAAGAGAGTCCTGATTCAGACTTTGAGTTCTGTGGCTGTGGGCAAAAACCAACAAAGACCCAAATCCTCTGTCCTTGGGAGCTTGAAGAGAGTTTACCAGTTCATGTTCCCATTGGGTCTGAGAACTTTGCCTTTAAAATCCATTCCTGACCCCTGCCTACCGCTTCCTGTCTGGGGAATAGAGTTGAGGGGGCCACCCTCCATCACCTTAATTTGACTCTTCCCACAGAAACAACAGAAGAAACAAGTGGAACATCAGCTGGAAGAAGTAACGTGATTTCTTTATTTGCTCGCGACACGACTGCTGGGTTTGGGGGGCACTCAGACATAGAGGCCTCAGTCTCATCTCGCCCACTCCCAGCCTGGGGAAGGAGGCTCACCCCTCAGATTCCACCCCATCCCCACAGGGTCCCTGATAACCTGGTCCCATGGGTGGGCCTGTCCTGGGGCATTGGTGGCATTCTGGGGGCATGTCTCTTGCTGTGCCGTCTCTGCGTCTCCCTGGTAAGAGCTCTGTCTTCCTCTTCCTATAGGAAAAGCAAACGAGAAACAAAAAGCCAAAAGGGAGCTAGAGGTGAGTGGAGGGCGTGAAGCTTCCTCCTGTCCTCCGGGGAGAGTGTTTCTTTCCTTCTCTTTCAGCACTTGCTTGGTTTTTCTCCCAAAGGTTCAAATCCAGAGGTTGAACATACAGAAAAAGTAACTAAATACGGACCTATATGACACGAAATGTTCTCTCAGATACTTTGAAGGTAGGAATCTGGGCACCCTGTCATCCTTCAACCTGGCACTTTGACGGGTCTTCACGGGGAGTCGTTTGGGCCCCATCTCAACTCTCTCATTACTGAAGAGTCCAAGGATCTGGCGGGCTGCCTGCAATATTCATTGCAGTGTATAGGAGAGTTAGAGCGGGCTCTCTCTGCTGTCACCACCACAGAGGAGAAGGAGATCAGTGTGAGTTCAACCACTTGCCCTGTCCCCTGGGTGCCCAGCTTCACAGATGGAGGAGCGAGCCTAAAGGTCCCTTCTGCAGGTTGGAGTGTCCTGCCCAGAAGGCAGCATGGCCATTTCTCGCTGCTTTTTTGTATGGTTGTTAGAGGCAGCGTGGGGCTGAGTCAGCTGCTGTGGGTGAGTTGGGGGGCACTTTGGGGAGTGAGCACTGGACACAGAGATTGGAGGCCAAGTGCCTGCCCTGCCCTTACCTGGCTGTGGTCTCGGCCAAGTCCTAGGTGGGGTATTGGGTACTTGTACTGTGAAGGTACAGAAGAGTACCTTTAGTATGTTACCATTTCTGTAGAGAGAGGAAATGTGTGTGTGTGTGCATGTTTGTGTACATACTATGATAATATACATAAAACATGTCTGCAAGTGTTCATAAAAAATTCAGGAGAGAGCAACAGGGTGGCTGGGAGATACTTCCCTTCTGTACTTTCTGAGTTTGGGACTATGCGAATGTATCATCATTTCAAAAAGTGAACAAAAGATTAATTTTCCCCTTCCTATCTGTGCCCCCACCCCTAGCAAGAAAAATGGGTTTAGAGAATCAGATAGACCTGGGTGTTCAAATCCCAGCTCTGCCTAAGTGATCTTAGGCAAGCACTTAACCTCAAATACTCCATGTTTTTTCATCTACACAATAGAGGTCATCATAGTAACTGTCTCCTATGGTGGCGAGGATTAAATGGGATTGCTAGCATGGAACTCGTTGAAGCACTCCATAAAGGTTCAAACAGTGGTAATAATAACAGTAATAACCATAGCAATATTATCTGATCTCTCTGGGCCTCTGTTAGCCAGCTGTAAATTCGATCTCTTTCCCTGTCCCTTCCAACTTTTCTGAGTTCTTTTAAAAACCAGACCATGGGCTTGGAAATGCCTTGATCTTTACTGACCGAGTTGTATATTGAGCCTAGCCCTGGCCCTTTTAAGGGGTACTGTGTGGAATGTCCCGGCCTCCCCAGATTGGAACTTCTCACTCTTCGCCATCCAGTTCTCGAGCCGCAGCAGAGCACATACGGAGTGGGAGTTAGAGCAGTCCCTACAGGAGAAGGCACGGCTGAAGGCATAGCTAACACGGGTGAGGTTTTGCAGAGGGAGGGATGTGGAAGGAAGATGACCCCAGGTGGCCAGGAGCAGGTGAGGACCAGTGACAGCCCTTCCTAACTTCTGTGCCCATTCTTGCAGTTGAAGGAGTCGTTTCAACAAGTCCAATTACAGAGAGATAACTATGCTCAACAAATAAAAGGAGAGAGGGCCCGGTGGCAGCAGAGGATGAGAAAAATGTCGCAGGAGGTGAGATCTGACCCTTCAGCCCCCCCACATTAGATAGGTCACTGGATCTTTCTGGGCATCTGTAAAATGGGAATAGTAGAGCCAGAGGTGGTCATGGGTCTGGGCTTTGTGGAGGTGGGGGCAGAGAGGGAGAGGGCAGCCTGTCCAGCCTCCAGCCCCTCTCTCCAGGGCCCTTTCCCCCTGTGCTTTGGGCAGGTTTACACACTGAAGACAGAGAAGGAGCATTATACACATCGGGTAGAGGGGCTGGAGAGGAGCTTGTCCAAACTCAAAAACCAGATGGGTAAGATGGGGCTGGCGTGACCTGGGAGCAGGACTGGCATCAGAGGGCTGTGAGGGTGGCTTCGAATGCCCCAGGGAGGTGGGTGGATGGAAGGGAGAGGGAGGCAGAGGGAAAGAGGTCTGTGCTAGGAGACGGCAAGTCTTGTCATCTCCATGAGCCTCAGGGTCCTTATCAGCAAAGGGGGCCCATTGTCAGCCACCCACAGTTCTCTCTATCTGAAAGTGGCTTTGAAGACTGGCTACCATCCGGCTGTGAGGAATCATTAGCAGTGAGGCCAAGTTTGGGGAGCCTGAGAGGAGCTGTGTACCAAGAGGACGGTTTTTGTTTTGTTTTGTTTTGTTTGAGAATCCAGAAGCCCTTATTATCTGCTTCCTTTCTCAGCTGAACCCCTGCCTCCAGAGCCCCCAGCAGTGCCCTCTGAGGTGGAGCCGCAGCACCTGAGGAAGGAACTAGATAGAGTGGCAGGAGAGCTCCAGGTCCAGGTCAAAAACAATCAGCGCATAAGTCTCCTGAACTGGGGACAAGACGAGAGGATTCGAGAGCAGGAAGAGAGGCTTCGGAAGCAGGAGGAGAGGCTTTAGGAGCAGCATAAGAGGCTTCAGCAGCTGGCCGAGCCACAGAGCATCTTCAAGGAGCTGGTGCGTTGCCCCTCCTGGGGAGCCTGCCCTCCCAAGCCCTCTGGGCCTTTGTTTCCCCACCTCTAAAATGGGGCAGTGTAGCCCTCATGTGAAAGGTTACTTCTAAAGGCACCTGTGAGCCAGGTGGCTGTGGGAGAGAGGGGATGATTTTTCTAACCGGCCTCCAGCCTTCCCAGTGCCATGGGAGGCAGACACCAAGTTCTGGGGTCTCCAGCTGCAGTGGGTGGCTGCTGATTGCTTCTCTCTGTCCAGAACAATGAGAACAAGAGCGCACTGCAGTTGGAGCAGCAAGTAAAGGAGCTACAGGAGAAGCTTGGTGAGGTGAAGGACACGGAAACCTCCACCCCATCCAAAAAGGGCTGGGAGGCAGGCAGCAGCCTCTGGGGAGGGGAGGTACCAAGCCAGAGGCAGCTCCAGCCTGGGGGCTGGTGACCCCAGCACCATCCAGGGCAGTACTGTGACTGTTTCTTGCTTCCTGCCCTCTGACTTTTAGAGGTGGGTAGCCCTGGGCTCCTCTCAGGTCTGGACATCATCATCCCAGCTAGAGGCATGGAGCCCCCAATCACAGGGGAAGAGACAGTGCTATAACAGGCTCCTTATGCCAGCTGCAGTGGCTCACACCTGTAATCCCAGCACTTTGGGAGGCTGAGGCAGGAGAATCACTTGAGGTCGTGAGTTTGAGATCAGCCTGGCCAACATGGTAAAACCTCA